>NC_000006.12:38241818-38544848 GCF_000001405.40 Homo sapiens | reverse complement strand
TTCAAGCAATTCTCCTGCCTTAGCCTCCCAACTAGCTGGGATTACAGGTGCCCACCACCACGCCCGGCTAATTTTTGTATTTTTAGTAGAGACAGGGTTTCACCACGTTGGCCAACCTGGTCTCGAACTCCTGACCTCAGGTGATCTGCCTGCCTTGGCCTCCCAAAGTGCTGGGATTATAGGCATAAGCCACCGAGCCTGGCCCACACCCTCATCACTCTTCAACCGCATTGGCCTCCTTGCTGTTCCACACCAGATGAGCTCCTGCTACAGATCCTGTACACTTGCTGTTCCCTCTACCTGGAATGCTTCATTTCTCACCTCCTTCCAGTTTTCCTCAGATGACACCCTTTCAGTGGGCCCTTTCCTGACTACTCTATTTAAAATTGTAGCACCCTCCCCATATACATACATATACACACATACACACACACACTCACTGACACACATTTACAGCACTCTCTCTTGCCCCTTATGTTTTTATTCAGTTTTATCAGCTTATAATATATAGTTGTCTCTCAGTATCCATGGGGACTCCCATGGATACTAAAATCCCCAGATACTCAAGTCTGTTATATAAAATGGTATAGTAATTGCACATAACCTACACATATCCTCCTGTATACTTAAAGTCATCTCTGGATTACTTATAATACCTAATATGAGGTGAATACTATGTAAATAGTTGTTATACTGTAATGGTTTTTAAGTTTTACAATTTTTATTATTTTTAAAAAATATTTTTGATCTACAGTTGATTGGTTGAATCTATGGATGTGGAATCCATGGATATGGAGAGCCAACTTACTATATAATTTACTAACTTTTGTTTATCATCTGTCCCTCCCTATTAGATTATAAATTCCTTCAGGGCAGGTTTTTTTTTTTTTTTGAGACGGAGTCTCGCTGTGTCTCCCAGGTTGGAGTGCAGTGGCGCGATCTCGGCTCACTGCAAGCTCCGCCTCCCAGGTTCATGCCATTCTCCTGCCTCAGCCTCCCAAGTAGCTGGGACTACAGGCGCCCGCCAACACGCCCGGCTAATTTTTTGTATTTTTAGTAGAAACGGGGTTTCACTGTGTTAGCCAAGATGGTCTCGATCTCCTGACCTCGTGATCCGCCCGTCTCGGCCTCCCAAAGTGCTAGGATTACAGGCGTGAGCCACCGCGCCCGGCGGGGCAGGTTTTTTGGTTGTTTGATCTCAGTACCGCAAACAGGTGCAATGTATATTTTTTGAATGAGTAAATGAACTCTGTCATGGCATGCCAACCTGCAAAAAAGGCTAGCCTCTAGATTAGAAAAAATGAGAAATGAATTGTAAATGGGTATTGACCGAGCCCATTGAAAATTGTAAGAGCTCTTATTGTAGTGCATTGTTTATTTGACAAACATTTATTACTAAGTGCCAATCACTGGAATTACAGTGGCAAGTAAGACATTCATGGTCCCTGCATCATTTACATTCTAGAGGGGTGATATATACAATAGGTAAATAAATCAGTAAGCAAGGTAATGTTAAAGATCAGTGATTGCTGTGAAGAAAATAACACAAGGTGGTAGAAAGTGAACGTGGTGAGGGTGGGTTATAGGCTTGGGTGGGGAAGTAGGGGAATACCTCTGTGGTCAGAGGAGACCTTTTTAGAAGGTCATATTTGAGCTAACACCTGAATGACAGGGAAGAGTCACCCATGTGGATATCTGTGCGAAGAGCCTTTGTAGATTGGTAACAAGGACAAGAAAGAAGGCTTGTACAGGTAGAACATGGTGAGTCAGGGGAGGGGCAGGAGATGAGACTGGACAGGTCAGATTATGTTAAGGCCTTTTAGGTAAGAGTTTAGATTTTTATTTTAAGACAATGTGAAGTCATTAGAAGGTTTAATCGGGGAAGTGATATGATCTGGTTCACATTTTAATGGAGTTAGAGAAATAAAACAGAAAGTAGTTCACAAACTCGTTTGCTTTCAGTGGCCAGGTAGTACAAAAGTATTAAACAGATCCTTATAAGCAAAATAAGATTGCATTGATAATAGCAACTTTCTTTGGGCCTAAGTTTTAGGAGGCAATAGAGAGCATAGACCCTGTGTTAAGAGGTGTAGCCTCTCCTGAGTCCCGCCCAGGTTAGGGCAAGTGGAATCATATGCTTAGTTTTGCCAGCTTTTTTAATTTTCCAAGAGAAGTAAGGAATCTAGAGTGTTTTGTTAAAGTCTTAAATTTATAAATATCATCAATTAATATTTATAGTTTATAGTAAGTAGTTTATAAAAATACTATGGGCCAGATGGAACAGCCTTACCGGTCAGATAGGATCTCATGGGTGGCACTTTGCAATCTCTGTATTAGTGTGATGGCAGTGGAAATGCAGGGGGAAAATGAGATTGAGGTATATTTTGAGGGTGGTAATGACAAACATGATGGATAGAGTGGATGTGGAAGAGAATGGATAGAGGAGAGAATGAGAGAGGGAGACATCCTTGACACTGGGTTTTTGGCATGAAAACTGGGTGAATGGGGGTACAATTTACTGAGATACAGAAACCAGGAAAAAAGACATACTGTGGGTGCGGGAAGACCAAACATTTAGTTGAGACTTGCCAAGTTTGAGATGCATGTGAGTCATCAAATGGAAGTTTCCAGAGAGAGTTGGATACGCAAGACTTGTTCTTAGAAAACAGGTCTTGTGTATATACAAGAGATAACAAATTGAGAGTTACTGACATGTAGGTTGTTTGAAGCTGTTGGGTAGATGAAATCAACTAGGGAAAGAGTAGTGAAGGCCACCTGTCCAGCTGTAGAGTCATAACTGTACTCTCTTGATAACCATCTCTGATCTCTCCTCCCTGTATATTCTCTGTATAAATTTATGGGTTAAATATGTAGTCAAGTTCATATAAGTTTTCTATTTCAGAAAATAAAAACTGTTTTATCTTTTTAGTAAGCATGACAGCAATCTTAGGAACCTTAGAATTTCTACTCATATACAAATGGAAGAGATGGCTGACTTTATATTAAACTTTCTAGAAGCAGAGGAAGAAAGCAGAGCTTTGACTAATTCTTAGTAGAGATTTCAATGTGGGTCAATCCCAGAATGAAAATTTTGTTGTTGTTGTTGTCGTTTGAGATGGAGTCTTGCTCTGTCACCAGGCTGGAGTGCAGTGGTGCGATCTCGGCTCACAGCAACCTCCATCTCCTGGGTTCAAGTGATTCTCCTGCCTCAGCCTCCCGACTACCTGGGACTACAGGCACGTGCCACCATGCCCGGCTAATTTTTTGTATTTTTAGTAGAGACGGGGCTTCGCCATATTAGCCAGGATGGTCTCCATCTCCTGACCTCGTGATCCGCCTGCCTCGGCCTCCCAAAGTGCTGGGATTACAGGCGTGAGCCACTGCGCCTGGCCAGAATGAAAATTTTATAATTGACCTCTATGTCCATGTTCCAGTTATAAAATTCCCTCCTGTTTGAATTCTTCCCTCTTCCTTATTCCCGTATTCCCTTCCCTTCTTTCCTCAAATATTTTGAGTACCTTCTATATGCAAGGCATTGTATATGCATAGGTAATGTAATAGTAAAACAAAAAACAAAACCATGAAGCTTATTGTCTATTGTCAGTAATAACATGTTCAAATATTCTATTATTGTGACATTCATTTTTTTCATGCTTTTTATATGAGGGGAGGCCTAAAAACAAAAATTAGAATAAATATGAATAATATGTACTTCACTTTAGGAGTCTTTCATCTGAGTTGACCAGAAACATTGTCTTTAAGTTTCTATTCATCATTGCATCTGCGTCCAGCATTAAGACAGCTACTGTGTTTTCTTGACTTGATGTCCTTCTCATCAAGCTGTGAATGTATGTGAAAGAGAAGGGCCCTGTTTAGTACAGACCATGGGAAGGTGATGCTGTGTATAAAGTATTGCCACTCTAGCATGTAACATCATAGAACGCAGCATGAGGTACATCACAGCTCTGCTTTGCTTTGGAGTTAAATTCAGAGTAGTGATTTTATGTTTTTAAAAAATTTATACTTAAGCCCTTAGGTATCTTAACATTCGCTTCCAGTGAGGCACCGCTGAAGCTCTCCTGCTAGTCGGCACAAGTCTTTGCTGTCCAGGGATACCAGTGTTTTCTTGAGACAGACTTTTTATTCTATAAATCTTTATAAAGTTTGCACTTTGGGTTGACCTTCAGGTATAAGACATACTGCCTTTGTTTAGTACTTAAAAAAGAACAAAAACTAAATCTGAACAGAGCCAGGCTTTCTTTTTCTTAGAATTTTGTGTCTACTTTTATACCATGTAAGTGCCCAGAGGCATCTTAAGATGGACATGATTTTATCAATCTTAAATAAAAATAAATGCTTTATAGGTTTGGGATTTGCAAGTGTGTAATATGCTGCAAGCCAGCGGAATCTGTTGTAATACAATAAAGTTTATTGTAACATAAACCAATTTATCAAAAATATGGCTCATGGATTACTAGCCTATTCCATAAAATTGGACCCCCTATGGAGTATTTCATATTAATTTATTATACCTCCACCGTGTGTGTTATTACTTAGCACTTATTACATGCCAATGATTTCTTAGGCTCTGAACAAAATCAAAAGATGGAACTTGACCCAGGCCAAAAAGTTGTTTGATACTTTGGCACAGTAGCAAGGTAGAAGAAGAAAAGTCCTGCTTTCCTATATGCCGCCTTTTTGGCGCCTGTGCCCCTAGTATACTTTTGAGTCCTAAACTATCTCAGCCCCATTTTAAAATTTGGAGTACATATAGAAGTGCTTATGATTGTCATGTCCCATTCATTTTAGGTACTGATAAAGAACCTTGACTTTTAAGGAAAAAGCACTAATAACATCAACATCCCTGCCCTCTGAGAAACCTTTAAGATCGGTAATCCAACCACCTAAAAGTTGCTAGAAATACTTATTTCTCTTAGCCTGTGAACTCTAATAGAGCACAATTTTTCTTTAGTTGCACATCTGTGAGCCTGATTCCATATAGAGCCTAACATGGAATCATGTTTTAAAATATGTTATTTTTAACACCTGTAGTCAAATCTCATTTATCTCTTACAATTGGTTTACTTTCTATTTTATTTGTGGTGGGTTTTTATACCCAAATTGAATTGGTTTAGCCACTAGTTTTGCTTTTATCACTTGGCTTGTACCCAAGGAACATAGGTCGTTTTTCATATTATTCTGAGAAAAATGTAATCAAATAAATCTCTTTTAAAAATTAATAGACCATTCAAAGCCAACTAGTAGTGGTTTGCAAGTTATTTTTGATCATCCGTGTTTCTACCTTTGGTTAATATCAAAAGTTGTTTGTGGCACAATATAATTCTTGAGCAGAACAGTGGTCTTCTGGTTATAATACTTATAATATCAGCCATCTGTCCTATATGAATTTACACACCAGAGTCTCAGATTCTTTACTAAACACCTACCCATATTTGAAATCAGTGTTAACCCCAGGTTCATTTGTTTAGAGGAATAAATATACTTAATAAAACTGAAGTTGGTATTATTGGGTTGAACTAAGATACAGTCATTAATTAATGTCACATTCGTTGTTGACATTGAATATGGGAAATGTTATTAAAAATTTGGTAAACAGGACTGGGTGCGGTGGCTCATGCCTGTAATCCCAGTGCTTTGGGAGGCCAAGATGGGAGGATTGCTTGAGGCCAGGAGTTTGAGACCAGCCCAGGCAACACAGCGAGACTTTATCTCTCCAAAAAAAGCTTAAAAATTAGTTAGGTTTGCTGTAATCCCAGCACTTTGGGAGGCTGAGGTCGGTGAATCACTTGAGCTCAGTAGTTTGAGACCATCCTGGGCAACATGGGCAAGACCCTGTCTCAAAAACAACAACAACCCCTCCTGTCCCCTGCATCAAAATTAGCTGGATGTGGTGGTGTGTGCCTGTTGTCCCAGCTACTCAAGAGGCTGAGGTGTAGGGATCACATGAGCTTGGGAGACAGAGGTTGCGGTGACCTGAGATTGCACCACTGCACTCTAGCCTCAGCTACAGAGCAAGACTCTGTCTCAAAAAGAAAAAAAAAAAAGAAAAAGAAAAAGCTAGATATGGTGGCACATGCCTGTAGTCCCAGCTACTCTGGAGACTAAGGTAGGAGGATGGCTTTAGCCCAAGTGTTTGAGGTTACAGTGAGCTATAATTGCACCACTGCGCCCAGGCTGGGTGTCTCTTTTGGGGGGCGGGGGAAGGTAAACAAAGGACTGTTTACTAAGGTAAATTGTGATGAAAAACTAATCTAGATAATAATTTGGGGGTATTGAAATTACTCCTGCTTACATATAAGAAATGTTAAAAGAAATTGCTCCTGCTTATATATAAGAATGTTAAAATATTATGTAGATAACACCTGTCACTCCCAGAATGTACTTGGAGAGCAGAATTAAAATCACAATGAATACTTTATCATTTCTCCTACTCCTCCCACTCCCCCCACTCCCATTTGCCTTTTATTATTAGTGTTGACAATGCATGTGTTCCTCAGAAACCCCTTAATTTCCCCAAAGTAATTTGCAATTCTGTCTCTTGGGTTTAACACTATGGACTTAACCATTACTTTTTTATCTTAAAAAACTAATGAATTCCTAGGCATCAAGTGTGTAGGAATAGATTTATACTGAGATATTCTTTCTGACAAATTAGTACTTCAGTACTATAAATTTGCAAAGAGTGGTTTTGGATTCTAAC
The DNA here is from genome assembly GCF_000001405.40 of Homo sapiens. NCBI lineage: Eukaryota > Metazoa > Chordata > Mammalia > Primates > Hominidae > Homo > Homo sapiens. The sequence continues at coordinate 38,538,127 of NC_000006.12, read as the reverse complement.
ATGTGGGTCTGATGTTTAATTTTATCAATAACTATTAGTAAGGGTACAGATTAAACAATTGCATCAAAAAGACCCAATGACTTTTATAAAAGTAGAAGGTTATTTTTCTCTCACTTAATAGTCCAGGGCTGATAGGCAGGCTCTTTCTTATGACCTCATGGTACTCAGGCTGGCAAGGGGGCTCTGCCATCCTTCAGGGGTGATTTACATGGTTCCTTTGGTGGACTTGGTGATAGCAGAGTACAGTATGCCCAATGTATTAGGACCAAGGCTTGAAAGTGTTATACATCACTACCACTCACGTTCCTTTGGTGAGAACTTAGCTATTCGCTACACCTACTGGCAAAGGAAAATGGAAAGTGTAGTCTTAAGTTCGGTAGCCATGTGCCAGCTAAAATTTGCTGTAGAAGAAGGGAGGACAAGTTTTGAAGGTCTTCCACCCAATCTTTTATCTAATGTTTTCTTTGTACATAGCATAAAATTCCATGTCATATTGTCAATACCTTGGAGCCAAAATGAAGCACTTTCTCTAACTCCCCATTCTCACCTCTCGAAAATAAGTAAAAAATTAAAGAGATATGCTTGCCCTTGTGTTAAAATGGAAGATTAACCAGATACATTAGTTCTGAAAAATCTGCAGAAATTGATAGAATTGTTTCCTGCCCTGCAGGAGTCTTTGATAATTTGTGTATATTTACATATCCACAAAAATACGTCCATCAGAAGGCCTGCTGGCCATTTGTGGAAGATAATAAAAAGAAATTCAAACTGAGATAAATTCTGGTAGAGTATATCTAAGCACTTCATAGGGGAGTGGTTGTTTCCAAGGTTAAGAGTATGGCTATTGTAGTCTGATGCCTTTGTTCATTTGGATCGTTTAACTCTGTTTTTTGGAGTAGAGACTTGTCAAGCACCCCCATAATTCCTGTATAATTCTCTATACACAAAACAGTGCAACAATTCTACAGTCTACAAGTATTTCCAATTTTTTAAAAAAATTATTTTTAATTTTTGTGGGTCATAGTAGATGTTTATATTTCTGAGTTACATAAGATATTTGATACAGGCATACAATGTGTAATAATCACCTCAGGGTAAATGGGATATTCATCATCTCAAGTATTTGTTCTTTTTTCTGTGTTACAAACAATCCAGTGATACTCTTTTAGCCATTTTAAAATGTGTAATACATTATTGTTGACTGTAGTCACCCTATTGTGCTGTCAAATACTAGATCTTATTCATTCTATCTAACTAGATTTTTGTACCCATTAAGCATCCCCACTTTCCTCCACCCCCAGCACTCTTCTCAGCCTCTGGTAACCATGATTCTACTTTCTATCTCCACGAGTTCAATTGTTTTCATTTTTTTAGCCTCACAAATATGAGAGCACACATGAAGTTTGTCTTTCTGTGCCTGGCTTATTTCACTTAACATAATAACCTCATCCATGTTGTGCAAATGATAGGATCTTATTCTTTTTTTATGGCTGAATATTACTCCACTGTGTACCTCACTTTCTTTATCCATTCGTCAGTTGATGGACACTTAGGTTGCTTCCAAATTTTGGCTATTGTGAATAGTGCTATAGTAAATATGGGAGTACAGATAACTCTCTGATATACTGATTTCCTTTCTTTTGGGTATATACCTAGCAGTGGGATTGCTGAATCATATGGTAGTTTTGTGTTTAGTTTTGTGAGGAATCTCCAGACTGTTCTCCATAATGGTTTGTACTAATGTACATTTCCACCAGCAGTGTACGAGGGTTCCCTTTTCTCCACATCATTGACAGCATTTATTATTGCCTGTCTTTTGGATAAAAGCCATTTTAACTGGGATGAGATGATACCTCATTTCAGTTTTGAATGGCATTTTTCTGGTGGTCAGTGATGTTGAGCATCTTTCTTTATACCTGTTTGCCATTTGTATGTCTTCTTTTGAGACATGTCTATTCAGTGGATTATTAGATTTTTTTCTTAGAGAGTTGTTTGAGCTCCTTATTTATTCTAGTTATTAATTGCTTGTCAGATGGATAGTTTGCAGATATTTTCACCCATTATGTGAGTTGTTTCTTCACTTTGTTGATTGTTTCTTTTGCTGTGCAGAAGCTTTTTAACTTGATATGATCCCATTTATCCATTTTTGCTTTGCTTGCCTATGCTTTTGGAGGATTACTCAAGAAATCTCTGCTCCCTCCATGTCCTGGAGGGTTTCCTCAGTGTTTTGTTTTAGTAGTTTCATAGTTTGAGATAGTAGATTTAAGTCTTTAATCCATTTTGACTTGGTTTTTGTTGTGGACAGAGTTTCATTTTTCTGCATATGGATATCCAGTTTTCCCAGCACCATTTATTGAAGATACTGTCCTTTTCCCAGTGTATGTGTTTGGCACCTTTGTTGAAAATGAGTTCACTGTAGGTGTGTGGATTTGTTCTGGATTCTCAATTCTGTTCCGTTGGTCTATGTATCTGTTTTTTAATGCCAGTAACATGCTGTTTTGGTTACTTTAGCTTTGTCATTTAATTTGAAGTCAGGTAATGTGATTCCCTTCAGTTGTGTCCTCTTTGCTTAGGATAGCTTTGGCTCTTCTGGGTCTTTTATGGTTCCATATAAACTTTAGGATTGTAATTTCTATTTCTGTCAAAAATGTCATTGGTATTTTGATTATGATTGCATTGAATCTGTAGATTGCTTTGGGTAATATGGACATTTTAACAATATTGATTCTTCTAGTCCATGAACATGAAATATCTTTCCATTTTTTTGTGTCCTCTTCAATTTCTTGCATCAATGTTTTATAGTTTTCATTGTAGAGATCTTTCACTTCCTTGGTTAACTTATTTCCTAGGTATTTAATTTTATGTGTACCTGTTGTAAATGGGATTACTTTCTTTTTCAGATTGTTTGCCATTGGTGTATAGAAATGCAACTGATTTTTGTATGTTGATTTTCTATATTGCAAGTTTACTGAATTGATCAGTTCTAATAGTTTTTTGATGGAGTCTTTAGATTTTTCCAAATGTAAGATCATATCCTCTTCAAACAAGGATAATTTGACTTCATTTCCAAATTGGATGCTCTTTATTTCTTTCTGTTATCTGATTGCTCTGGCTAGGGTTTCCACTACTACACTGAATAACAGTGGTGAAAGTGGGCATCCTTATCATGTTCCAGATCTTAGAAGAAATGATTTCAGTTTTTCCTCATTCAGTATGATACTAGTTGCATGTCTGCCTTATATCGCTTTTATTATGTTGAAGTATGTTCCTTCTGTACCCAGTTTCTTGAGGGTTCTTCTCATGAAGGGAGTTGAATTTTATCAAATGCTTTTTCAGCATCAATTGAGATGATCATATGGTTTTTGTCCTCATTCTGTTGATATGATGTATCACATTGATTTATTTCCATATGTTAAACTATCCTTGCACCCCTGGGATTAATTCCAGTCATGATGAATGAACTTTTTAATGTTTTGTTCAATTCCTTTTGCTAGTATTTTGTTGTATATTTTTGTATCAAAGTTCATCAGGGATATTGACCTGTAGTTTTCTTTTTTTGATGTGTCTTTGTCTGGTTTTGGTATTGGGTAATACTGGCCTTATAGAATGAGTTTGGAAGTATTCCCTCCTCCTCTATTTTTTTTTTTTTTTTGAACAGTTTGAGTAGAATTGGTATCAGTTTTTGTTTAAATGTTTGGTAGAGTTCAGCAGTGAAGCCATCGGGTCCCAGGCTTTTCTTTGCTGGGAGAATTTTTAATGGGTTTGATTGCATTACTTATTACTGGTCTGTTTAAATTTTGGATTTCTTCATGGTTCAATCTTGGTAGGTTTTATGTGTCTAGGGAATGATGCATTTCTTCTAGGTTTTCCAATTTATTGGCATATAGTTGCTCATAGCAGCCTCTAATGATCCTTTGAATTTCTGCAGTATCAGTTGTAAAGTCTCATTTTTCATCTCTGATTTTTTTTATCTTCTCTCTTTTTTTCTTAGTTAGGTTAAAGATCTGTCAATTTTATCTTTTCAAAAAACCAAGTCTTTGTTTCATCAGTCTTTCCAATTGGTTTGTTTGTTTGTTTCAGTTTCATTTATTTCTGCTCTGATTTTTATTTATTTTCTTTTACTCATTTTTGGTTTGATTTGCTCTTTTTTAATTCTTTAAGATGCATCATTAGGTTGTTTACTTGAAGTTTTTCTTTTTTGATGTAGGCACTTACAGCTATAAACTTTCCTCCTACTACTGCTTTCATTGAATCCCATAGGTTTTGGTATGTTGTGTTTTCATTATCATTTGTTTGAAGAAATTTTTCAATTTCCTTTTTAATTTCTTCATTGACTCACTGGTCATTCAGAGCATATTGTTTAATTTGCATGTGTTTGTGTAGTTTTCAGAATTCCTTTTGTTATTGATTTGTTTTATTCCATTGTGATCAGAAAAGATGCTTGATATTATTTTAATTTTTTGAATGTTTTAAGACTTTTTTGTGACCTAACATATGGTCTATCCTTGATAAGGTTCCATATGCTGAGGAAAAGAATGTGTATTCTGCAGCCATTGGATGAAATTTTCTGTAAGTATTTATTAGGTCATTTGGTCTATAAGTGCAGATTGAGCCTGACATTTCTTTGTTGAAGATCTGTTCATTGTTGGATGCGGGGTGTTGAAGTCTCCAGCTGTGATTCTAATAGAGTCTCTCTCTTTAGCTTTAATATTTGCTTTATATATCTGAGTGCTCCAGTGTTGGGTGCAAATATATTTATAATTGTTATACCCTCTTACTGAATTGACCCCTTTATTGTATATAGTGACTTCTTTGTGTCTTCTTATAGTTTTTGTCTTGAAATCTATTTTGTCTGATATAAGTATAGCTACTCCTGTTCTTTTTGGTTTCCATTAGCATGGAATGTCTTTTTCCATCCCTTTATTTTCAGTCTATGTGTATCTTTATAGGTGAAGTATGTCTCTTGTAGGCAACAGATTGTTGGGTCTTGTTTTTTTTATTATTATTATTATTTTTTAATCCATTCAACCATTCTTTGTCTTTTGATTAGAGAGTTTAGTCCATTTACATTCACTGTTATCATTGGTAAGTAATTGCTTACTCCTCCCATTTTGTTTTTTGTTTTCTGGTTGTTCTGTGTTCTTCTCTTCATTCCTGTCTTCCTTTTAGTGAAGGTGCCCACTTTGTGCTCTACTCGCCTGTGGCCAAGGTGGTACTTAAGTGCAAGACAAAGTCCCCCTTACTTTTCCTTTCACTTTTCTCAAGCAGAAGGAGTCTCTCCCTGTAGCCACCACAGCTGGGGATATGCTGAGTCTCATCCAAGGCCCATGGCATACTGCCTGGGTATTGCTGCTGGTTATTCAGGGTCCAAGGGCTCTTTAGTCAGCAGGTGATGGATCCTTCGAGGACTGGGTTCTTCCCTTCAAGGCAGCAGGTTGCCTTCCTGGCCAGGGTACATCTAGACATGTCATCTGAGAGCTAAGTCCTGGAAAAGGGGCCTGAGGACTCTGACTGGTCCCTATCCTACTGTGGCTGAGCTGGTATCCAAGATGTAAGACAAAGTCCTCTTTATGGTACCCTTTCCTCTCTTCAAGTGGAAGAAAGGGGTCTCTTTGGAGCAGTGAGCTGAGCAGCCTGTGGTTGGGGAAGAGATGGCGAAAACACCTCCTTAGCTGGTGTCTCAGTAGGTCACTTGTCCCCTCAGTCCCTCGGCTCTGAGCCCAGTTCAGCACTAGAACTCACCTAGGAGTATAGTCTCTTGTGGCCTAGACTGCCTTTCAAGTTTATTTAGGATCCCAGAGAACTTTAGCCCACGTTGGTGAGACTCACTGAAACTCAAGTTCTGACTGCCGGGATTGGCAATTCCCCTCTGGCTAGGACTGGTCTAAATGCTCCTGCTGTTGTGGCCATCAGCTGAGTTCAGCCCAGTTTTGTTTTCTGCTATGACAGGGCACCATTGAGTTCAGTACAATACCTTGCAACTGCTGCTGTCCCTCTCCTAATTGCACAGATTCCTTCTCTGTATCATGTGGCCACTGCCACAGGATGGGGAGGGGGTGGTGTTGGCAATTCAACACCTATCCTCTTTAGCACCTCTTTCAGGGATATGAAGTTAAACCCGGGTACTGTGAGTGCTCACCTGAGTTTTGGTTCTTATGAAAGTGCTTTTTCTGTGTAGATAGTTGTTAAATTGGTGTCCTTGTGGGAGCAGGAGTGGGGGTAATCAGTGGAGCCTTTTATTCAGCCATCTTGCTGTGCCTTCTCCCTGCCTCTCCCTGTTGTAGGTTTTTTGATTTGAGGTTATCATGAGGCTTGAAAATAATATAACCCATTATTTTAAACTGATGACAACTTAATAGTGATTGCATAAACAAACTAATACACAAACATAGAGAAAACTAATAAAAACTCTACACTTTAATTTTACCTCCCTGCTTTTTTAAAACTTTTTGCTGTTTCTGTTTATATCTTCTTATACTGTCTGTCTTCAAAAGTTGTTGTTTCTATTTTTGATCAGTTCATCTTTTAGTCTGTCTACTTAAGATGTAAGTAGTTTACATACCACAATTACAGTGTTTGTTATAGTATTCCATTTTTCTTTGTATTCTCTATCGGTGAGTTTTGTACCTTCAGATGATTTCTTATTGCTCATTAACATCCTTTTCTTTCAGATTGAAGAACTTCCTTTAGCATTTCCTGTAGGAAATGTCTGGTGTTGATGAAATCCCTCAGCTTTTATTTTCTAGGAATGTCTTTATTTCTCCTTCATGTTTGAATGATATTTTTGCTGAGTACACTGTTTTAGGATAAAAGTTTTTCTCCTTCAGTACTTTAAATATGTCATGCGACTCTCTCCTGGCCTGTGAGGTTTCTTCTGAGAAGTCTTCTGCCAGACCTATTGGAACTCCTTTGAATGTTGTTTCTTTCTTTATCCTAGACCTTCGGAAGTTTGATTATTAAATGTGTTCAGGTAGTCTTCTTTGGGTTGAATCTGCTTGGTGTTCTATAGCCTTCTTGTACTTGAATATTGATATCTTTCTGTAGGTTTGGAAAGTTCAGTTATTATCACTTTGAATAAATTTTCTACCCCCACCCCTTAAAACTTGTAACTCTTAGATTTTCCCTTTTGAGGCTGTTTTCTAGATCTTGTAGGTGTGCTTCATTCTTTTTTGAATTATTTTCTTGTTTGTTTCCTTTGATTGTATACTTTCAAATAGCCAGTTTTCAAGCTCACTTAATTCTTCTGCTTGATCAGTTCTGCTGTTAAGAGACTCTGATGCATTCTTCAGTATGTCAGTTGCACTTTTCAACTACAGAATTTCTGCTTGATTCTTTTTATTTCAGTCTCTTCATTAAATTTATCTGGTAGAATTCTGAATTCCTTCTGTTTTATCTTGGATTTCGTTGAGCTTCCTCAAAGCAGCCATTTTGAATTCTCTGTCTGAAAGGTCACCTATCTCTGTCTCTCCAGGATTGGTCTCTGGTGTCTTATTTAGTTTGTTTTGTGAGTATTGGGGGAACCCACCCCCAATATTTCAATGTAGGTTCTTTCTATTTTCCATAAGTGTCGGCCAGCTGAGAAATAAACAGAGACAGTACAAAGAGAGGAATTTTACAGTTGGGCCACCAGAAGTGACAGCACATATCAGTAGGACCGTGATGCCCACCTGAGTCTCAGACCAGCAAGTTTTTATTAAGGGTTTCAAAAGGGGAGGGGGTGTAAGAACATGGAGTAGGTATAAAGATCACATGCTTCAAAGGGCAGAAAGCAGAACTACTAATAAGGGTCTAACAAAGATCACATGCTTCTGAGGGAACAGGATAAAGGGAAAAAGCAGAACCACTGATAAGGGTCTATGTTCAGCGGTGCATGTATTGTCTTGATAAACATCTTAAACAACAGAAAACAGGGTTCTAGAGCAGAGAACTGGTCTGACCACAAATTTGCCAGGGTGGAGTTTTTCCTGACCCTAGTAAGCCCAGCGTACTGCAGGAGACCAGGGCGTATCTCAGTCCTTATCTCAACTGCAGAAGACAAGACATTCCCAGAGTGGCTGTTTATAGACCTCTCCCCAGGAATGCATTCCTTTCCCTGGGTATTAATATTAATATTCCTTGCTAGGAAAAGAATTTAGTAATCTCTTCCCTACTTACACGTCCGTTTATAGGCTCTCTGCAAGAAGAAAAATATGGCTCTTTTTGCCTGACCCCGCAGGCAGTCAGACCTTATGGTTGTCTTCCCTTGTTCCCTAAAAATCGCTGTTATTCTGTTCTTTTTCAAGGTGCACTGATTTCATATTGTTCAAACACACGTTTTACAATCAATTTGTACAGTTAACACAATTATCATAGTGGTCCTGAGGTGACGTACATCCTCAGCTTATGAAGATAACAGGATTAAGAGATTAAAGTAAAGACAGGCATAAGAAATTACAAAAGTTATTATTTGGGAACTGATAAATGTCTATGAAATCTTCACAATTTATGTTCCTCCGCCGAGGCTCCAGCCAGTCCCTCTGTTCGGGGTCCCTGACTTCCCGCAACATGTGAGGTCATGTTTTCCTGGATGGTCTTAATGCTTGTGGGTGTTCATCAGAGTCTGGACACTGAGATTAGGTATTTGTTGTAGTCTTTGCAGTCTGGGCTTGTCTGTATCTGTCCTTCTTGGGAAGGCTTCCCAGGTAGTCAAAGGGATCTAAGTCTTTGGTCACTGCAGCTATATCTGCTTTAGGGGGCACCCCAAGCTTAGTAACACTGTGGGTCTTGCAGACTCATAGAGGTACCACCCTGGTGGTCTTGGGTAATATCCAAGAGAATTTCTTGGATTACCAGGTGGAGACTCTTCTTTTCTTTCCCCCAAACAAATGGAGTCTCTCTCTGCTGAGATGCCTGGAACTGGAGGAGGGGTGATACAGGCTGTTAATTCAGACCTGAAGCCAGCTTAGCAATGGGTCTTTCCCAAGCCCCACAGTGACCACTGCCTGGCTATGGCTGATGTTCATTCAAGTCCCAAGGGCTTCTCAGTCAGCTTGTAGTGAATGCTGCCAGTCCTGAGTCTCTTCCTTCAGGGCAGTGGGCTCCCTTCAGGACCAGGACAGGTCCAGAATTGCCACCCAGGAGTCAAGGCCTAGAACTGGGGACTCCAGGAGCCCACTTGGTGCTCTATCCCACTGTGGCCAACCTGGCACCCAAGCTGCAAGACAATGTCCCATTTACTCTTGTCTCTCTTTTTCTTAAGCAGAAAGGATCTCTTCCTGTATCCACCACAGCTGGGAATGTGGTGGGTCACACACCTGAAGCCAGCACAGCTCTTAGTCTTACCCAAGGCCCACAATGAGTACTGCCTGCCTGGCTATTCCTGTTAATTATTCAGGGCCCAAAGGCTCTTTAGTCAGCAGGTAATGAATTCTGCCAGGACTGGGTCCTTCCCTTCAAGGCAACAGTTCCTTTCTGGCCCAAGATGTGTTTAGAAGTGTCATCTGGGAGCTAGCACCTGGAATGGGGGCCTCAGGATTCTGCCTGGTGCCATATTCTACCATGACTGAGCTGTTATCCATGTTAAGACAAAATACTCTTCCTTCTCCTCTCCTCTTCTCAAACAGAGGTAAGAAGTCTCTCTGAGAGCTGCGAGCTGTGCTGCTTGGGATTGGGGGAGGGGTGTTGCAAGCATTTCCGTGGCCACCCTGGCTTGTGTATCACTGGGTCACGTGCCCCCCAGGTCCACTGGCTTCGAGCCCAGCACAGCACCAGGACTTGCATAGACATTTAATTCCTTGTGGTCTAGACTGCCTTTCCAGTTCATTGAAGGCCCCGGAACACTTTAGCATGTGGTGGCAGGGCTTGCCAGGACTCAGGTTCTGAGCCCTGGGGTGGGCAATTTCTTTCTGGCTAGGGCTGGTCTAAATGCTCCCTCTGATAGGTGCCAACTGAGTTCTGCCCAGTGCTGCTTTCCACTGTGACAAAATAGCACTGAGTTCCAATGCAAAGTCCCACAGTCACTACACTCTGCCTCCCTCCAAGTGCACAGATTCTCTCTTTGTGCCACATGGCCATGGCCACTACTGGGGAATGGGGAAGGGATGTTGTAGGTGATTCAAGACTGTCTTTCCTACCCTCTTCAGTGCCTCTTTCCTTAATATAATATTATTATGATCACTTACCTGACTCTTCATTCTTATGAAGGGGCTTTTTTTATGTGGATAGTTGTTAAATTTGGTGTTCTTGCTGGAGGGATGATCACCGGAGGATTCTGTTCGGCTGTCTTATTCTGCCTTCCTATTTCTGATTTTCATGAGAGTGATTTGTCATGATTAAAAAAAAAGTGGGAATCATGGTGATAGAGTCTTTCCTTTCCTAGGAAATTGGTTTCTGATTATGATTCTGACTTATATTGATGTGGTTTAACTACAATGTAGAATGTCCTTGTATTAGTCCCTTTTCACACTGCTGTAAAGATACTATCCAAGACTGGGTAATTTATAAAGGAAAGAGGTTTAATTGACTCATAGTTCTGCATGGCTAGGGAGGCCTCAGGAAACATACAGTCATGACAGAAGGGGAAGCAGGCACCTTCACAAGATTGCAGGAGAGAGAGTGAGCAAGAGCAGGGAAAACTGCCTTATAAAATGATCACCTCTCGTGAGAACTCACTCACTATCATGAGAACAGCATGGGGGATACTGCCCCTGTGATCCAGTCACCTCCCTCCCTTGACATGTGGGGATTACAGTTTCCTCCCTTGATACATGGGGATTACAATTAGACATGAGATTTGGGTGAGGACACAGAACCAAGTCATATCATTCTGCCCTGGCCCCCACCAAATCACATCTTTTTTTTTTTTTTTTTTTTTTTTTTTTTTTTTGAGACAGAGTCTCGCTCTGGAGTGCAGTGGTGCGATCTTGGCTCATTGCAACCTCTAACTCCTGGGTTCCAGTGATTCTCCTGCCTCAGCCTCCCAGGTAGCTGGGATTACAGGTACATGCCACCATGCCCAGCTAATTTTTTGTGTTTTTAGTAGAGATGGGGTTTCACTATGTTGGCCAGGCTGGTCTGAAACTCTTGACCTCAGATGATCCATCTGCCTGGCCTCCCGAAGTGCTAAGATTACAGGCGTGAGCCACCGCACCCAGCCATCTTTTCACATTTCAAAACCAATCATGCCTTCTCAACAGTCCCCCAAAGTCTTAACTCATTTCAGCATTAACTGAAAAGTCCATAGTCCATAATCCAAAGTCTCATCTGAGACAGGGCAAGCCCCTTCTGCCCATGAGCTTATAAAATCAAAACCACGTTAGTTACTTCCTAGATACAATGGGGATACAGGCATTGGGTAAATACACCCCTTCCAAATGGGAGAAATTGGCCAAAACAAAGGGGCTACAGGCCTCATGCAAGTCCAAAATCCAGCAGGGCAGTCATTAAATCTTAAAGCTCTGAAATGATATTTAGCTGCATGTCTCTCATCTGGGGCATGCTGACTGATGCAAGGGGTGCACTCCCACAGTCTTGGACAGCTCCTTCATGGGCTGGTGTCTGGTATCTGTGGCTTTTCCAGGTGCACGGTGCAAGCTGTCAGTGGATCTACCATGCTGGAGTCTGGAGGACAGTGGCCCTCTTCTTAAAGCTCCACTAGGTAGTGCCCCAGTGGGGACTCCATGTAGGGGGGTCCAACCCCACATTTCCCTTCCACATTGCCCTAGTACAGGTTCTCCATGAGGGCTCTGCCCCTGCAGCAGACTTCTACCTGGACATCCAGATGTTTCTATACATCCTCTGAAATCTAGGTGCAGGCTCCCAGGCCTCAACTCTTGCCCTCTGTGCACCCACAGGCTTAATACCACTTAGAAGCCGCCAGTGTTTGGAGCTTGCATCCTCTGAAGCAACAGCCCAAGCTGTACCTTGGCCACTTTTAGCTGTGGCTGGAGCTGGAGCAGGTGCGATACAGGGCACTGTGTCCCAAGGCTGCACAGAGCAGCAGGGCCCTGGGCCTGGCTCACAAAACCATTCTTCTCTCCTGGGTATCCAGGTCTGTGATGGGAGGTTTGCTGTGAAGGTCTCTGAAATGCCTTGGAGGCATTTTCCCCATTGTTTTGGCTATTAACATTTGCTCTTCTTTACTTATGCAAATTTCTGCAGCCAGCTTTTATATCTCCCCAGAAAGTGGGTTTTTCTTTTCTACTACAGGGCCAGGCTGCAAATTTTCCAAACTTTTACACTCTTATTCCCTTTTAAATATTAGTTCCAGTTTCAGATAATCTTTTTGTTCACACATATGAGCATGCACGATTAGAAGCAGCCAGGCCATATCTTGAATGCTTTGCTGCTTAGAAATTTCTTCCTCCAGAAGAAATCATCTCCCTCAAGTTCAAAGTTCAACAGATTCCTAAAGCAGGAGCACAGTGCTGCCAGTCTCTTTGCTAAAGCATAGCAAGAGTGACCTTTACTCCATTTCCCAGTAAGTTCCTCATCTCCATCTGAGACCACCTCAGCCTGTACTTTATTGTCCATATCACTATCAGCATTTTGGTCAAAACCATTCAACAAGTCTCTAGGAAGTTCCAAACTTCATCTTCCTGTCTTCTTCTGAGCCCTCCAAATTGTTCCAGTCTCTGCCTGTTACCCAGTTCCAAAGTGGCTTCCACATTCTCTGTATCTTTATAGCAGTACACCACTACCTTGGTACCAATTAACTGTTTTAGTCCATTTTCACACTGCTATAAAGATACTACCTGAGACCGGGTAATTTTTACAGGACAGAGGTTTAATTGACTCATAGATCCACATGGCTGGGGAGGCCTCAGGAAACTTACAATCATGGCAGAAGGGGAAGCAGGCACCTTCTTTACAAGGTTGCAGGAGAGAGAGCGAGCAAGAGCAGGGAAAACTGATTATAAAACCATCAGATCTCGTGAGAACTCACTCACTGTCATGAGAACAGTGTAGGGGAAACTACCCCTGTGATCCAACTAACTTTCTCCCTCGACACATGGGGATTACAATTCAAGATGAGGTTTGGGTGGGGACACAGCCAAACCATATCAGTGCTGATCGTGCCATCATGATATCCCCCATGTGACAAAATATTAAAATAATAAACCATTCTAGTGCCTATGTCAGTCTTAAATAAATTTTACTAAGGGTGAGTCATCTCAAAGGGCCTGATCACCCAGACACTAACCAGCTAGTCAGTTTTGCTGGCCTTCCTTTGTTTGACACTACCAGCTACTCCAGATACAGAGAGATAAAGAGAGGAAGGAAGGACAAAAGGAAGGAATGAATTATTCTGATCTCTGTTGACTCCTTTATTGTGAGTCTTGAAAAACTTAGCTAGAGGGCAGAGTTCAAAACTCTTTGTGGGTTAATTTTATAATGTTTATCAAGCAAGGGTGGCTTCAAGAAGTGACTGAATTTGTTACTTAAATATTGCCAAAATGAATATCAGCTATGGCAAAACTAAAACCAGTTTCAGTTTCTAAATGGATAGAACTAAATAACCCTATGTTATTTAGTCATTGTGTACATTTTTCAGAAGACTCATAATGTTGGACTTACTGGACTACAGTTCTGCATTAAAATCATGTTCTATAAGGGACAACTTAGATAATTTTGTGGTCAAGGTAGCTCATTCATTTGTTAAATAAACATTGATTTAATTCTTGCTACGTGCTTACTGTTCTAATACTAATCCATTTCTCTACTTTCAGGCAAGACTACTCAGTTTTTTTCTGGGATTTTTTTAACTTCTTATGAATTCTAAGGAGAAGAAAAATTTTTCAGTATGTCTTACATTTCATAATATGTAATAATTAGTTTTTTCCTGATACTGTTCTATCATTTGGAAATGGAAACTCAGCTAAAAACCACTTTCCTTTAATTAAACCTTTTGTATACTTAAAAATTGTTTGAAGTCACCTCTCAGATTTTAAAATCTTGGCTAGTTACTCTTATTTCTGTCACTTTCTTATATTTTATATTTAATTTATAAATTAATATTTATTGATAGTGATTAGTAATTGCGGAGAAATCAAAATAATTAAAAGTTCACCCTCTGCTGTCTAAGAAATTTCTCTAATTGGGGAGAAAAGACATAAGTATGTCCTGTAACCTAATAATTGAAGAGATATCTCAAAGCAGCTTATTGACAAATGAATAGTGTAGTCAGAAATACCAAAGGATTCCACATAGGCAGCAGAACACAGTGGTTTAAGAGCACAGACTTTGGAGCCACACTGCCTGGGTGTGAACCGTGAATCTGCCATTCATTAGCAATATGTCTGAGCAGTTGTTTAGCTTTTCTGTGCCTCTGTTTCCCCATCTGTTAAATATAGATAATAACAGTACCTGACTTAGAGCATTATTGTGAGATTTAAATAAAGTTAGCTACTATCTATAAAGTGCCTGCTAATGATACAGTGCCTGCTAATGATAATGAAAAAAATACTGTAGGCTAAAATGTTGTTGGAAGAACTTATGGTGGGATTAAGCAGATATTTGAAGGGCAGATAGCATTTGGATAATCTTAGAGGAGGGGAGAGACCTGTTCATGCAAGACAGGGAGACTACAAGGTGTGTAGAGGGCACTGAGTGGATTGGTTTGGTTGGGACAGAGCTCTCTGAAACAGGAGGGTTTGAAGGCAGGGCACAAGGGTAGTAGGCTTTGGCCCAACTCTCAGAGACTTCCAAACTTCTGAAAGTCCAAACTGTCTGGAGTTTGGATTTGATCTTTGTAAGTGTTATAGTACAAGCAATATTTTAATTTTAATATAAAATAGATTGCTAGATTGGTGGAGACGGTTGGTGAGTGGTGGCAGGGTGACCAGTTAGGATGTTATAGCACAGGGCTAGACTGGGGTAGTACAGTAAAAATGGAGAAGAAGAGGTGTCTGCAAGAGGTGTCATCATGGAAAATTCAAAGGATTTTGCCTGCCTCTATTTTTTTTAATGAGACGAAGTCCTGCTCTGTCACCCAGGCTGGAGTACAGTGGAGCGATCTCAACTCACAGCAACCTCCATCTTCTGGGTTCAGGTGATTCTCCTTCCTCAGCCTCCTGAGTAGCTGGGATTACAGGCACGTGCCACCACGCCTGGCTAATTTTTGTATTTTTAGTAGAGATGGTGTTTCACCATGTTGGCCAGGTTGGTCTCAAACTCCTGACCTCAGGTGATCCACCCGCCTCAGCTTCCCAAAGTGCTGGGATTACAGGCATGAACCACTGTGCCCAGCCCTGACTCTTTTTTTGAGCAGATTTCTCCTGCCTAGTATGCAGTCTCCCCACACTTGGTATCTTTCACTACAGAGGGAAAACTAGAATAGGGAGCTGTCTGTGGGTGGAATATCAGACTTTTCAGACATCGTTAGATTGAAAGGCCAATTGGAAATCCCTGACTGGTAGTTGGAAATGGATGGCTGAAACTCAAGAAGAAGGACTGATACTGAGAAGTCAGAACTGGAGTTAGATATATGGTCACCTCCTTAGAGCTAATATTTGAAGCCATGGGAAGCATCAAGATCTCCAAGAGAGGCAATGGGAAGAGCTGGGCTTATTTGTTGAAGAACATCTGGTTTGAAAGAATGTGGCAAAGCAGCCAAAGAACTGGGAGAAGACCCAGACGGACGTCAAAGAAGCATTTGCAAACAGAGCACATAGTCAGTGATGTCAGAGGCTGCAGAACAAACAGAATGAGCCTAAAATAGTTATTGAATCTGGCAATAAGAAGGCCATTAGTAATCTTATTAAGTGAAGTTTCAGTAGAGTATAGGGACTTTAATTTGAGAAGTATAAATGTGAAAGGAAGAAGAAATATAGAATAGCTCTAGTAGGTTCAAATTGTTGGTTTTTTGTTTTTTTGTTTTTTCTCAAAAAATGGCATATGTGTACATTTTCAGCCAGAGAGAGAAAAGCCAGTAGAGAACAAAGCCTTAGCAGGCACTGTTCTAAGCATTTGAAAGATTAGGGAGAGGGAGATGGAATGAACTGGCAAGGAGCTGGAGCAGATGGGAAGGATAAGACGGAGCCTGCGAGCTTAGCTTCAGAAAGGAGGAGGCCCACACTCGGGCAGTGGGATGTTGTCTTGTGCCTAGGACAGGGCATGACTGAAAAGAGGGAATAGGCTAGGTGTAAAAACTGATAACTTAGAAGTAGAGAGGAGGGGCTGGGTGTGGTAGCTCACACCTCTAACCCTAGCGCTTTGGGAGGCTGAGGCGGGTGGATCACCTGGGGTCAAGAGTTGGAGACCAGGCTGGCCAACATGGTGAAACCTGGTCTCTACTAAAAATACAAAAGTTAGCCAAGCATGGTGGCAGGCGCCTATAATCCCAGCTACTTGGAAGGCTGAGGCAGGAGAATTGCTTAAACGCAGGAGGCAGAGGTTGCAGTGAGCCAAGATCGTGCCATTGCACTCCAGCCTGGGTGACAAGAGCAAAACTCCATTTAAAAAAAAAAGAAGTAGTGAGGAGGTAGAAATGAGTGAATTCATAGTGCCTGAGGAGTTAAATTGTGTTACAGGTAAGCCTCCCACATCTGAAAATCTGAAATCTGAATGCTTCCTAATCTGAAACTTTTTGATGCTCAAAGGAAATTCTCAATGGAGCATTTGAGATTTCAGAATTTTAAATTTGGGATGTTCAACCAGTAAGTATAATGCAGATATTCTGAAATCTGAAAAAATCTGAAATGTGAATCACCTCTGGTCTGAAGCATTTCATATAAGGATACTCAACCTGTATTAAAGTAGAAAAGCTGCTAATAAGAATGGTAACAATGATGGTTAACATCTCCTGTGCTTCAAGCACTGTTTTAAATGTTTATATATATTATTTCATTTATTTCTTAAACTTGTAATAGTAAGGTACTATTTCCACATTTTGTAGATGGAGAAATTAAGGTAAAAAAGATTAACTGATTTTCCCTAAACCATACATTCAATAAAGGGCAGAGTGGCGATTTGAACTGAGGTGGTGTGACTTTACAGGTCATATCTTTTTTTTTTTTTAATTATTTTCAGTTTTTGTGGGTACACAGTGTGTGTAAGGTCACGATCTTAACTGTTGGGCTCCTGTGTCCCTGGCCCTGGGAAATGAATGGCAGATTTAAGACACATATGAATATTTAGATCATTTATGGTGGGAATGGTGCCTAGGAAGCAACCCATATCTTTTTTCTTTTTTTCTTTTTGTCTGAGACAAGGTCTCACTCTGTCAAGCAGGCTGGAGTGCAGTGACACAATTATAGCTCACTGTGGCCTCTTTCTACTGAGCTCAAGCAATTCTCCCATCTCAGCTTCCCAAGTAGCTGGGACTACAAGCATGCGCCACCAGGCCTGGCTTTTTTTTAAATTTTTTATTTTTAATATTTAGTAGAGATGTGGTCTCTCTGTGTTGCCCAGGCTGGTCTCGAACTCTTGAGCTAAAGCGCTCCTCCCACCTCAGCCTTACAAAGTGCTGGGATTACAGGCATGAGCCACCATGCCTGGCCTTTTAAATATTTAATGGCAGTAAATTAATTTTTTAAAACTAACTTCCTTTTTGGTTATTCTACAAGTAATATATGGTTATTGAAGAAAACTTAGTAAGTAAAGTATAAATTTTAACAAAATCATCCTAAACCCAGAGATAACCAAAGTTGACAATTTTGTGTATTTTTTGTTTGTTTGTTTTTTTGTTTTGAGATGGAGTCTTGCTCTGTCTCCCAGGATGGAGTGCAGTGGTGTGATCTCGGCTCACTGCAACCTCTGCCTCTCGGGTTCAAGTGATTATCCTGCCTCAGCCTCCTGAGTAGCTGGGACGACAGATGCGTGTCACCACACCCAGCTAATTTTATTTCATTTTATTTTTAGTAGAAATGGGGTTTTGCCATGTTGGCCAGGCTGGTCTGGAATTCCTGACCTCAGGTTATCTACCCACCTCAGCCTCCCAAAGTGCTGGGATTACAGGTGTGAGCCACTGTGCCTGGCCGACAATTTTGTGTATTTTCATGTGATTTTTTTTTTCTGTCAGTTTTTTTCTTTTTACAAAATTGGATCATAATGTATATGTATGTGTGTATGCATATGCATGTGTGTGTATATAGTTTTATACATATAGTTTTGTGAGATTTTCATTTAATATTTTAAAACACCATAAAATTGTCACTATTTTTCTTTTACTGAATGATTAGGTAATTTATGTATTTTGTTCTTATAAGTGATGCTACAGTGGTTATCTTTCTTTGTCTGCAATGCTTATTATTGCCTTAGGCTAGTATGTTAGTCAAGACTCTGGTTGTAAGCAGTAGGAACTCACCTTGATCTAGCTTAGGTGCAAACCAGAAGTTCTTGGCTTATGTAACAGCTGAAATGGCAGGGATGCAGCTAGGCCTCAAGGGTAGCTGGAGCTGGAGACAACTCAGACAACTCAAAACTCTTTCACTCCTTATTCCTGATTCTTTCTGCATGCTTGTTTACTGAAACCCTGGAAAACATGACCAGAGAGAGCTCCTGAGCTATTGCTCACAGCACTGCCAGCAGAGTGGGACTGCAGCTTGAGTTCCTCCCACACCCAAATTTTATTAATGAAGTTTTTCAAATGAAAAAGCAAGGTTGAAAGGATTTTAAAGTGACAGTTTAGTATACTTTACAGTACAAGGATATATAAATACAAGTATGTTACTCTGCTTGCTGTGTCACATATCTATCAGCCTGTCTTCATCTGTCACTGCATCTTTAAAAAATTCACTTCAAAATAAATTGCAGCTATCAGTATACTTTCTCCTAAATACTTCAGCATAGGTATTATAGAATTCAATACTTATTTATCTTTTTCTTTTGATACAAAATTTACAAAGAAATGCACAAGTCTTAGGACAAGTCCATACAACAGTGTAACCCAAATCCTTATGAGCCCTTATGATCCCAAGTTTTAAAAAATCTAAGAAAATGGCTCTGGCTAGTTCACCTTGGGTCTGGTGCCCATCCCTGAGCTCAGAGTAAAGGAAGTCACATTTCCCACATGCAAGAGGATGCTGTGCTCAAGTGATAGAACTATACATATCTGCAGCAGAAAGCTTCCTGGAAGTTGAATTACACTAATTGAATTTAGTGCTGCACAAAAAGCATATGTATTGGTTTTATCTCTTTTAGAAAACTGCCTCTGATGTCCTTCACTGATGATTTCTTTACTCTGGGTACCTGTGCTCCTTTATTTTTTCTTTAATTGGTATATCACTTTTTTCCCAATTGTTTTATATGTCTTATAAAAAATGGATTATAAGCTCTTGAGAGTGAAGACCAGTTCTTTTCAAATCTAACCTTATCCCTTGTATAATGGCACCTTATAGTAGCCATTCACATGCCTCTCCAACCAGCCAGATGCTTTATGCAGTTAGTAAAGGTGCTTATAGCTACAAATAAGAGGAAACTGTGACTCAAAGAGCCTTAAATAGTAAGGAAGTATTATACATGTCCTTATATAGAAGCACAGAGATTGGTCAGCTCAGGGTTGGTTAATTTGGTGGCTTAATGATATTGTCAAGGATCT
Organism: Homo sapiens; assembly: GCF_000001405.40. Taxonomy (NCBI): domain Eukaryota; kingdom Metazoa; phylum Chordata; class Mammalia; order Primates; family Hominidae; genus Homo; species Homo sapiens. The sequence goes on along the minus strand of NC_000006.12, from coordinate 38,518,611 downwards.
GGGCTTTTCTGTTTTTTAGACTCTGCCATCATTATATAAGCTTTGTGCTCAAACTGGATCCTTTCATGATCACAGTATGACTGTTACAGGTCCAGGCATAAGGTCCAAATGCAAAGCATCTCTTCCCTTTATTGCTCGAAAGAGCTAAGAAACCTTTCCCAGAATCTCCCTAGAGATCTCCATACACAATTGGCGAGAACCAGTTGAAATTATCACTCGCATATCAGTCATTGGTGAAGATAATGGAACCATGGTGATTACTATTCAAGATCTATGCCTGTAAAGGGCATTCCTCCTCTTTTCACGTTGGGAGGAGAGAATACTATACAATTAGGACTGATACAATTAGTAAGAAAATTCTATAGGCAACAACATCTGTTACACAGCATTATTCCTTAATGAAAATGCCTGATCTTGTCCTCTGAAGTTGGTTCGGGGGTGGGGGGCACATTAAAGAAATTCTATATGTAATTATTGTTGCTGCCTGAATGGTTTCTCAGTTAGTGACATTTGCTACTGTATTGGCCCTGGTCTTTTAGGTTTTTAGGTGTTTAATATTTTTCTACTTTTTAATATTTGTCATTCTTTGACTCAGTGTATTTTGAAAATGTGCGTTTTAATGATTTCTTCTTAATTTCATCTGGAATTAATTCCTATAAGCCTAGTGGCTAAGCCTTGGGTTCTCTGGAAAACAGAGCCTGAGGTGAGGATTAAGGTGGTAATGCTTTCTTGGAGGGTTGCAGGTCCAAGTCTATAAGGGTAAGGGCAAAAGGAAGAAGGGAAGGTGCAAAGAAATGGATTCGATGTGTTATAGAGCCAGCTAGCTTTTGCTTTACAACAAACTAAGAAGAGACATGGAAGGTGACTCAGGAAGCATGCAGCTTTTTTCTGAAAGGGTTGCAAGGAGGAACTAAGAGTAGTCCTTGGAAAAGAGAAAGAAGGGGGAGAATTTATCTGCCTGATATTTCTTCCTGTCTCCTGTTCCTAGTTAATAGGAGTTTACTCCACAGGAAGCTAATTCCTCTGTATGACCAGGCTATGTCATTCTGGCTCTCTGTGGCTACTCAGGATGCTAGATCCCATGTACTACACTGTGGTTTTTCATACAAGTCCAAAAGTGACTTGGATGGGGCACCAACTAAGAGAAGGAGAGGGGAAGGTGGCCAGGCAGCGGGTGGGGGAGGCAGAGAAGGAGTTGGCTGCACGTAGCTGACAAGATACACAAGGTTTGTGTCCCAATACACCCAAGAAGGTTGAAGTCAAACTTTTTTTGCTGTAGCATTACTTTGGTATTTGATTACTCAGAAACATACTAGTTTCAAAGTAAGCCAGATACTGCTTTTGTTATCCAAAGCTCTAAAGTTTAACCTTATGAACTGGTTTACTTTCTCAGATCTGGAAATCTCTTTAGGAAGTGTTGGCAGTGTTCCAGAGCTCACAGATCATCTTGGTTGCTGTGGATCTAGGTCAACATTGACTCCTTTGTAGTCATTCTGAAATATGACTGAGGTAGAGTGGAGTGGCCCTGAGTACCCTTAGATTGTCTAGTCTCTCCAAGTTTATCAGGATTGATGGGCTCTTTGGAGCTCTGGACACTTGGAAAACCTCTGAATATTAGCTTTGAATTCTGTAAGTTCTTACAATGCCAACTTCATTTTAAAGAGAACAATTTTCACTTTTTATTCAGAGTGCAGTGAGCAAATTGTGTTGAGTTGGTGGCAGAAGAGGCACAATCTGATGGAATGAAGGAAATAATGTATTCTTGATTGGTCTGGTCTTTGCATTCCTCATATGTGTCTTCCATTTTCTTTTTATTAAATATCTCTTTATTTTTTCCATTAATATACTTTACTCAGATCACTGTGACTGCTTAATAGATACTACACAGTAATAGTAGCTGTTTTCATGTGGGAGATAAAAGGATGAACTAGTCAGAGATGAATGTTAATTGGGTGCATCTAATAAGCCTGAGATTTCCTGCTTCAGTGTCATCATGGGAGTTGAGGCAGAGCATTTGGACCTTCCTAGCATGTCACCTACTGAATGCTCTTGACCCGTTCTGAATTGCCTACACTGGGCAGTGCAGGCATGACAGAGTCTGCGACCAGGTAGCCCTTCAAGCTGCATTGGAGGCATGGAAATTCTTTGCCGGTCTGTAGTTTGTGCCATCCAGATTTTTGAAAGTGTTCTGAAGGAATCTGTGTTCTTTCACCTGGTTTTCATGCCTGGCCTTAACCTAGGGACATAAAGTCACAGTAGCTCTATAGGTGTTTAAACACATAGTTCTACATGTATCTGGTTAGTTGAACCCTTCTTTTTTTTTTTAAATTCATGGAATGGCTGACTTATTTATTTCATGTAACATAATCTTGAAAATACAAAGTACTCTCCCTCCTATTTTCTAGTCCAGTGAAGGTGATCACTTTCCTCTTTCATTTACCTTGGTTACTTGTTTCCTGCCCTGAGGTGAGGCTACTTGTAGGGCTGATTAAGGTGAGATATTTTCTCCTTTTTGAGGCTCTACTTATGAGCTAGAATAATAAAAATTCAAGAATTGTGCCGAATTTTCTTTTGTTGATGACTGTGATTTAGTCTGTTATGTAACTACAATGTATAATTTACACATCCTGAAGATCATCAGTCTCTGTACAGAGTGACTATATTTAACCCTCACTTCTTTGGAAAAAGAGAACATTACCAATTATCTTTGAAACTGTGTTTGTGAGACAGTGCACATTGATCCACCCTCTGTCTCCATTTTTAATTTTTGGTGCGTCAAGTAGTACTTTATGATTTATTCTGTGCTTTTCATGTGTAAAGGCTAAGAAGAGAGAGAGCTTAGTAGCTAGTGACTATGTCTCGAGGCCTCCCATTGCTTATTTTGTCTAAACCAAGAATAATAGACATAATATCTCTGTTGTCTCTCTTAATATGCAGGCCCAGAAAGAATAAAAGAGTAAATCTCTTCCCCTATTATCTTTTAGTTGTAGGAGAGGAGTATGGAGAGAGGATATTGAAATAAATTATTTAATGCTGGATAGTTCTATGCTTAGTAGTAAGAAAATAACACTTCTTTGTTCAATGTCATGATGCCATTAGTTCCTGTGTGATTTGAGGAGTTTTTGAGAAAGAAAATAGTGTTAGTTTACTGGCTTTTAAAGTCCAGGCCAGTTTTAAGCTCAAATTCCATAGTGATATCTTTTAAGCAAATTCGCTTATTTACCACCCAGCATTTTGCCTCATTGCCCTGCCCCAGGCTCTGTTTGTATGAAGTTGTCATGATGTAAGAGGAAATGTTGACTGTTCTCTTAAGAAAGAAAGCCTTGAATAAGAAAATCATGTTCTCATTAAATCCGCTCTTTAAGAGTAGGTGGGAGGAATTGCTATCGATCTAATGGATTTAACAGTTCATATAGAAAGTCTGTGGAATAGAAGTAATATTCTGCAGCTGAGTAACTGTAGATTAATCCATCTTCAGACAGAATTCTGGAAGCATCTGTAAAACTGGAAAATTACCTTTTTTTTTTCCAGGCACAACTGGACTAAATGTATTTCCCAAATACTTTAGAATTAAATTATATCCACATAAGTAGGTCTACTAAAAATTATATGAAAAATTGAAATAAAATCATAAAATATAAATGTTAGGTTCTTCTTGGCTACATTTGCTCTGGTGCCAGTCTGTTTCGAAGGTCTGCAGTGTTGAAGGGTAACCAGAGGTCACTTGTAAAAATTCTTTCTTTGTTAGATGGTTCTCTAATAGCTAGTGGTGGTCCATTTTAGTTTTTAGTTGGATGAAGTAGTCCTTTTAAGGTGGATGGTGAAGTCAGACATTTAAGGTTCTCTTCAAGCTCTTCCTTTGACCCTTTTAAAACCTTTTTATTTTATTCTACCCACTGAAAGCACATCACCAAGCCCTCCTTCTTTGTCAGGAAAGGGCAGCTATTTATTTTCCCCTTCCTGCCCTAACCTTTAATGAGTGGTTGGTTCTGTGAAGATATGGGAACTCCCAGGACATATGAGAATTTTAATAGGTATGAGTGACATTTTATGGACATGTTTGTAAGACATGAAAGGGGTGGACTTTGTTCATGTTCATTCTCATATAAATTACATATTTCATTCATGCTTTATTCCTATAAGATACTCAATTTGAGCAGCATATATTATCTGAAGGTTCTTGAAAAAATAAAGGTAAAATAACAGTGGTATTGACAATTACAGCTCTTTATTAGAAATGAAAAAATGGACAAAGAATTGGGACTTTAAAAAATAAGTTTACAATTAAAAGAAGAATAGACACATATTAGGAATAATAGCAGTACGATGTCTTTCTGTAGAGCATTGTAGTTTATAAAGCACTTTTACACATAACATCTGAGTTTAGTTATACAATAACAGGAGTGTGTTGGTTGTACCCCCATGGTTTCTTTAGCCATCAGATCTCTGGATCACATCCTTATACCAGCCATTTTAATTGGCATTCTTACTGCACCAGAAGACTGGTTGAATAGTCAGATAGTCTGCTATTGGTAGCAGCTCTTCTTCTTCATGTTTAATCCTTTCCCTCTTCTGCTTCTCTCATCACTGTCACTTTCTGGTTTGAAAGCTAGAGCATATGTAGCCATCTTTATTTACTTTTGTTCTGTGCTAGCATTTGCCTTCTACTAAATGAGGTTGTCCTTTATGTGACAGCTGGCAATTTGTTTCTACAGTCAAGACTCATATCCTGCATTTTTGAACCTGGAATATGTTAGTAAGGCTACAAAAATAAAAATATCATCTAAGTGAACACTGCACTGGTACGCACAGACAGCCTTCCTCTCACCTGATTCCCCAAAAAAGCCACCACTTGAATATGTCTAGTCATGGCATTGGTACTTTTGCTTGTCTACCCCACCTCTGCTGGTAGTTTTACGATTAATAATAGACTGTGAAAATAGCTATAAATGATGTGTGTATGTGTGTGTGTGTGTCTTCATATTAATCTTTTTCTCCAAAGCAGAATCATTGCTTGGGTTCATTTTTATGAGTAGTAGACCTAATTTGATTTTACTGTCAGCCCAAGGAACATCTCTTCCATTTAATTTGGAGTTGTTGGAAGTGTCGTGGGATTTTTTTTAACCAAGGTGGAGCACTTCTTTTTCTTTTCTTTTTTTTTTTTGAGACAGAGTCTCACTCTGTTGCCCAAGCTGGAGTGCAGTGGCACGTTCTTGGCTCACTGAAACCTCTGCCTCCCAGGTTCAAGCAATTCTTCTGCTTCAGCCTCCCAAGTAGCTGGGACTATAGGCATGCACCACCATGCCCGGCTAATTTTTTTGTATTTTTAGTAGAGACGGGGTTTCACCACGTTGATCAGGCTGGTCTGGAACTCCTGATCCACTCCCCTCGGCCTCCCAAAGTGATAGGATTATAGGCATGAGCCACTGCATCCAGCCAGGAGCACTTCTTCAAATGTGCTTTTGTTAAATGAACCTTATAAGAAAAATTCTGTAAGCCAAGTAAACCTTAGGATTGCCTGGACACTAATGGATTCTATGGTTAGGCATTGGGGTAAAGGTCGGGCACTAAGAACTCCTTGGAATTTATACTAGGAGTGTATGGTCCAACCCATTTAAGAACCTCTGTACTTGTTAGCATAGCTTTTTTACTAGCTTCTTATTATACTTTTGTTAACTTTGGTATTTTCAGGCTATACATCATCTTAACACCTCATTTTTACATTACATATACCATAATGTTAAACTTTAGCATTAAGCTATATGGAAGTACTTAGATCTCAACTACAAAATTCTATCAATATAATAGCTAAACGTATTTATATAAAGAATGGTTTGTAATAATATGGATTTATTAAAAATCTGCCCCTTCAGAGTTAAAAACTCACTTCTTAAAGGTAATGAAGAGAGTTAGTGAAATTTATTAAACTAGTGATGGCTGCCTCTAAAAGAATTATTTGTGTGTTTGTTTTTGTGTGTCTGAAAGGGTGGGCAAAATGGTTTACCTCACAGCAACACAGTCCTCCTTATTGTGGAAGCTGGTAGTGATTTTGCAGGGCATATTACTTAAAGGTGTGGAAGAATTCAGTTCAGCTCGGTCAGCAAGCTCCCACCCTTTCCTTAGCACTGGAGATGATACAGTGGTGAATGAGCCCACATCCTTATTCTTAAATAGCTCACAGTTTACTGGAAGAGTGAATTTTACATGGGTCATCTAAATGTTGACACCTAATTAATAGTCACCATATGGGGTTTGGTATGTACATGTTCCACAGGAATTATCTGATCAAATGAGTGATGCAAACTGTAGTATCCCTTTCCTTTTTTAAAACATAGTAGTGGCCGGGCATGGTGGTTCACGCCTGTAATCTCAGCACTTTGGGAGGCCGAGGCGGGCAGATCACCTGAGATCGGGAGTTTGAGACCAGCCTGACCAACATGGAGAAACCCCATCTCTACTAAAAATACAAAATTAGCCAGGCGTGATGGTGCGTGCCTGTAATCCCAGCTACTGGGGAGGCTGAGGCAGGAGAATCACTTGAACCCGGGAGGCAGAGGTTGTGGTGAGCTGAGATTGTGCCATTGCACTCCAGCCTGGGCAACAAGAGTGAAACTCCGTCTCAAAAAAAGGGGGAAAAATAGTGGTAGGTTTTCATTGCTCTGTGGATGAAACTCAAAATTCCTACTCTGAGCTTTCAAGAGGGTCCTAGACCATTTCATTTCCCTTTCCTCTACATGTACACATCTAAGGTTAAGTCCTTCCCAGAACTGCGCCTTATGTTTGAAACGCCCTTCCTGTCATCTATGCAAGCAAATCTTTACCTTTTGCCTTTCCATGTGAAACTTTTCCATATCTGTGAGAAAAATGACCCAAATATATGGTTTCCCCTCATTCTTTGAATTGCGCCTAATGAATATGAAGTTAATCATCATAATTTAGATATGATTCAAGCTACATCAGAGGTATTTACAGCCAGGAGCGGTGGCTCATGCCTGTAATCTCAACACTTTGGGAGGCCAAGCAGGCAGTTGGCTTGAGCTCAGGAGTTCGAGACCAGCCTGGGCAACATAGGGAGATCTTGTCTCTACAAAAAATAAAATAATTAGCCAGGCGTGGTGGCAGGCGCCTGTCATCCCAGCTACTCGGGAGGCTGAGGCAGGGGGATCACTTGAGCCCAGGAGGTCAAGGCTGCAGTGACCCACGATCATGCCACTGCACTCCAGCCTGGGTGACAGAGTGAGACCCTGTCTCAAAAAAAAAAAAAAAAAAAAGGCATTTCCAAAATACTGTGGAACAGACACAGATGAGGAAATGATTATGTCTGGGAAATTCAGACAATATTTTGTAAGGAAGGTAACATTTATCTAGGTCTTGAAGGATAAGTAGGAGTTTTTCAGGTGGGAAGGTTATTTGGGGCAGAGGGAACAGTAACAATTATGTGCTGCATAATAATCTTTACATCAACAGCAAGTCACATATACAACAGTGATCCCATAAAGGAGCTGAGAAATCCCTAACTCCTAGTGATGTCATAGCCATCATAACATTGTAGTATTACACGTTACTCATGTGTTTGTGGTGATGCTGGTGTAAGCAACCCTATATATAAAAGTATAGCATATGTAATTCACTATACTTTTAGAGTTATTTTGGAGCATATACCTTCTACTTATGAAAAAAAATTTAACCGGAAAACGACCTCAGGCAGGTCCTTCAGGAGGTATTTCGGAAGAAGGCATTGTTATCATAGGAGATGACAGCTCCATGCACGTTTCTGCCCCTGGAGGCCTTCCAGTGGGACAAGATGTGGAGGTGGAAGACAGAGATATTGATGATCCTAACCCAGTGTAGGCCTAGGCTAATATATATGTTTATGTCTTAGTATTTAATAAAAGAGTTCAAAAGTTAAAAAATGTAAATAGAAAACAAACTTATGGAATAAGGATATAAAGGTAATATTTTTGTACAGCTATACAATGTTTGTGTTTTAAGCTAAGTATTATTTTTAAAGATTCAGAAAGTTAAAAATTAAAAGTTTATAAAGCATTAAAGTTTCAGTAAGCTAAGTTTAATTACTACTGAAGAAAGAAAATTTTAAAAATAAACTTTGTGTAGCCTAAGTGCACAGTATTTATAAAGTCAGCTGTAGTGTTCAGTAATGTTCTAGGCCTTTACATTCACTCACCACTCACTCGCTGACTCACCTAGAACAACTTCCATTCCTACAAGCTCTGTTCATGGTAAGTGCTAATTATATTTTTACTCTCCTTTTCTGTGTTTAGATATACAGATACCATTGTATTACAGTTACCTACAGTCTTCAGTTCAGTTACATGCTGTGCTGGTTTGTAGCCTAGGAGCAATAGGCTATACCATCTAGCCTTGGTGTATAGTAGGCTATGGCATCCAGTTCGTGTAAGTATACTCTATGATGTTCACGCCATGATGAAATTGCATTTCTCAGAATGTATCCCAGTTGTTAAGCATGACAGTATGTGAAAACTGATGGCATCATGAAAGAACATGGCGTGTTTAGGGAATGTGGCTAGACTGTGGAGTTTGTGTGTTTTTTGGTGGTGCTAGTGCTGGGAGACAAAGCCAACTGTAGGATTTGCATAGTAATCTTTGAAATGCAAAAGCCAGCTCTTGTGGTTCTTTTGGTATGCTGTGTACTAGCACATTACCAGGTAGCTTTAGACACTTGATAAATATTTTTTTGATGAAACATGAAGCTGGGGGTAGCCAGCTCTTTGATCAGGATAGGAAAATATGAGTAATCCCTTCAGAACTGTGTTTATTTATCATTTATCAAGCATTCATTCAACAAATATATACTGAGGCTGCTGTGTTCAGGGCAATGAGGGAAATATAAAGATGTTTCTTCCCTGTTTTGTGCAGTGCCTCTTCCCTGAGTTCAGTTTTATTAGATTTTTCTTTTCGGAAGTGTTAATTCTATGCCTTTTTTTTATATTTTATACATGCTTGCTACTAAAGTATTGTGTAGTTATTTTTGTCTCTAAAAGGTTCAGAACCATTTTAACCCACTTCAGTGCTTTATTTCAGGAGTTCTCACTGCGTTTTGAGAAAGTACAGATGCTCAAATAGCTGATGTTTTTCTGTGACCTGTGCCTTTCCAGCCAGTATTTATAAGGTCAAGAAGGCAAAATATGCAGAATTATAGATGTGACAGCTGATTTGTACTGAACTTTTTAGGACTAACATATCTTAGCTGCCATTCTTTACTTATAGTTGATGCAAAGAGAACATTGTTTAGCAGTAGCAAAGAAAAACTTAACACTGAAAGTAAAATAGAAATTTCATTCTTAAAAATTGCACTCCTGGTAATATGTCCTTTTACCCTTGTGCAGAAGAACATCCAAACTTGTTCTTGAGGATTATTTTAAATGTATAATCATTTCCCCCTTCCCCCTATTGAGTAACCTCCATGTGTCAGCACTATGCTGGGTATTGGGTTACAACAGTAAACATCACACTTCTTGTCTTCAGGGAAGTAAAACAGTTGTCCCTCAGTGCTGGCTGTGCATTAGCTATACAAGTAAGTGTTTAAAAAATACAGATGCTAGAGTCCCTGTCCTGGAGATTCTGACTCACTGGTTCTAAGGTGGGTAGGTAAGATTACTGACAAGTTAATAGGAAATTACAGTTCTCTGAAGTAGGGCTCTGGGATAGTTTATGAGCACAGAAGAGGATTGCCTAGCTTAGTCTTAGAAGGTTACGGTTGATGGAGGGGTGGGGAGGGTATGAATACAGAATGTAAGGCAAAAGCCTGTCTTGGATTTGGGGGAATAACATGTATGGACTGCAAGAAGAAAGAGCATGGGAAGTTGGTAGTTTTTTGTGGGTGGAACATAGAAGCGGAGGCAAGCAGCAGTGAGAGGGGAGACTGGAGAAGCAAGCAGAGTCCAAATCATTCAGGGCTTTGTCTGCTGGGCCAAGAAATTTGAATTTTATCCTGTAGACATTTGGAGCCATTGATGAGTTTTAAGTAGTGGGGTGATGTGATAAGATTTATTATGCTTTCATATAATCGCTCCTGCTGCTCTGTGAAAAATGGCTTTGAGAGAAATATGAAGAGAATTTGTAGACTTGCAAAAGTCTAGGTAAGAAGTGCCAGTGGCGGGGGAATGAAGAGAAGTGGACAAATTCCAGAAATAACTTCATTTGTAGAACACACTGAACTTGGTTAAAAATAAATGTGTCTATTTGGGGGAGGGGTTGAGGGACATGAAGTAACAAAGACTGGGTTCTTAGCCTGGGGTCATGGGAGGGATGGAGGTACCATTCACTAAGATGGGAACACAAGAAAAGGCAAATTTGACAGAGGAAGGTGATAAAGTCACTTTAAATATATTGAGTTGGTAGTGGCAAAAAGACATCTAAATAGAGTTGTCAACTAGATATTTGAGCAAATTGTCTGAAGCATGGAAGCAGGATCTGGGCTAAAGATTTGGGAGACATGGCCGGGTGCGGTGGCTCACGCCTGTAATCCCAGCACTTTGGGAGGCCGAGACAGGTGGATCACAAGGTCAGGAGATCGAGACAATCCTGGCTAACACAGTGAAACCCCGTCTCTACTAAAAATACAAAAAATTAGGGGGGTGTGGTGGCGGGTGCCTATAGTCCCAGCTACTCGGGAGGCTGAGGTAGGAGAATGGCGTGAACCTAGGAGGCGGAGCGTAAAGTGAGCCGAGATCGCGCCACTGCACTCCAGCCTGGGCGACAGAGCGAGACTCCGTCTCAAAAAAAAAAAAAAAAAAAAAAATTTGGGAGACATTTTCATATTGATAGTAACTGAAACTCTACAAGTACATGAGATGATTTAGTGTGTATATATAGAGAGAAGGTCTAGGATGGAATCCTTAGAAGCACTAACGTTTCAGGAAAAGAGAAGAGGGGGGCTTATGAGACTGAGAAGGAGTGGTAAAGGTAAGAGGAACATCAAAAGAGTGAATTGTCATTTAAGGCAAGAGAACTTTTTGAGAAGGAAAGAGTGATGAACAGGATTAAATGTCACGGAGAGGTCAGTAAGACATTTCCATTTGCTTTAACAACAAACATGTTACATCAGAAGGGAGAGCAGTTGGATGGTATGGAGAGAAGAGGGTTGAAGAGTGTGAAGTAAAATAATCATGAATAGGCAATTGTTTCAAAAAGTTTGAGAAAACAGAATAGGCAGATAGGTGGTAGCTGGGAGTGGAGGGGTTGAAGAATTGCTGAGACAGGAGAAATTTGATCATTCTGTTCATTTCTTCCTGGAGTAATCATTTAGTAAGAGTCTTCTGTGAGACACACTCTGTGTTACATGCTGAGAATAGATCCCAGTCCACATGGATCTTAATTCTAGTGAAGTAGCTACCCAATAAAAGAATAGCAAATAAAGAATTAGAAGGGCTCTGAAGGAAGTAAGCAGCAAGCTGTGGTCAGGAATAACAGTGAGGCCCTACTTAAGATTGTGTGGTCAGAAAAGGCCTCTTTGAGAAGGTGTTATTTTAAACTGAGATCCGAAGGATGTGAAGGAGACAGGTGAGAAGAGCCTAGGAAAGAGGATTTCATGCAGAGAGAGCGTCAAGTGCATTAGCTCTGGGATGGGAAAGAGCTTGGGTTATTCTAGAAGCCAGCAGGAACAGGAGGTTTTTATGGCCATAGTGAGGTGAGTTAGGGAAAAACAGTATAAATGAGATGGTGCTGAAGAGATAGGAAACTTGAGACCAGTTGGGTCGTTTATGCCATGGTATTAATTTGTATTTTATTCAGGAAAAATGGAAAGCCTTTGGAAGATTTTAAGCAGAGTGATACAGTCTGATTTACATTCTAAAAAAAGTCACAATGACTGTTTTGTGGAGAATAGATTATAAATGGAGGTGGGTCAAGAACAGAAGCAGAGGGGTCAGTTAATGACTGATTGGATTATGCTGGTGGCAATGGAGGTGGAGAAAAGAGACTGGCTAGTAAAATACAGATAGTCTCCAGTTTACAATGGTTCAGCTTAGGAAGTTTTGGTGTTACAATGATGTGAAAGCAGGATGTGTTTAGTGGAAACTCTTTGACTTTTGAATTTTCATCTTTTCCCAGGTTAGTGATATGTGATATAATATTCTCTCATGCTGCTGGGCAGTGGCAGCAAGCCCTGCAGCTCAGCCAGCACGGGATCACGAGGGTAACAGCCGAATCTCTGCAGTTTACTTTATTCAGTAAATTATATGAGCATCCAACACTGTTTATGGATCAAGCTTTGTGTTAGATGATTTTGCCCAACTGTAGGCTAATGTAAGTATTCTGAACACATTTAAGGTAGGATAGGCTAAGCTATGATGTTTGGTAAGTTAGGTGTATTAAACACATTTTTGGCTTACAATATTTTCAACTTATGATGGGTTTATTGGAACTTAACTCATTGTAAAACAAGGATCATCTGTGTAATGTATAGAATCAAGATGATTTGGCTATTGTCTGAGGGGTCAAGAGACAGGGAGGAGGGAGAACTTTGGTGTCTGGTTTTAGAGTCAGCATAGATGGTGGCACCACTTACTGAGGCAGGAAAAATGAGAGGGACCCAGAGTTGCAGCACAATTTGGAGCTGTGTGGAAATGCAGAATTAAGAGTTCCTTTTTTTTTTTTTTTTTTTTGTTGAGACGGAGCCATGCTGTTGCCAGGCTGGAATGCGGTGGCACAATCTCAGCTCACTGCAACCTCTGCCTCCCGGGTTCCAGTGATTCTTCCGCCTCAGCCTCCTGAGTAGCTGGGACTACAGACGCATGCCACCACACCTGGCTAATTTTTGTATTTTTGGTAGAGATGGGGTTTCACCATATTGGCCAGTCTGGTCTCGAACTCCTGACCTTGTGATCTGTCCACCTCAGCCTCCCAAAGTGCTAGGATTACAGGCGTGAGCCACTGCACCTAGCCCAAGAGTTCTCTTTTTATATATACTGAAATTCAGTTGCATGGGGGATTTTTTTTTTTTCTTGAGACAGAGTCTCGCTGTGTCGCTCAGGCTGGAGTGCAGTGGTGCGATCTCGGCTCACTGCAACCTCCGCCTCCCAGGTTCAAGCAATTCTTCTGCCTCTGCCTCTTGAGTAGCTGGGATTACAGGTGCCTGCCACCACGCCTGGCTAATTTTGTATTTTTAATAGAGGTGGGGTTTCACCATGTTGGCCTCGCTAATCTCAAACTCCTGACCTCAAGTGATTTGCCTGCCTTGGCCTCCCAAAGTGCTGGGATGACAGGTGTGAGCCACCGCACCTGGCCTCCATAGGGGATTTTAAGTTGGCAACTGAATGTAGATATGTGGAATGTAGACACGTGGAAATTAGAGGAGAGATTTGGTCTATAGACAGATACTTAAAATTCGTTGGCATGTAGATTTGCTTAAAGCCATGAAAATGAATGAGATCACCTGGGAAGAGGATACAGGACTAAGCCCTGAGGAATGCCAGTATTTAGTGGTCAAAGGAGATATAACTTGTAAGAAAAAATTGAGAAAGCAGCTTATGAGGGAGGAGGAAACTCAGGAAAAGGTAGTATAGTGGAAGCTGAGAGGTAGTGCTTCAGGAATGAAGGAATAAGCAACTTTGTTAAATGGTTCTAATAGAGTCAGAAAAGTGTCTATGAATTTGGCATCATCTAGATTAATGGTTGCTATTACAAAAGCATTTCCAGTGTTTTGGTGGAAACAGCAGACAAGTGAAAGGAAGTAGAGCCATAGCAATTGCACCGGAATCGACCTAATTCATTCTTTTGAAGGCTGTATGATGGTTCATAGATGCTTCTACCACAATTTACTCAACCTTTCACTATTGATGAACATTCCCTTTGTTTTCATTTTTGTCACTGAAAATAATAGTACAATAAACATTCATGTTTCTCTGTCTCTGTGTTCATCCTTACACACTGGTACAATGTATTTATATAGGAAACATTCTAGGAATGGGCTTCCTGGGTTGAAAGATAGGTGTATTTTATATAATTTTAAACTATATTGTTAATAACTTCCCCCAAAGCCTAAAAAAATCCACATTTCACCCGCAGTTTATGAGAGATCTATGATACAGGAGAAGAGGGATCTAACTGACAGTGACAGTGCAAAGTCCTCAAAAGGTAAGAGGAGATGTGGTCTAAAGTTCAGTAGAGGGATTGGACTTTCATAGGGAAAGGGAGGAAGGAAAATTATAGATGCCCATAATTTTGTAGTTTGGGTAGTGGTAACATGAGGAAGTTTGTAGTCTCCGTAAAATAATAGCCCATCATCAGTTAAAGAGGAGGTTACTTGGAAAGCTCAAAGCACAAAAGAATTCCTAGAAAGTAGGAGCGGGAGTGTAGTAAGATTGCTGAGCAGTGTTGCATTTGAAATGAAGTCCAATTGTGTGATTTTTCTCTAGCCGTATGCAGTTACTTGGGTTTGTGCCCAGAGAAGATGGATACTTGAGATCATCTAGGGCTGAAGTTTGCCAGGCATGTATGATGGAAAGAGACAGACGGGGAAGTGAGGGCACTCTGCAAGGGAATGATTATATATAGACCATAGTATCTAAGCTGAACAGAGGAGGGAAATGAGGGCAGAAAGGGGTTGTGAGACTGTGGCGGGATCAGTGGATTAGAAGGTTCAAAGAGGGGCAAGAATTTTTAGCAATGGAGACAATAAAGCAAATGAATAGAAAGGATGGGAAGGGCTGTTAGAGTGTGATATATTTGCATTTAGATTTTGGCAGAGTTATGATTTTTCTTGACCAACTGAAGGAGTTGCCCATGGATTTGAATCACTGAGGTTTAACGGAAGAAAGGATCCCTGTAGTTGAGGAAATGAAGGACCTGGGAGGCCAATATATTGTTTACATAGTGTGCATTATTGTTGGCGTGTGATGCCAGCAGTAGGAGTGGAGGAAAAGTGAGCCAGGAGTGTAAGTTTTTAGTTTGGTGGGATGAGTGTGAAGTTGGTAGGTAATGGTGACTGGTGTGGGTGGAGCTAGAACTGTGAAAGGGCAGGGAGAGTTGCAAGCAAAAAGGGATGAAGTGGTTTGAGAGTAGTAGGGGGGAACAAGGACAGCTGCCTCCTCTATCTCCTGGCTCTGGGATTTATGGGGCATTAAGAGAAAAAAATAGTAACTTGAGAGGGCTGTTGGGGAAGCATGTTTAACTGCTAGTGATAAGAAATCAGGAGAGAGAGAGGTTGGAGAGGGAGAGGTTGAAGAGCAGAGCTACCTGAGAAGGGAGAACAGGTAGATGGGCTGTAAAGTCTTGGTGGAGAGATTAGCCTGGGCCGTCTCCTGGAGAGAAGGGGGAGGGCAGCAGCCCTGTTTGTGGGTTGTTGGCTAGAGGCTGCCCCTCCTCTTTCATTTCTGCAGAAGGCAGCGGGAACAGCTGCTGAGAGTAGGGCGATGGGGGATTGGGTAGGAGACATGAGAGGAATGGAGGAGGTGTGATGTAGCTGCTGTGGAGAATGGAATAATAGAAGTGACACATAGAAAGAGCATGAGGAGATAGTGAGGGCTCAGCTGAGATTGGAGAGTGAGTTAGGCATAAACTCACTTCCCTCCCTTTTCATTACACGTAGAATGTCAGTTTTCCCCTATTTCCACCAAACTGAATTAATTGCTTTCTCATCTGTTTCCATAGTGTGGAGCACCTACTTTTATATCACTTATCACATTGCGTTACAGTGATTTACCTGTTTTCCCTTTCAGAGTGTGAGTTCTTGGACAGTAAAGCTTATTTATCCTCTCTTCATGATCACCTAGAATAATGGCTGGAATGTAACAGGCACTCAGTTAACGTTCATTGAATTGAATCAAATTGCACAAGTATGGTCATTTTATTTTCCTAATAGCTCTTTCCCTTCATGAATCTGATGCCATATATTCTAAACAACTTATTCATTTCTGTGGGCACAGTGTGCTCATTAATGATAAGCCATCCTATTTCTGTGTTACGCAAGAGTAAGACCTGCGCAGAAGATGAAGATATCCTGCTCATCTCTGCAGGTTTGGTATTTGTGTATTTGCCTTGGGGATTTCTGTCAGCAGAATGTTTGCCTCGTTATTGACCTTGGTCTATAGGACATTCTCAGAGTCCTCTTCCCTTAGCATTCTTTCCCTTCAGAGCAAATGGTACTGGTCTTTGTGATTTGAACATGGTAGGAGGCTGGACATGGAAGAGAAAGCTTTTCTTTTAATAAAAACTCAACAAGCAAAATTTAAAAATCACCTTGCTTCCAAAATGTTGGAAATATTATACCAAAATGAAGAGAATACACCATGGAAAAAAAATGTACTCATATTGTTTCGTGGGTAGCAAAATGAAGGTAAATTAAGTGTTATTCATATTCCATGTCAGTAGCCAAAGCTCTGAAAGACTTCTTTAGGTTCCCTCTCAGACAGAATTATAGAATCTTCTGTTAGAACAGACCATGGTGAGCAGCTGGCCCAGCCACCCAAGCCAACATTTGAATCCCCTTTACAACATCCCCATCTGGCAGGTGTCCAGCATCAGCATCTCTAGGGATTAGCAGAGTTCTTGACAATAGAAACCAGCTTCTCATTGACACCAGGATATTGCAGATTGCTATCTCTATACCAGTAGTTCTCAAACTTTTGTTCCCAGGAGCCCTTTATTCTCTTAAAAATTGTTGAGGACCCCAAAGAGCTTTTGTTTATGCAGGATATGTCAATATTTATTTGTTGTCTTAAAAATACAACAGTAAACCCATTACATGTCAATATAGATATCATTTTTGATGAAAAATAACTATTTAAAAATTAATTTAATGGAGAGAGTAGCCTTGCAAATCTTAATGTCTGGCATAATAAAGAGAAGACTGCTGGATTCTCCATTTCTCATTCAATCTGTTGTGACAGAACAGGTGATGGAGCCTGTGGAAAGCTCAAGTGCACAGACATGGGAGGTAAATAACTTCTCTGAATTCAGAAGTTTTGATCTCACAGACCTCCCAGAAGGGTCTCAGGGACTCCCAGGAGTCCCCAGACTACATTTTGAGAACTGTTGCTCTCTTATACACCAAGGGATGGGATTGGTGATGTAAATTGGCAGGGACTGCAGTGAAAGAAAAACTAGATGCAAAAAGGGGCCAAGAAAAATGTACTCACATCTATGATCAACAAGTATTGAGTGTTTACTATGTGCCCAAGTGGAAAGCACTGAAGATACAGGTTGAGTGTCCCTTATCTGAAATGCTTGGGACCAGAAGTGTTAAGGATTTTGAACTTTTTTTGATTTTGGAATATTTGTATTATACCTACTGGTTGAGCATTCCTAATCCGAAAACCTGAAATCTGAAATGCTCCAATGAGCATTTTCTTTGCTCATCATGTTGGCACTCAAAAAAGTCAGATTCTGGAGGATCTTGGATGCTTGGATCAGGGATACTCAACCTGCACTAACACTCGCGTCAGGTGTTCTCTGTCTTCTTCAATGTGAAGGCTCATTTTGGCCTAAAAAAATTTTTAGAACTGTAAGTTAACTTTTTAACTTACAGCATCCATTGAGAAAGTGAACAAAAAGCAACTGTGAATTTTGTTCTCGTTTTAATAAATTTCTGTTTTATTCATCACAGCAATATCTATGGACATTAGATAGAAAATTCATTAGAAAATGAATACTCTATATTGTATACATTAAACATTTGGTCTTCAGCCAGTGCTTTGTACCCATGGAGATCTGCAGAACCTTTGCAGATATATCTGTGCTTGGCCTCTGTACCTGCCATGTCGCCTATGACCCACAAGTTGGGAACTGAATTCACTCATCTGTTCTTGTCACTGGCATTAAAGACATTGAGTGATGGATTTGTTTTGGGGTTATTTTTAAGCCTTTAAGACTTTTGATGCCTTCAATTAAGATGGCCAGGTATCATAAAGAATTCATGCATGCGCTTCCGGGGCTTCTGGTTTTCTTGACTTGTCCTTATCTTGCTAAGAGCAATGGATAGGCATTTGCAGATCAGGCACTCTCACCTGCCCTGTAAGATGTTGCTCAGAGTTAATGGAAGAGAATTGTGTTGAGAGAGTTAATACTGAGTTAGAGAAAAGTGGAAGTGTGTAATAGTGCAAAGGGAGGAGTGAGAAATTAAATGGTATCTTTTTAGAAGTCTGCCTTATTGCAGTCTGCATTGCTCCTTGGGGATTTTTCTACTGAGTACAAGAAAATCAGCAAGCACTTTTTGAAAAACCCAGATGAAATTACTGCCGTAAATTTTTATTTTTTTTCATGGTATAAAACCCTTAATTTAGATGGGGAGGGTTTATTACCAGTGTTTTCTTGGCATGGCTAAATTCAATTAATTTCAGATGACAAGCTCCAGGTCCCCCCTACTACCACCCCTCTGCTGCCTTTTCCTCCCCCCTCCATCCCCCAATATGTGGAAAATACAATTTGTTATTGGTTTGCCTTTGGCTCTGGAGACCTCATTAAGGGCCTGAGAAAGAGATTCTATCTCTCTTTCTTTGACACCTTTCTATTTTCTGCTGGATTCAGACCATTTCCATTGCCACATGGAAAGTATGCATGGTGTGTGTGAGGGGAAGGTTAGCAGACAAGTAGTAATGATTATACCTTTTAAATATTGATTTGAAATGACTATTGCAAGTTAAGAAATTGTTAACTGCAGTATTCAACTAAGATACGGAGCTCAGCTTAAGATGACGTCTCTGAAAAGAATGTGGGCACATTTAGACAGGAAAACTTATTCAGCGCTCTGACAGTTCATATGTAACATACCTGGTTGTTTGAAAGCAGGAACAAGATGTCAACAGAATATCGTATTTACTCACAGTCCTAAGACAGCATGCTGCACCTTCAAGTTCTTGTTGCTATCAGAATACTGTGAGCAAACGAGGGAAATAATCTATGGTGTTTTGTTTTGTTTTTCTCTGCATGGTAATATAGAATCTATTGTAGTGTGAATAAAAGAAGTCACAAGAGATTCATTACTGTTTGTGAAGTGTACTGTCTGTGTCTTTCTGCATGGGATTCTTTATTTTACTTACAAAGCAGATATAAAAATTAGAATTGAGATGATAGAGAATATATATTGCATAAATAAGCAATTTAAACAGAAGTTTTACCATTATAACAAATAAATACCCTGCTTCAGAGGTTGGAGATTAGAATCCTGTTACATTAAATGCTTGACAATTAATTAGCTATTGTCTATAAAGTTCCCAAGATGACAAGTTACTTAAATACTATTATTAGGAGTAGCTGGATTAGTAATAATAGTGTTCAAGTGCCATGGGCAACAATGAGGAGATTTTAAAAATAAAGAGAAATGCATGTGATCACAGAGTGATTTGTGTGCTGAATGCAGAGCGGGCGGTCCCTGTGAGCAGTGTTTTCTGAGACTGCAGTGTACAATGGGCAATACTTGGCAGTGTGCTGAGGAGGATGAGACAAAAGTGCTTAATTTGTTAATATTTTTTCTCTGTTTTTTTTTTTGGTGTATTGCTTAACCTCCTGTCAAAATAGTGTTCACTTAGCAAAATTAAAGAGAAAATAAGAAAGCGGACGAAAATAGGCTCAGCAAAAGACCAACTATAAAAGATGAACCTCTCGCAGTTGCTGACAGGCATTGTTTAGACTCCAGTTATGTTAGATCATTCATTACTATGGCTTCTTTCTTTTAAATGACACATAATTGATGTGGATAAAAATGTGTGGGGATTTAACTTGATTGTACAGGTCTTTGTTCTGTGGAATTTATATCTTTAGGGCTCCATTTGTTTTGAATGTAATTTTGTGAGAAAATCAACACAGAACTGAGGTCTGCCTCAGTATCAACTGGGGTGGGGCGTGGGGGGTTACCAAAGTAGAGGGTACACACATCCTTGGTGTGGATAGTGACGCTTACAGGAGGAGTGGTCCGGGGCTTCTTGGGTTTTAGAATCAAATAATTTTGAAATTGGATGGTGTGTAGAAATAGTGGTGCTCACCACAGGTTTCATGTGTCCCCTTATGTTGCCCAGCCTTTGTTGCTATTGGATTTGGGCTTTGTGACTTGCCCAGGCCAACGAGCTATGAGTGGAAGGGATACAGGACACTTCTGAGCCAAGGCATTTAAAAGCTAGTATTCCTCTTACATCCTTTTCTGGGTTACTTCTTGCCTTGTTTTTTTTTTTTTTTTTTAGTACTAGATAGAAAAAGATAGAACCATACAAATTTTGAAATATATGTGTCTCTAAATAATGAAAGAAATTTAGCTTATGTGATGTAGAACTGTTTAGTACAGTCTGTGAAGAAATATGCTTAGCATTCTCTTGCCCATGAACATGGAGTGTGGATGGCAGAGTCCAGCTCTGGTGTTGTGACTCATCCTTGATACCTCACCAGTCCTGGAACAACCTAGTTGTGGAAAAACTGGGATAGGTTGGATTTGGTTTTAGATATTATAGACAGGTGCGTCAGGCAGCTGAATTTGTACAGTAAACCACTTTTGTAAATGATCAGATTTCTGTGTCTGATAATTTGTTGGGAATCACTTGGATGTTGGTTGTGCTGGAAATTCTTATTAATGTGAAAGACACTTTATAGTTATTGTTTCCATAAAGCCAACAAGATTCAAACATAACAGTATTGAGACCAAGGGGCATCTCAGCCTTAAATCCATTTTTCAGCATGCCTAACACACATTATTCTTATTAAATACCTCTTTCTATAAACCTAGCTGTTGCTACCTCAGTGGGTTGCTTGCAGTTTGACTGTAGCCTAGCTTGCTTAATTAAGACTTAAAATAATACCTTCGGTTCTGCCTGGGACTTGAGAGAATAGCCAGCTCTGAAGCCTTTGCTTGCTGTAATGGTTGCTCAGTAGTTGGAGTTTTGTAGCAACAAGGTTTGGAAATCCTCTACCATACAATGGTTTTTATTGTTAATAGGTCTAGTTGTAAGTAGTCATCCTTTTTGACATCAGTTCCTTCTTGCTGAATACTTTATTCTTCTCAGTTTTCTTTTCCTCCCTTTCATCTTTTCTGCTCTCTCCTTTCCTCCCCTTCACTGCCTTTCTCGTTCTCTTTCTTTCCATATCATGAACTGGTAAATTTGCAAAAAGGGACTCCATACTGCTGCCATGTGTAGGGTCCGGGAAACCTGATCATTTTGAAGAGCTAGCCCGTTCTAATGCTATGGTTAGGAAACATCTTACTGAATGTTGCATCTTTTGTGATGTGTGAAATTCCAGAGGAAGTACAGTTTGGGGAAAAAAAGTGTATCCTTGGGACCTACATTAGAGAATATAAATCACAAATCAATATACAGTTCAGATAATACTAGATCGTATACAGCAACTGCCTGTGACAGCAGTGGGAGGTGGGAAAAGTCCCCTCCCTGTGTGCATTTTGAGAAATACACTGTTTTTATTTGGTACAGTTGCATATTCATTTCTAACAGACTGCATCCTAAAAGAATTGGACTTTTATAGATTCCATGAATATTCAGAGAGTCACCAAAACCAATTTTGTCCTTTACCTTATGTGTCTAGACCCATCTGTCATTTGCTTGCTAGATGGTCATAGTTCTGTATTGTGGCATTTGTCTTTTGAGAAAAAGGTATTTCCCATGTTGATAAGGGGGCATGCTGGTACCTTTGCTTCCCTGCTTGAAAGTTTTCACCTTCAGGGTGGATCTTGGTGAGAGCATGTGGCTAGGCCCTGGCTACTTTGCTGTCTGCCACCAGCTCTCTTAAGCTTTTAGGGCATTGTTTTAGACACTAACGTAGCAAGGGAAGGCATGATGGCTGTTGCCACTAGTAAGTCATAGGGTACTTGGCAAGCTGGCAAAAGCTAGAAGCCTCATTCATTTGCATTTTAATTGGAATGACCATTAGCCAAAAGCCCGAATTTTTAAAATTGTCCATTGAGTCCTTTTTCCCTTTACCCTCTCATTTTCCTGAAGCTGATTTCCATCTCTCTCTCTCTTTTTTTTTTTTTTTTTAAGAGACAGGGTCTTGCTCTGTCACCCAGGCTGCAGTGCAGTGCAGTGGTGTGATCATGTCCTGCTGCAGCCTCAACCTCCTGGGCTAAAGCAGTCCTCCTGCCCCAGCCTCCTGAGTGGTTGGGACTACATGTGTGTGCCACCGTGCCCAGCTAATTTAATTTAATTTTTTTTTTGTAGTGACAGAGTCTCCCTGTGTTACTCAGGCTGGTCTTGAACTCCTGGGCTCAAGCAGCCCTCTCACCTCAGCCTCCCAAAGTACTATGGTTACAGGTGTGAACCACTGCGCCTGGCTGATTTGCATCTTTAGAAAAATGTGTTTCTCAACATTTAAAAACTCATGTCTCTTTGATAAACTTACAAATCTTACATCTCCTTTAATATTATTTAAAATATTATAAAAAGTAAGAATTGTAATAAAAGAAGGCAGTGACAGCCTGAGAAGGATGCCCTTTCTTTCCTTCAGTCGTGTGAGTCATGTGTGAAAGTGGGGCTGGCTTGCTTGCCCCAAGTGTTTTTCCTGTTCTTGCCAGTGACAGAGCACAGAGGAGGTCACTTTCACATCAGGCCTCTTCAGCTGCTTTGTTTTCACGGTCACAACGGGCAGAAAGCCTGCTTTGCAAATGTTGTGTATTTTATTATAATTTTGAAAATGCTTTTTTAGATGACACATGTGCCCATCTCTTCTCTCCAAAGGATTCTGATATGACTCCCATACCATTTCTTACCACCTCACTGCTCTTAATACTTAAACATGAAGAAAGAGACAGAAGAAAGTAATTAAGATGGGATAAGTAAGACATTCTTATTCATGAGCATATTCTGTCTGTCATCATCCCCACGGGGCTGTTATTGCACCTCCTCTTCATTGTTATACCCCCGCCCCCCCGCCCAGATGCACCTGCACGGTCATTTGAGCCCTGTCCTCCAGTCATACTTGGATAAGAGGAAGCCAGCCTCACTGGTTCCATCACAGTTCTAACTGCTGTATAGAGTTCTGTGGTGCCTTAAGTAATACGATTATGTATAGAAAAGCTGGGTGCAACCAGTAGCACATGAAGCACATAACAAATGCCAATTCTGTTCCTTTTCCTCCCCTTTCCAGAATTCAGTGTGTTTGCTTCCAGAACCATCTTTGGGTCTTCTAATGTATAATAAAGAAGGACAGGTTTTTCATAGATGAAATTTTGAGTGGGTTTTATTGATTCACCCATGTGACTCCATACCTGCTAACTCTGGTTCCAGTCCTCCTTCTGGTGAAAATAGGTCTTCTGCATTCTTTTGTTGGTAAGAATAGATGGAGAAGAGAACTAACATTCTTTGAAGATCTCCCGTGTGAGTTTCAGGCAGTCAGGCTTAGTTATTTCATTTGCATCATTACAATGAATCCTCACCACATTCCCATGAGATGGGAACAATTATCTTCATTTCATAGATGAAGAAACGAAACACAGAGATGTTATTTGCCTGTTTTGATCTGTAGCGGTGGAAACAAGATGCAAGGCCACAGCCATTGTTCTTGACATTATATAGAGTTGCTTTGTCGGTTTCGGTGAAAGGTATGATTCTTTAAAACATGCTTAAACTTTTCTATTCTTTGGGTAGGCAGAAAAGGGAAAAAATAGCTAGTTATTATTATCCTTTTGATAGCAAACTCCCTCATGCTACCTAGTAACTATTTGGTATAGGATCCGGGGCAATGCTTGTATGCCCCCAGATGCCTTGCAGTATTTATTTGGCAGACCAAGAATATTATAAGTGTTTACTCTATGGCAGTAGTTATTAAAAGTGGAATTATGATCTCTTTTCATTGTGAGAAATCAATGTCTTTTCAAGAATAGGAGTATTTTAGATTGGCCTAAGGGAGCTTTTCTGGTAATCTGCAAAGGTAACCAAAGGGTTATCTTTTCCTACTTCCACAGAAAAATATTTGGATCCATTTTAATAGGAGTTGTAATAGTGAAAGAATGTGCATACAGTGAAATCTTTTATACTGTTATTTAAAAACAGAAATGTTCACATATAGAAAAAATGAGTAAAAGATATGCTTACAACTTTGAACTCACCATATGTACTCATCATGATGTATATCAGGCAAAATAGAGTTCCATAATTTGTATAATCTTACTCTGGAGTTTGGATTTTAACACTTAAGAATTCATTACTACTACTCTAGTGCTGGCATTCGCCATTATCTGAGGCGTATAGAGAATTCCCTCTCATTGCAGTTGTCTGTGTCCACATTAGGTTTGTTTTGTTTCGCTTTGATTTCTTTTTTACTTTTCAGAATATTTCTGAGGGAAAACAAATCAGATTTGAATAGAAGAATTTTAATTTGGTGAGGGAAATTTGGCAATAGAAAAATGGTTTGATATTGAAAATATGTGCTGAGATAAACAATTATATTAAAAGAGAAAAGAAAAAGGAGCTAATGTTACCAGCTTAACACCATTCAACATGAAAAGATTTGCTACTGAACTTTGTCCTTTGAAACTGCATTTTGAAATTTGGCCACTGGAGGGCGCTGTGCTACTGCAAACCACTTATTCAAGTCAGAAGTCATCGAATCTCTTCATTTTTTCTTCTCAGTAAAAAGATAAAGGATTTATATTCTTGTAATGCCAAATCAGTTCATACTTAACATTCAGCCTTTAGCTGTGGAAACTTGTTTGAATGACAGTAATGGCTTCATTTCAAGTTATCGAAATGTTTAATGCTGTGTAATTTACTCAAATGTGTGTAATCCTTTATTTAACTAGATGAAAATAATATACTGTTAACATTGGTTTTTAGCATTAATTAATGTGACTAATTAAAGTTAAAAACGCTAAAACCAATTTCCCTGTTTTGTTGCATGATGAGACTGTAGAGTTTTCCTCTGGCCCAGACTGGTTTGGGTTCAGTGCTCATCTCCCCACAGCTAGCTCCATCCCCACACGTATCCCTGATGTTTTTGTAGTTAATTTGATTTCAGTGTACCAAAGGCTACTCTTGGTAGCAAAACTGACTAACTATAGATCCTTTTCCTCCTAAAACCTGTCTTCGCAATGACAGGAATCTCCTAACATCACTTTATTATTCCAAAATGAATGTAGCAATGATTGAAATCACTAAATTACTACCAGCACTTAAACAGAGAGAAAAAAGAACAAAGCATGTGCTGAGATCACTAGTCCTGGCAAATAGGAGATGAGTGAGACCTCATTTTCCTCAGGAAAAGGGAGAACCTCAGTATTCCTCCCAAAGACCCCGTCAGCACAAATATTGTTGCCATCCACTATCAATAATAAGGAAAAACAAAACTAAAAGCCCCTGCTGTTTACAAAGTCTTAGTCTGGTCTTGGAAATTGGGTATAAGTCAAAACCAGGTAACACGTTTCTGGCCGCCTGCATCTACTGCTGTGATGTGTTACATTAAAACTACCTATTACAGTTCTGTGTTTGTAGGCATAAATAATTCTTTCTCATTAAACATTGCTCCTCCAGGGTTTCAGAGAAAGGAACGTTTTTACCCAGTGTAATTGTTGATAAATATCCTTTATTCAAAGTAATCGGTAGGTTATAGCACACTTTCTTATTATTTTAAAACTCATGGAATTTTTGTATGTAAGTTGAAAAATTTTTTTCTTTTTTGCTTTAATGAGTAGTATTGAATGGACAATTTTTTAAGGGTTAAAAATGCAGAAGTATCTTATTTTTAGATCGAATTCTAGATTAGAATTGTCTAGGTTTAAAGAACAGCTATAAACATAATTTGCCAACTCCTTCACATAGTATTTTATATCATCATGTAATTTTTTTATGCAGTGGTACTGTTTATTTTGTGAATAAAATCTTAAATCGAAAGTGTACATTTAATTTAGAGCAAAATGCAACTTTATTATTAGCATATTGACAGTTTTTTGGTTTATCAACACTTTAAGAAAAGAATTGATATGCTATTTGTGCCACATTATAATTTTCCTTACCATAAAATGTCAATATTATACATACACACAAAATAGTTCTCTTAGTTGATTAAAACAAATAATTGAAATAAAAAATTATGTTTATTCTTACATGTATGCCATGTAGCACTTTAAGGAGATGAGTTTATGAAATTCATGAATGAGAGGATGATGTAAGTTTAAAAATCATTATTTTAGTTGCTTTATTCTTCTATTTTAAATTCATAAATAACACAGGTGGCCTGTATTTTGAAAAGAGCCCTTTCCTCCATTTGAACTTTATAAACACTGAGGCAGTAGGTGTAAATATTATCTCCATTTTATATTGAAGGAAATGGGGCCATAGGAAGATGAAAATTACTTTCCCAAGATCATAGAAATAGCATGGGCTAAAGCTAGGGCTGAGCTTCAGTTACCTGCTCCTGGTCAGTGTTCCTTCCTGCACATCTCCCTCCTTTAAAAACTTAGGGTGCAGTCCTGAAGGGGTGCTGTTGAACCCTGAATGGAGACTGTGAACCGAGATCCCAGGAGAGGCCTTTGGATGGAAAGGCTGGCCTTTGTTTCTTTGTGTATTATAGATTGATTTAGGCTGTTTCTGTGGGCCCATTTTCTCATCTCTAAAGTGGGACCCGGTTAATCTTTTTTCAGTTGTATCCACAACAGAGTAAACAATAATGGAGATTTAATTTATTGAGAACTTTGAGCCTGAGGGTAAAAGCTATTTGTAGTGTAGTTTTTGCCCTTCTGTGTTTTTTGGAAAAGGAAAGTTACTCTTTCCTTTTTATTTACATGAAAGACAGCAAGCTTGAAAAAATTAAGTATTGGAAGTGAACAGATGAGCCATCCTTCATCACAGAAACCCAAGGAAATATTACTTTAATGATTCTTAATACACTCCATAATTACTCTTAATACACCCTGTTGGGCCAGGTGAAAGACTCAGGATTTGTTTTTCTTCCTTCATTGCCTCATTGCTTTGTGGTTTCTTCTCATTTGAGAATGAGATTTTTTTTTTAAAGAATGTATTTATTGGTGTGTGATAATAGGCTAATTTTTTAAAGAGATGCAATGTCATCAGTGTTTGACTGCTAAGATTAAAATAAACCATAAATTAGGACATAACATTTCCTAAAGACATTTTATGTTTTAATCAGTGCTAAAATAAAATGGAAAGGATAAATAACTACTAAAGTAGCAATAAAGTGAAGAAAACAGGTGTTATTACTTAATTTATGCAAGAAAAAATAATTGTTAAATACACATAAATAAAATACTAGTTAGTTAGCAATGGTAGGTAAGGACTTTAGCTCATTAATGTGATTTCTCATGACCCTGTGTCACCTGGACTCAGGGCTTTGTTGGTGGCACCCACAACACAATGCCACTATTATGTAACTAACACCTTGCCTTTCTTGCCAGCACCTTAATACTTCAAAGCACATATTCTTATTTCACGATATTGTGTTTGCGGGTATTTCCACGGGACAGAGGACATCACTTTCATCTGTACTACAAACCTGCCAAACTGTCTTGAGACCATTTCTTCTCCTATGCTTGAGTTTCGTTGTCTTTTGTCCCTTTTGTTTTTATGATCTGATCTATACCAGCCCTCAAAGAGATCTCTCTCAACATGATGACCCTCATGAACAGCTTTTCCCTTTTACATCAAAACTTGTACCACTTTTGTCATCCACATCCCTTTTGGATCTTTTTATTCTGGCTTTTATGCCCATATCCAACATTTATAATCCCCCAACTGGCTTAGAGGAAGTCACAGTCAGATTACCTGGTGCCTTTTCTGGGAAAAATCTATGCACTAGAAGTAAGCCCTTTTTCAGTTTTGGTTCTCTGCTGCCTTTGACTTTCCAGATCATGCTGATTTACTTGAAATAAATTCTATAAGCCACATGTCAAAAGGGCTGCAAGTTTTCTCCTGTCAGACATTCGTTTTTACCATCTCTCACCTTCTTCCCTCTTCTCACTGACAGGTCTCTCTGGGGTTGTGGATTCTGACTAGCCTGGAACATCTAGCACTGACTTCCCTTCTTTCACATGTCAAATAAGAATGAGCATTAGAACTGGATGTGTCGGCCGGGCACAGTGACTCACACCTGTAATCCCAGCACTTTGGGAGGCTGAGGCGGGTGGATCACCTGAGGTCAGGAGTTCGAGATCAGCCTGGCCAACGTGGGAAACCTGGTCTCTACTAAAAATACAAAAATTAGCCAGGCCTGGTGGTGCACACCTGTAATCCCAGCTACTCGGGAGACTGAGGCAGGAGAATCTCTTGAACCTGGGAGGCGGAGGTTGCAGTGAGCCGAGATTGCGCCACTGCACTCCAGCCTGGGCAACAGAGCAAAACTCTGTCTCAAAAAAAAGAAAAAAGAAATGGATGTGTCTTTTGAGAGTGTAGTGTCCATACCTTTCATTTTGTTGACAGAGGGTTATGGTACCCAGAGAGAATGGGAGATTTGCCTAAGGACTTGCAGCAAGCAAGCAGCAAACCCAGGACAAGCATCTGGGCCTCCTGACTCATAGTCCATCTGGTAGCGTTTCTACTCCACATTCCTTCCATCTGGCCAACACTGAGTGGAACCTCTGCAGGCTGTGCAGATTTGGGGGACTTACACTGGCTGCTTTTTAGAAACTAATAGGTCATTAGCCAGCTTCGGTAGATCATCCCTTATATGGCATTACAAAGGACAAATGCAGAGGATTTGACTAGCTGGAAATGCTACATTTCAAGATTAAAACAACAACAAATTAAAAAGACAAAATTAAAAGGCAAATGGAAAAGTGGGAAACATACAATATTTGTGATAGAAGAAAAGGTTAAAATCTTTTCTGTTTGGCTCTTATCATCAAAAAGAAGATGAATACCTCAGAAGAAAAATGGGAATAGGACGTGTGACATTGGGAATAGACAATTCACAAAAGATGGCATATAAATAAATGCCATGTGAAGAAAGGATCAACGTCAGTGTGAAACAAAGAGAAACCATTTCATGCTTATCAAATGGAAAAATATTTTGAATAATGCTCATAATCACTGTTGGTGAGGGCGAGGTAAAACATTCTTTCTATAAGCTGGTCCGTCCTAGAAGTTACAGAAATTATTATACATACACACAATGGAATTGTATAATGTTAAAAGGTTTTAGGAAAATTTACGTGACACAAAAATGCTGACATTAAGTGAAAAAAAATACTGTAATTATTTACTTATTTATTTATTTTTGAGACAGGGTCTTCTCACTCTTGTCACCCAGGCTGGAGTGCAGTGGCACAATCATAGCTTATTGCAACTTTGAACTCCTGGGCTCAAGTGATCCTCCCACCTGAGCTTCCCTAGTAGCTGGGGCTACAGGCATGTGCCACCATGCTCAACTAATTTTTAAATTTTTTTGTAGAGATGGGGTCTTGCTATGTTTCCCAGGCTGGTCTCAAACTTCTGGGAATATTCTAATTTTTCAAATGGCATATGTGTATCTGCATTTTTAAAAAAGCTGTAAGGGCCAGGCACAGTTGTTCACGCCTATAATCCCATCACTTCAGGAAGCCAAGGCAGGTGGATCACTTGAGCCCAGGAATTCAAGACCAGCCTGGACAACATGGTGAAACCCTATCTCTACAAAACATACAAAAATTAACCAAGCATAGTGAAGCATGCCTGTAGTCCCAGCTACTTGGGAAGCTGAAGCAGGAGGATCCCGTGAGCCTGGGAGGTCGAGGCTACAGTGAGCCCTGATCATGCCACTGTACTCCAGCCTGGATGATGACAGAGTGAGATTCTGTCTCAAAAAAAAAAAAAAAAGTTGCAAGGAAATAATAAAATGTTGAAAATATTTTATTATTGGATGGAGAGATTATGAATAATTATTCTCTTTTTTTGAATTTCCTTATTGAAAAATAATTTTCTTAATGAAAATTCTATAATGAATGTGTACCACTTTTGAAATTCAAAAAAGCATTATAAAAAAAGAAACATTAATTTTTCTTAACAAAATGGGTTGAGACTTCACCTTCAGATCACACATTCTTTGCAGAGCTGCTGGTTTTCGTCTGACGTTTTAAAAAGCTGTCCACCACACCTTGGTTTGCAGAGCATGTCTCTGTAATAAGGTAAAGGCCTCATGGCACAGTGAGAATAGACGTGGCCTAGGAGCCCGGAGACAGGACTGTGCTATGCCGACACATCGCAGCCTGAAGTCACTGCCTCGTCCCTGGGTGTTTCTTCATTTACGGAGCTAGAGAACGTTGGTCCATAGTTTCTATACGGTTCCTTGCAGCTCTAAACCTGGATAATTCTGATTCTTCCCCAAGCTTCTCAGCATCTTCTTTTTCTTTTTTTGTCCCCTAATATCATCTCATTGATGCTAAGTTGGGAGGCTAGATCCATTTGAAAATCTGACTCTGGGAATCTTTGTTGTTGATATTAAAAAAAAAATCCCTTGGACACTTAAACCTGTAGGGGCTGGGCATGGTGGCTTACACTTTTGGGGGGCCGAAGTGGGAGGATAGCTTGAAGCCAGGAGGTTAAGACCAGCAACACAGCAAGACACTGTCTCTACAAAAAATTTAAAAATTAGCCAGAGGTGATGGCATGCACCTGTAGTCCCAGCTACTTGGGAGGCCGAAGTGGGAGGATGGCTTGATCCCTTGTCTCAAAAAAAACAACCTTTAGGGAATTGCTTTTTCTAACTAGGGACTTTATTCTCTATTACACCTATTTCATACTTTGTGCACCCATTTTTAAGATCTAGAGCAGAGGTCAACAAATGTTTTTGGTAAAGGACCAGATAATAAAAATTTCAGGCCTTGTGGGCAACATAAAGTCTCTGTTACAAATTATTCTTTTTCTAAACAATACTTTAAAAATATAAAATTTATTTTTGGCTCGCAGGCCATAGTTTGCTGATCTCTGTTCAAAACCTTAAAGGAGCAAGAAATTGTTTTAGTCATACCTGGTGATACTTGCAAACTCGATTCCCCTCCACCTTTCTTTTTTCTTTTCTTTTCTTTTCCTTTCTTCTCTTTTCTTCTCTTTTCCTCCTTTCCTTTCCTTTCCTCTTTCTTTCCTTCCTTCTCTCTCTCTCTCTCTCTCTCTCTCTCTCTCGCTGACTCTCTCTCTGTCTCTCTCGCTCTGTCACCCAGGCTGGAATGCAGTGGCGTGATCTCAGCTCACTGCAGCCTCGACCTCCCTGGACTCAGGTGATCCTCCCACCTCAGCCTTCAGAGTCGCTGGGATTACAGGCATGTGCCACCATGCCCAGCTAATTTTTGTATTTTTTGTAGAGCTGGGGTTTCCCCACATTGCTCAAGCTTGTCTTGAACTCCTGAATTCAAGTGATCTGCCCTCCTCGGTCTCCCAAAGTGCTGGGATTACAGGCATGAGCTACCACACCCAGCCCACCCCCTCCTAAGGTAGGTCTTCAGATTATAAATAAAATAATCCTTCAGAATGACAGGAGATAATTTATATAATGGATAACCACAAGCACATAATTTTGTCTAGTTCTTCAAATGTCTTTATAACCAAAAGCTCAAAGATGGAATCTACCTTACACAGGACTATTTTAAATTGTTCTTTATATTGTGTCCTTTGTGCTGTTCCTGAAAATATGTTAGAATCCTAGATTTGGGTACAGATTCAAGTAGTTAACTCTCATGCTCTCAGCAGGGCCCATCTCAACTCTCTCTTGTAAACATAAGTGTTAAGCACAGATTTTAGAGTTAAATGGACCGAATTCAGTCCCAGCTTGGTCATTTACCAACTATCTGACCATTTCAAGTTAAAATGAGAATAGTGCTACAAGCATACCCCTTTTTGTTACACTTTGCAGATACTGTGGTATTTTGTTTTGTTTTTACCAACTGAAGGTTATGGCAACTCCGTGTTCAACAAGTGTTTTGGCCCTATTTTTCCAGCAGCATGTGCTTACTTGTGTGCCTATGTCACATTTTGGTAATTCTCACAATATTTCAAAACTTTTCATTATTATTATATCTATTGTAGTGATCTGTAATCGATGATTTTTGATGTTACTATTGTAATTGTTTTGGAACATCACAAACCACACCCATAGAAGACAGAATTTAATAGATAAATGTGTGTATTCTGACTGCTCCACTGACTGGTTGTTCCCCCATCTCTCCCTGTCCTCCAATCTCCCTATTCCCTGAGATACAATATTGAAATTAGGCCAGTTAATAACCCTACAGTAGTCTCTTTAAGTGTTGAAGTGAAAGGAAGAGCCACATCTCTCTCACTTTAAATCAAAAGCTAGAAATGATTAAGCTTAGTGAAGAAGGCATGTTGAAAGCTGAGATAGGCTGAAAGCTAAGCCTCTTAAGACAGTTTGCCAAGTTGTGAATGCAAAGGAAAAGTTCTTGAAGGAAAGTCCAAGCACTCCAGTGAACACAGGAATGATAAGAAAGCAAAGCAGCCATTGCTGATATGGAGAAAGTTTGAGTGGGTATGGATAGAAGACCAAACCAGCCACAACATTCCCTAAAGCCAAAGCCTGATTCGGAGCAAGGCCCTAACTCTTCAATTCTGTGAAGGCTGAGAGAGGTGCGGAAGGTGCAAAACAAAAGCTTAGAGCTAGCAGAGGTTGATTCATCTTGGAGCTAGCAGAGGTTGATTCATAAGATGAAGAACAGAAGCCATCTCCATAACATAAAAATGCAAGAAGAAGCAGCAGCTGCTTGTGTAGAAGCTGCAGCAAGTTACCCAGAAGACCTAGCTAAGATCATTGACGAAGGTGGCTACACTAAGCAGCAGATTTTCAAGATAGATGAAATAGCCTCCTATTGGAAGAAGATGCCACCCAGGACTTTAATAGCTGGAGAGGAGAAGTCACTGCCTGGCTTTAAAGCTTCAAAGGACATTTCTGATTCTCTTGTTAGGGGCTAATGTAGCTGGTAACTTTAGGGTGAGGCCAGTGCTCATTTATCACTTTGAAAATCCTAGGGCCCTAAGAGTTATGCTAAATCTACTCTGCCTGTGCTCTGTAGATGGAACAACAAAGCCTGGATGACTGCACATCTGTTTACAGCATGGTTTCCTGAATATCTTAAGCCCACAGCTGACACCTACTGCTGAGACAAAACAGCTCCTCTCAAAATATTCCTGCTCATTGACCATGTACCTGGTCACCCACGAGCTATGATGGAGCTGTACAAGGAGATGAATGTTGTTTTCATGCCTGTTAACACAACATCCATTCTGCAGCCCGTGGATCAAGGAATCATGTTAACTTTCCAGTCTTATTTACGAAATACATTTTGTAAGGCTATAGCTTATAGCTATAGATAGTGATTCCTTTGATGGCAAATTCTTTTGATTCCTCTGATCTGGGCAAAGCAAATTGAAAGCCTTCTGGAAAGTATTCACCATTTAGAGGCCATTAAGAATATTTGTGATTCGTGAGAGGTGGTCAAAATATTAACAGCAGTAAGTGTAGTCTGAAGATATGACTGGATTGCTGCAAACTTTAATGGTTGAGGAGTTGCTTCTTATGGATGAGCAAAGAAAGTGAAGATAGAATTCTTGAGATAGAATCTACTCCTGGTGAAGATGCAGTGAATATTGTTGAAATGGTAGATTCTAGAACAAAAGATTTAGGCTGTCACACAAACTTAGTTGATAAAGCAGTAGTAGGGTTTGAGAGGATTGACCTCAATTTTGAAAGAAGGTCTACTATTGGTAAAAATGCTGTCAAACAGCATCGTATGCTACAGATAAATCTTTCATGAAAGAAGAGTCAATAGATGCAGCAGACTTCATCATTGTCTTACTTTAAGAAATTGTCACAGCCACCCCAGCCTTCAGCAACCACCACCCTGATCAGTCAGCAGCTATCAACATTGAGGCGTGATCCTCCACCAGCAAAAAGGTTATGACTCACTTGAGACTCAGATGATTGTTAACATTTTTTAGCAATAAAGTATGTTTTAATTAATAATCTGTACTTTTTTTGGACATAATGCTGTTGCACACTTAATAGGCTACCATACAGTGTAAACGTAATTTTTATATGCACTGAGAAACCAAAAGATTTGTGTGGCTTGCTTTATTGTGTGGTCATAAACTGAACCCATGACATCTCCCAGCTATCCCTGTACCTGTCTCATAGGGTTGCTACAAATGTCAAAGGAGATCAGGCTTGTAAAACAGCCTTAGCAGAGGTCTTGGTACAAAGGAAGCACTCAGTTGATAAAGGATTACTGTTATCTCTTTTTGTTTTAAAAAGATATCCAGTATTCTTCTTCAGGAACTGATTATAATCTCAAATAGTAGTCAGTCCCAGGAAGTGTTTTTATAAATCTAACCCACATTTTATCTACTCTAGAACTTTTGCCCATCTGCTGAACCTTTAATCCATTTCTTTTTATTTAATCCTCATTAGACATTTAAAAAACAACTAATGATTACCCCTGAAGAATAAAAATATAACACTTCCTTAGTAATTCTAGTTCTAGTTTCATAGGTCTGATTTCCCTGTGCACTAGTTATTATGTCTCACCTTTATGCTTCTGTGCATGTCTACAGTTGAAGAGCAAAGAGCTGAACACAGGATTCTAAACAAGGATTTCATCGTCATTTCATTTATCCATTGAGTAAAATGTTTACGGAGCACCCACAATATACTAAACACTGTGCCTGGAAGTAGACATATAGCAGTAAACGAGATTAAGTTGTTGCTTAACGCAGTTTACATTGTAGTAGGAGAGAGAGAAAAATGAGATGTAAAGAAATAAATGTGATACTGACTAGTCATAGTTTGACAAAATTGGAATGGGGGAATAAGCTAGCCAGTGGTTGAGTTTGGGGAAGGAGCACTTGAGCAGAACGGTCAGGGAAGGCCTTTCTGAGGAAGTGAGTTGAGCCAAAACTTGAATTACAAGAAGTTGGCTTGGCTATGCAGCAATCTAAGGGAGAAGTGTTCCAGGCTAGGGAACAGCAAGAGTAAAGGCTGTGAAGTAGAAACTAGCTTGGGGTTTTTGAGGAACAGAAAGAAGGCCATGTGTTTCTGAAATCTGGTGGGTAGATAGTCTGTAGGGTGTTGGGAGGAAGGTATGTTTAGCAATGAGGGCAGACAGATAGACAGGAGCCATGTCCTACAGGGACTTGATAGTGTCGAATTCTAAGGATGATGGGAAACCATAGAAGGGTTTAAACCAGGTGATGGTAGTTGAGATTTTTGAAAGATAACTCTAGTGTGATCTAGTGTGAGAATGGACTATAGGGAAGACCAGACAGCAGGTGGGCAAGGAAAAGTGAATACAAGAGACTGGGAAGGAGCTGCCAGTGAGGCAGGAAGAAAACAAGGACAACATTTTCATGGAAGTCTTAAAAAGTCAGTCTTTCGGTATGAGGAGGGGAGATGGGAGAGGGCAGTAGGTAACAGAAAATCGACTCCTGGTTGTAGCAAGATAGAGCTTAGTGGCGTCCTTTAAGAGCCATTTCAGTGGAGTCAAGGGAGAAGGGAATAGAGGCTGAGGGAATAGGGGTAGCAATACATGTAGAAGATAAAGTATCACTGGGAGGGGAAGCAGAGAAATGATGAAGAGGATGGAGGGGGACCTAGGGTCAAGGGAGGATGATGTTAAGGTATGTGTGTGTGTGGACTGGAATGATACCACAGGGAGGGAGGATTTGATAATGCAGGAGAGTGGATCTTTGTAGGGGCCGTGTACCTCATTATGGGAGAGGGGCTGGATCTCTAGCTCAAGGAGAAGATTGACTTTAGGTAGAATTGAGGTTCCTTCTTTTCCTGTAACAGGAGGAAAGGCAGAGTATGTAGAATAGATGTACCCAGATTGAAAGAGGCAAAAATGGAAGCCTTACCTTCATGTTGACAGTGCTTGTGCCTTGGTGGGTCTTTGTGGTATATCATGGCCTCAAGCTCTGTTTTTGCAGGTCCACTGAGTTATTTGTGCTATATATATTCTTTTCCTACCCAGGCCATCTATCTCAGATACAGATCTGTTTACATGTCTGTCTCCCCCACTAAACTGGCATCTCTTCAACAAGAGTAGTTATCTTTGTATCTCCAGACATAGCTCAGTGTTTGGCAAGAACTGAGTTGAAGGAATGACAGCTACATCAGTAGAAAGGACTCATATAACAGCTACACAAACATGCGGTAGAAAGGAAAGTAATTCAAGAGCATGAATAAAATTAAGTGTTTATATCTTAGAATAATTAATATGATTTCTCTCTTTTAAGTGGAATACATTGTTACTGAACACCAGAATTGAGGGGTAGCTAAAAGTAAAAAAAAAAAAAAAAGAAAGAGAAAGGATCACCTCACACCTCACTACCATCTGGAAAGAAGATGAGCTTTTAACAGCCCCTTTCAGTAGGGACGAGTTAGTGCCTGGCATGCTTTGGTGGGAAGCACATTTCTAGGTTCAGGAGAAAGTGAGAATCAAACGTGTCTGGGAAAAGGAGATCCCAGTGTGATCAGCTTGCTTGTGGAAGATTAGCAGGGGTTGGGGGCGTAGAGGGCTTCGGGCAAGAGTAAATGTTAATGAGAGATGGCTTAAGCAGACTTGTGCCCAAACGAGTGAGAACAATTTGACAGGAAGTTCAGTTGAGCATGTGTAGCACTTCTCCAAATGCTTTCTTCTTGGACTGGGAAGAAACACAACAAAACAAAATAGTTACTTTCCCCTTCAACATTATACAGCACATCCTAAATGAAACATGACTTTCTGAGTTACAAGCTGCCCCTGGCAAAAAGGCTGGTTATAATCTCAGTGTGTTCCCTGAAACTAATGTTCCTTGGGCACTCCAGATTTGTGTGACGTACTGTAAGTTATATCCAACTGAACTGTTCTTTTAACTGCCTGCATTAAGCATCATCAAATAAGTTGCGCTGAAAGGAACCACCTGAATAAAGAAGCTTTTATACCTTTGTAAGTCCTCACTGCATGACCCTAGGTCACTGCTGTTGAACTTGGGAGCTTTCTCTCCCAC
Source organism: Homo sapiens (assembly GCF_000001405.40). Taxonomy (NCBI): domain Eukaryota; kingdom Metazoa; phylum Chordata; class Mammalia; order Primates; family Hominidae; genus Homo; species Homo sapiens. The sequence goes on along the minus strand of NC_000006.12, from coordinate 38,481,721 downwards.
TTTTCACTCTCTTGCCTTTAATGGATGGGGGTCTCCACACCAGGTTTTCTTTCTCTCTCATCTGCCAGGTGCTAGCAAATGGTGCTGCCAGCCTCATTAGGGGAGAGGGGGTAGTGTGGAGGCAGGCACTGGCCCCTCCCTCATGTGCCCCGCTTCCCAGAGGCCTATGGGATACCAACTGAAAAGAGGTCGTGAGCAGAGCTGCTCACCCTGGAATTCATTTTCTCTAGACTCATTAAAATGCTGCCTTCCTATCTCCCTTGGATTTTTACTTTTCAAAACACTTTACGATGTGCGGCCTCATTTTATTTTACATTAAGCTGACAACCTAACATCTCACCAAGTATCAACTGGGAATACAATTTTGCACTCACTGTGCTGTGCCATCTTGCCAAGTTTTGTCTTTGTTACTCAGCTCTCATTCAGAAAGGAATTAATTTGAATTATATGATGCTATGGTTGTCTCCTTGAAGAAGGGCTAGATTCCTGCACACCTTGGGAAAGTATCTATCTGTGAATGTACTTGAATCTTCCAGGTTATATGCCATTCTTCTCTCTTCTTTCCCTTTCACATCATCATGGGCTCCTCTCACGTTAGAATAAACCTTTCTGTTTTGCCTCTCCCTACTCAATGGGATTTCCATTGTTTCTGTCTTCACTTCCTTTTACCTGGGAGAAGCTGATACTGATGGAAAGGCATTTTTGAGTCTAGATATAAAGCTCTTTGTTTAAAGAGCATTTTTAAAAGAAGGGAATTTTTACATTGCCAAAGGTACCCAGGTGTTGCCTTCCTTCCCCATGAGGATTTTGCACAGAGCGCACATTCATACCCACTATCTCTTAGTGTCAGCCTGTGTGATGGCTATATGCTGTCTACCAACACTACAGTCTGTTTGGGAAGCGCCAAATCTTGGGTAGGCACTGGATCTAAAACTGGCACTGGAATCATCCACTCAGAGGAAGAAAGATTGAGGTCAGGTGGGGAATAAGACAGGCAAGTTGTCAGGCTTCTTTTCAGATGGTTCTCAGAGTACACTTCCATTACTTAGAACAGTGGGTTTGGTGGGGGGTTTTGGCGTGTTCTATAGCTGAGCTACAAGCAAAATTAGAGCTTTTTACTTATATACTACTTTGCATGGAGGTAGTCTCAGGGTCCCAGTTACAGCACTGATTTCTTGAAAAGAGTTTGATGTTCTGGCCCATGCTTAATTTAAATGAGAGGCTAAAAGCAGATTGTGTAACCCACCAATGCCCATTTGACAGGACTTGCACCAATCTGACCTACACTTTCATAAGAGCTCCTAAGCAGAGTGCTGTACTGTGGGTCTTCTGCCTTAACTCCAGGAATGGCAGAGATGAGCTACTGTTTATTGAGCACCGACAAAGGAGAGGTACTCTGAGTGTTGAATGCATGCTGTCTCTCAGCCCACAAGAGCCCTGCAAAGGAAGTGCATTGCTCCCCGTATTTATGGATGAGGAAGCTGAGTATCAAGAAGCTTGCTCAGAATCATGCAGCTAGCAAGGAGCAAGGCAGGGTTTCAGAGCTACGTTTATCTGTTTCCAAAGAGTACACTCTCCCCTCAATTCCCAGTAGTACTTCTCCAGTAAATCTTAAGTATTGTATTGCTTTTTTCCCTTCTATTTCTCTTAGCAGTCTATAGAAAAGAGCGTTTATTTAAAGATTTTAGTGCTCATCTGGGCATAGTGACTCATGCCTGTAATCTCCACACCTTGGGAGGCCGAGGCAGGAGGATCGCTTGAGCCCAGGAGTTCCAGACCAGCCTGGGCAACATGACGGAACCCTTTCTCTACCAAAAATACAAAAGTTAGCTGGGCATGGTGGTGCACACCTGTAGTCCCAGCTACTCAGGAGGCTGAGGCAGCGGGATTGCTTGAGCCCGAGAGGTGGAGGTTGCAGTGAGCCGAGATCACGCCACTGCACTCTAGCCTGGGCGACAGAGCCAGATCCTGTCTTTTAAAAATAAAAATAAAAATAAAAAAAGATTTTAGTGCCCCCTATAACTTGAGGCTTGGATTCTGAAGTGAAAGTTGTTGTTCTGAGAGGTGTTGATTGAGCAGTAGTAATACCAACTACATCAGTGGGACTTGGTGGCCCAGTCACACGGATGCAGTCAGAAAGGGAGTGTTACCTCATAAAGCAGTGATTCAAGCCTGGGCTTGGATTTTAAAATGTTGGAAAGTTGTGAAGAAATGGGATTTTTTTTTTCTTCCAAAGATTGTAATAACTTTGCCATTGTACCATTAACATAGTCACCACCTCATGTTTGTCATGTAACCAATTTATGTTTTTACTAACATTGAGGAAATGATTTTTTTTATGCTTCCTCCTTTCTATCTTTCAATTTTTTCCCATCTACACTGTGTGGATTATCAGATAAACAGGAAGGTCAGTGCTCGCTTAACCAGGGTTTGGCCAGTGCTCAGTGGGTGGGAAGCCGTCGGGAGAGGAGCTGGAGGGGTTGTGTGTCTGAACCCCTGTGCTCCACATTGGGCGCCTGTCAGGTTCCACTGACTTTTCATTGTATATTTGGAAACTCTTTCATAGCCAGAGCAAAGCCCAGGGAAATCTCTCCTCCTGTGGTGTTGGTCGCGTTCTTGTAGTTTCCATTTGATAACAGCATAGTTTACAGAGAACTTTTTGAGCTTTTGGAGAACTCCTGAGACTTATTTTGTCTTTGCCTGCAGCCAAAATAATTGAAGCATTGTCAGTCTATTTCAGCAGCACTTCTTCAGGTAGACTGTGATACTATTTGGGATGTTCAGATAGACCAAAGAGAACACAGATTGTAGCTCCTCCTGGAGCTATAATCCTGGTTTTATATATGATAAAAGTGAAATGGAATTTTAGCTCACAAGACATACCAAGGCGACTTGGTCATTATATAGTAGCAGCCTCGCTTATAATTTCCAGAGTTTCCTCTGAGTTTTAATCTGGCATTTGTTTCTTCCCTTCTCCAAGGAAAACAGGAGTTCTTAGCTCTTCCCTGTAGCTTCTGAAATAAATTCACACAGAATTTGAAGGCAAGTGAAGTAGGTCAGAATCCTTCCGGAAGCCAAGAACCCACTTATCTTCCCTCCTTTAGTTTTCTGTTTTGTCTGCCCATGCACATTTCCTCTTAGGTCCTCTAAGGAGAGTATGGGAAGAAAGGGAGTCAAATTCAATGATGCAGAAAGGGTCAGAGAAAGTGGTTGTAGATGACTGATGAGATTTGACACCATCCTCACTGCCGGCCATGTAATTCTCTAAAAAAAATAGGAGACAAGATAGAGATAGTCAAATCATACTAATAAACTATTTTTCAAGCATCCACATGCCCAGAGATGCTTAAAAGACCAGTAAATGGATGTGTCAGATGATATATATGAGTAAGCTAATATGATAGTCAAAATCAATAAAATAAAACCAAAATATTTTAAAGGTGGCAAAGCTCATGAGAGCCCAGTACTCAGAAATATATAACCTTCCTTTGCACATGTTTCTCCTCACATATATACGCACGTAATCAGAGACTGGTGGTAAAATTTTTAAACTTCTGACCCCCTCCCCCTTCCTGGTAGGAAGCAGTTGAGGGAAAAGAGAGGAAACAGCATGTATTGACCACATGCTGCTTCCTCTTAGGCACTCACACATGCTTTTTGTCTTACCTAATCCTGTATAACATCCCTGTGGCAGCAGGGGTATTCTCATTCTTACAGATGAAGAAATTGAAGCCCAGAGAGGTTGCACCGTTTTTAAAAAGTGATGGGGCCAGATTTCAAAAACGGGTTCACCTGACTCTAAAGACCTTGTGTGAATTGTCTTTCCACTAAACCATGCTGCCTCACCACAGAGCCACTGATGGCTTTACTTGATGTGTTCGTGGCATCGTTGCTCAGTTTGAGTTAAGTGAGTAATTCTTAAATGACTCGAGGATAAGAAGACCTCCTGTAGAGGCTTTACAAATTCAAATACCCCCAGTTCGTATTGCTTTCATCCTCGCTTTCTTAACTATAATCAGCATTGATTCTTTCCTATTCCCTGATAGCATTAAGTTATGATAACACTAGGGTGACAGAAAATAAAATCAGCAAATATAGATACTGCTCGTTAGCTCAGTAAAATGTGAGAATTGGCAATAAAGTAGGTCTTATCTAAAAGGTATGGATATAAATACAAAGCACAGGATTAGAAGCATTTCAGATAAAGATAACTCTGTTTGCTAAACAAGCTTTTTTAGGTATAAAGGAAAAGACAGTCTTGCTTCTGAGCATCTTATTGTAAGCATGATTCTGCCCCTGGCATGTCCTGTAGATGAGAGTTTGCTCTTACAAAATAAGCCCTGTCTATTCAATTGTATTTCGATGTTACAGCTAGCACATAGTAGGTACTAGGTAACACTTAGTTGAAGTGAATCGCTCTTAGTCTCTAATAAAATGTCTTTTAACTACTTCATTTTGCTTCTGTTCCTTGTACATCTGGATTACTTTACTCTCCTCTAATTTTGATTGTCATCCCCAGTAATTAGAGAAAGAAAGCGCAGATTAAGCTTTCTCATTTCATTTCCCCAACTTCTCCCTCAGTGGAATTCATGCCATTTCAGGAGCTCTTCCCTTTTAGGATAGACATCTGTCTTTGTGATGCATCCCCTGGTCCTCAGCCCTTATTAATCTTCAGAACCCCACCCATCCCAGGTGTCACCTCTCTGAAGCCTGAATGTCACTGGCAGGGCCCCATGTAGTGTTGTTGCTGTCCTCACTCCCTGTGCATATTTTAAAAATCAGTTAACAAAAGTTTCTATTTAAAAGCTCCAAGGGAAAATTAGGTATAGTAATAACATTTTCCTATGATTATTTGCCATATTGGCATTGAGGCAGAGAAATCTGTTAGAAAAACTGTTTGCTCTTTTCCCATGTGTCTATACTGAATAATATAAAGCTGGATACGCTGTCTCTATTCTGAAGCTGTCATGTGTTATAATAACTGGTTTGACACTTATTATCTTTTTTAATGCAAAGAGGAAATTGTCAGAGTTCACAACAGTAAAATAGATCCTTTGTTATTTGTATTATTTTTACTTGAAAGTATTTTTTACTGTCTTTGCCTTGATAAAACTGAAGTTTATATGGTAAAAGACGACGACATGACATGAAATGCCAGAATTTGGACAGTATCAGAGCAAAGCAGGATTCAAATGAATCATTAATTGGTATTTTTTAGAACCAATGTTTATAAGCAAAGCTGTCAACTCAAATCACAGCCTAACCTCATAGGATCTTAGAGCTTTATCAGAATAATTATTCATCAGTGACTTTAATATGTCTTCCTGGAGTTGTGAAATGTGTACTTTTCAGGCTGGCTCATAAGCACATGTTATGCACCCTGGCTTCACTCAGGTCTGCATTCATTTATTCCAAGGATGTGAGAAGGGAAGATGTAGCCTTACAAGTACACTGAATTATGCTTTTAATTTTATATCCCTGGGAGGAATTTGTGATCAGATGATTCTGGCCTTTGTGCTGTGCTGCCTTGAAAACAATTTTTAAAGTGTCTAACCGTTAAGCTTAAAAACTACTTTCATTTACTTCAGTGAACCTTTGATATTTAACGGTTAAATTATACAGAGTGAAAAACACAATGGCAACCCCAAATTAATTTTTTCCAGCCTGCCAAATGGACATTCAGGAAATCGAGTGGACATTTCCAGACTTAATTAGCCAGTTTACATTCTTTGAAGAGTTAGGGAGAAGAGCTCTTGGAGGGAGCTGCCATAGAACAGACTGGGAATAAGACCACTGAATCTAGAGCCATCGTGTTTCCAGGCCTGGCTCAGATTCTCTGAGACTCTCAGAGAATCTCTCTGGACCTTTAGAACTCAGTGTTCATTTCAGGGGTTGAGCTAGACCTCCTCTCCACTTCTCTTCCCTGCCCTATCAGTCCGTGGTTCAAACTGGGAAGTATGGCAGCAGCTTTTGGCTGAAAAACAGCAGAGACCCAAGAGATCATGGGTATGCTGTTCTTCTCAGAACCAAATTGTGGCCCTTATATTGGAATAACTTGTTCATTCTGGGCAGTCAACAAATATTACATTCCTGTATAGGATGATGCTGTGCGTGGTGCTGTGGGGAAGGACAAAAAACCAGAAAACAGTGAATTGGACAGAGAAGATGAGAGCTAAAGGCAGCATATGTTGTGTCAGATTAGTGCTTTGCGTAGTAAATGTTGAGGGCAGGCTTTGAGATGCTGAGGGAAGCCTCACAGACCCATAGCTGCAGAGCAGGAATATGCTATGTTCAGGCAATGGTGGAAGCTGGGCTGTAGGAAACACAGCCACAGATTTGAACAAAGATGGAGACAGCAATGTGGATCCAGCTGAAGATGTTTTTTCCTTTTAAATGTAACTGTTACTAGGAGATTTTCTGAGAATATAAGTATTACTATTGAAGAAAATTTGGAAAATAGAAAAAGATTGAGATGGTAAAAATCACCCATAATCTTATAGTCCGTAGACCACTAATTCAGTACTTCATTTTACTTCTTTTTGGCCATGTGTATATGTATGTATTCTTTTTAAAATTGAACTTCAGATCATATTATGTATGTTTTATATTCTGCTTATTTCATTTAACATTGTTTTACTTTTCCCTACATTATTAAATGTTCCTTGAAAACATTTTCGAGGGGTGTATAGTGTTTCATTATATAGAGGTACCATAATTTGACTTTTCCTATATTGAAGCACATATAGTTTCTGTTTTGCTGTTGTAAATAACGCTCTGATGAATATTCTTGTATATAAATTTTTGCTTATTTATCTGATTGAGATTTTTTAAAAGTATACTTTACTTTCATTTGGAGTTTAATGTGGCAGTTGAGTTTGAACTTCAAATTATAGGCATTAGAGATCATCTAATTTTTTTTATCATGATGTGGACTAAAAATTTGGCCCTGGAAATGAATGTAATTATGTTTAAGAAAGAGACAGGAGGATATCTCTATGCTGGAACAAGTGGAAATACTATTAAAAAAAGAGCTTTGAGAACTGATGCTGTTATTGATTCATGTATTTGTATGAACCAGGAGCTGTGCTAGGCCCTGGGAATGAAGATGGCTTTGATTAGTTCAGGTTACTCTCAGCTCTTTCCTTTTTCTTTTCTCTTCTCTTCTCTTCTTTTCTTTTCCGTTCTGTTTTTTCTTTCTTGAGACAGAGTCTCACTCTTTTGCCCAGGCTGTAGTGCAGTGGTGCCATCTCAGCTTCGTGCAACCTCTGCCTCCCAGGTTCCAGCAATTCTCCTGTCTCAGCCGCCTGAGTAGCTGGGATTATAGGCATGTACCACCTCGCCTGGCTAATTTTTCTATTTTTAGTAGAGACAGAATTTCACCATATTAGCCGAGCTGATCTCAAGCTCTTGACCTCGGTTGATCCGCCCACGTCAACTCCCAATGTGCTGGAATTACAGTTACGAGCTACCACGCCCAGCCTCAGCTCTTTCCAGAACTACTGCAATAGCCCCATAACTAGTTTTCCTGTTTCCATCTTTTCTTCTCTCCATTTTCTACTCAGCAGTTAGAGTGTTCTTTTTAAGACATAAATCAGATCATGTACATAACCCATTAAGCTTCTCATTATATGGAAGTATGAGATAAAACCCAACTTCTTAATATGGTCTACAAGGCCACTGTACTGCCCATTTATTAAATACTCCAGCCTTATTGGCCTTTTGTGCATTTTCCTAAAATGTGCCAAGCTCTTTCCTATCTTAGGGTTTCCCAACACATTGCCTTTCTTTCTAGAATACTCTTCCCCTAGTCTTCATCTAGCTTACTTATATGTTATACTTACCCTTTAGTCTCAGCTCAGTTTTTACTACCAGAGAGAAGCCTTTTTGACTACCATCACCCCTTAATTAATTCCTCCATACCAAGTATTTTTCTTTCAAGCACTTATCACAATTTATTATTATATCTTTATTTAATGTATGTCTTCTCTACTAGATTGTAAGCTCCATGAAGGCAGGGATTGTGACTGTTTTGTTCACTTTTACCCAGTACCTATCACTGTCTTTGTCATATGGTAGGGGCGAAAGAATGAATGAAAGGTGAATAAGAGACACCATCCCAGTGTACTTAGGATTTGTACTCTTACTGAGCTTCCATATTGGTTCTACCGATAAGAGCAGAGTAGGAATCAGAAGTGATGAATGAGGGCTTTAATGTAGACGGTTGGTAGAATTAAAATAGCACTGACAGAAATAGGCAAAGAGATAAGTCAGATTGGGAAAGAAATGAATCCAATTTTAGGCATGTGGAATTTAAGGATGAAAACTGGATAATCCATTGGAAAAAATCAGCATGCCAGTACCAATCTCCTGCCTTAATAAAACAAAACCATAACCCAAAACTATTGTTTATTTCTTATTTGGGGACATTATTTATGAATCAGAGAACTCACTTCTTTTTATTGAGGTTCCAGAGCCCATTTTTTAAAAAGAGTATTGCATTTGTCCTACTGAATTGCAGATGGATAAATAGAAGAGAGAAAGCTATCATTTTATTTTCACTTGAAGACATGGCATTCTGTCATCTCTATTACTGAATCCCTGAAGACTTCTTGTTCTGTTTGGAAGAGAAACAGAAGTTGGACCTTTTCTTCCTTCCTCACCTCCCCAGCCAATCCTCACTTCCATTATTTTGGAAAAATATCTAAATTACAAATTTCAGGAGCTTCCATGGTGTTTTCACATACTTCACAGGATCCAACCATAGTATCAGGCTTACAATATTAGATTTTGAATACAGTGTTTAAAATCTTGGTATTTTGCAGAAGAGCAAAGATACATTTAAATTGGAAGCTGATTTTCCCCCAAGAAATCATAGAAATATTCTTTGTTCTGTGAAATGTGAGTAATGCAAGAGTGGGCTTGATTATGACTTGAGCAGGATTATAGATCTTAGAAAGGCCTACCTAGATATAAGCTCATCTTTTCACATTGCAGGCCTAGCGTATTTTTAGAAAACGAATGAAGGTAGGAACCAAAATCCCATCTCCTGTAGGTGCCATTTGGCCTTTTGTCTGTAGAAGTTGCAACATTTTATTCCTGGACTGGTTGGTTATTTTTTACTTGTTTTCAACATGTAGGCTACCTTTGACATACTAGTATGGCAAATCTGGATTTCATATATAATTTTTTTTAAGTTATATAAAAGACCAAGGAATCGTCTTGCTGCTTGGGGACCTTTCTATGACAGTGCCCAACTCTCCTTTTCAGTAACCAACTCAGCCTGACACAGTTGCACTTGCTGCTTAACACTCTGTAAAATGTTATTTAAATATTTCTAACTTATTGTTTCATGCTGGGTTTTATGGAACATAAATTTCTATTTAGGCCAGTAATTTACAGTAGAAGTTTGTTACTAATAGCACTGCAGGCTCCATCCATCTAAAAATATTGCTCCTAACCTATGCTAAAAATATGTTATATATTTGCACTGTATGTAAACAGTGTTGTGTTTTATTAGTGTGCAGTGCTTTGTCTATGGAAATGTTGGTATTGCAGCATATATTTAGCGGAGATAGGATACAAGTGTGGTGGAAAGGCTACAGAAAAGTGAAATCCCTGCAGGATGGGATTTATGGAATTTTCAGAGCACTTTGCAGAAAATCTACATATAATACCCACATTTTCTACAGAGGCAAAGTGGAATCTTGCAGAATGTTCAGAGAAGCTCTGTTATTTCATGTATTCCCTGTATTTCTAACTGGCTTATAGAGGCCTGAAATTGCAAATATATTCAACTCAAAAGAGGCAATCATTATTGCTTCAATGACCATGTTTTTACCTTCAAAAAATATTTATTAAATGGGCCAGAAATAACATAAGTTGGATCTTCTTTTTGGTAATGAAGAGACATAATTCCAAGTAATGACATTTTAGTTTCTTTCTCTGGGTGACCTTGAGCTGGAGGAGACGATTCAGGGATGAAAGGTGTAGGGCTTTGGAAGAGTTTCTGTGGATCATTTTGAGCAAACTTCAGTCACAGGTGGGCACAGTGGCTCATACCTGTAATCCCAGCCCTTTGGGAGGCTGAGATGGAGGATCTCTTGAGGCCAGGAGTTTGAGACCAGCCTGGGCAACATAGTGAGAACTCATCCCTGCTTAAAACAACAACAACAACGAAAAACCTTTAGTCAGTACAAGTCACTTAGACTTGTTACCTATATTTATTCTGAGCTCTAAACCTGCCTTTCATTAGTAAAAATGAGGGAAAGAAGTGGATTGTGGGTTAATCTTAGTTATACAAGTTAGTTTTGTTCTTGAGGTCCTAGTGGGTCGGATTCCTTGGGTGAGGCAAACTGTGCACTGACCTCATCTTCCTTGCTTTGATGGAAGCATCACTGCCGAGTACCACCTAGTAAACCCAAAGTTGCTACTTGTTAGCCAGTTGAAATGATTATTGTGCCTTAAAAATAGACTGATGTTAGTTGCCAGTTAGGTCACCCAGAGCTGAGCTTTTATCACTTTTCAAGGGTATGTTAAGGTTTGATAGCCATTTTTATAAATGGAATACCTTACAACTTATTTAAAGTACATTTGCAGAAAATTAAGGCCATTGGTTCTGCCCCTAAAATAGTGATGCTATGGTAAGTTTACCATCCTCTATTTACATGTTCCTTAGAGCTCCAAAAGTCATCATCTTGCGATGGAGATTTTTTATAAACAACTCCCAAAGAATTTTAATGTAGCAAATGAATCTTGGAAAACTGCTCTTTTCTAATTTACTACTTCGTTCAGTGCATGTTAAAGAAGCAGCAGTGAATCGTATAATTAAATGTGATTTTAAAGGCTTCTGAGGTGGCACTTTCCAGTTGATACTCACTGGCATTTTGCTTGGCCTGTTGGACTGAGGCAGGAGGGCTTCTAATGCTCCTCTCTTCTGAAGGCAGACTAAGTGTGAAGGGTGCTTTATCAGCAGAGTGCTGCGCATGCTTTAGATGGCTCATGCCATCATCAGCTGCTCTGCAGAGGTACACACTCTTCTCTTGTTGAGAAGGCCAGTTCTTCTCTTGTTGGTTGTTTGACTTAGAAACTTCAAAAATGTTCACATTAAAATGCTAAAGCATTTTCTGAAAGCTAACCAGTAGATCACTAGGATAAATGGGATGGTATCTGAAGGATTTCCACAAAGGTCCTTTTTTCTGAGTTCACAATAAAACCAACCCTCCCTAATCAACCTTTATGTCCAGACAGGACATTGTGTGCAATTCCCTGAGTTATAATCCAGTCCGTCTTCAACCTATGCTTCCATTTTCAAGAACAAGACATCTTTTGGCTAGATACACTTCTGTGGCCAGGATCATGGTTGTCTTCCCATCTAAGTTTGGCCAGTGCATACACAGGCCTGTACTGGCCAGGATGATAAATGTGAAGATTGGACTGCATTTCATGGCTAGGTTCTCCACTTGGTTATTTTCTGTCCTCCCGTGGTTATTTTTTCTGTTCTTGTAGAAAAGAGAACAAAGCCCGTTTAACAACTGCAAAGCACACAGTCTGCAGAGACCTTAAAGATTACTGGCAACAAAACATATTTATGTCTTTAATAAGGAATTGAAATTTACCACTCACTAAAATTTTCCTTCTCTTTTCTTTCTCTGTTTTCTCTTTGGAACTTGTTGGTGTTAGGAGGATCAGTCTGGTCTCCAGGATGTTATTTTGATGTCTTTTGTTTTCTGAGGAAGTATTTTACAGTATTTTCTGACAGTGATAAAATTTTGAGGTAATTCTAAATTCTTGTGTACGTGCTCAATTTTGAATTACGTATTACAATATTTTGTATGGCTTCCAAGTATCTCAAGTCTGAAAGAGTATGTGGCATATAATAAATGAAAGTGAGTGTGAGAGTTTATTGAAAGGGCAAAAGATGTGGCTGTGGAATAGAGGTGCTATAGTTCAAGGTGAAAATTAAGTGATATTTGTGCAATTCAAATTAAAACTACTCAGACGACAAAATCCTGGTATCTGTGTAACGGTCCTCTAACAAAGTCTCTTAAATGACAAGGAGGCTACGATGCCATGAATCATACAGGGTATTTTAAGAGTGGGTTCCTGCCGGGCGCGGTGGCTCACGCCTGTAATCCCAGCACTTTGGAGGCCGAGATGGGCGGATCATGAGGTCAGGAGATCGAGACCATCCTGACTAACACGGTAAAATCCCGTCTTTACTAAAAATACAAAAAAATTAGCCAGGCGTGGTGGCATGTGCCTGTAAGTCCCAGCTACGCTGGAGGCTGAAGCAGGAGAATTGCTGGAACCCAGGAGGCGGAGGTTGCAGTGAGCCGAGATCATGCCACTGCACTCCAGCCTGGGCGACAGAGCGAGACTGTCTCAAAAAAAAAAAAAAAAGGAAAAAAAAAAAGAGAGAGTGGGTTCCTTAAATGCCCTAATCCCCCTTTTTGTACTCCTCAGGACACATGGTTAAGAAAGTTCCTAGACACTTTTATTTGGAGCTGAGGGATATAAAAGCACTATTGAAAGTCAGTGAAATATGGTGAGGTAGGCCATCCACTGCTTTTGCCTCATTCAGATTATTTACTTGTTGACCATCCACACATTTCTAAATAGGCCTTTTTTTTTTAATGCAACTTTAGATTTTTACAGACATACCAACAAGATTAGTAGGACTGACAAGTGATATTTTATTTCCTTAGTAAGGATTGAAATTCTTTTCATAGGTTTTTCAAAATGTTTTAATAATCCTCTGAGTCCCAAATCTGTCCTCTGGGGATTTTCCCTACATAGTCAAAGTTAAATATTTTGGATGGGGAGTGAGGCTGAGAGAAGCTTTGCTCAGAGAGAGGTAAAGCAACCTTTGAGGAGGGATATAGAAACTGTATTTCTGTCTGTAAATGTTATTTTATTAAGAAAGTTTTATATTCTAAGGTTGTGATATTCATTCATTGGTTCATTCACCAAATGTTTGAGTATCTTTTCTGGGTATACTCTATATAGTAGATGATTTGATCTCTTTTGAGTTGAATTTTAAAGGACTATCCTAGGGAAACTTGAGAGTTACAGAGGAGAATAAAACATGATTTCTGCCTTCAAGGGGCTTACAGTTTGATAGATGCAAAATAATAAAGCAGTATGTATTAAGTGAGGTAATAGAAGTACAAATGCTCTAGGATTTTAGAGGAAGGAAGCCCATATTTGCAGGGAAGGTTTCCTTACGATATTTATACTAGGCCTTGAAAGATGCCTGGGATTTCTTTAGACAGAAGAGGCAGAGAAATGTATTTCTGGAAAAAGTTACAGGAGTGAGAAAGGACATATTTAGGAAATGACAAGTGCTTCAGTTTGGCTGCAATATAAGGTGTGTGCGAGGTATGTAGGGAATGTTAGGAAATAAGGTTGATATATAGGTTGGGGTCAGAATAGAACTTTGAATATGCCATGCAACAAGGGTTGAATTTACATGATAGTTGATCTTGAAGACTGAAAACTAGGAAATTACCCAGTCAGAACTGTGCTTTAGAAGGATGTGCTGGGGGACTGGGCATGGTGGTTTACACCTGTAATCTCAGCACTTCGGGAAGCCAAGGTGGGAAAATTGAGGCCAAGAGTTTAAGAAAAATGTACTGGAAAGCCATGAGTAAAATAGATTAGAATGAAGGATAGAGGGTACAGAGAAATTGGAATTCAGAAATTCTATTGGAATTACCTATAAAAAACAAAGGTAGAGCCACTTTAAACATGTGCAGTTTATATATGCCAGTAATACCTAAGTAAGGCCGTTTAAAGAAAAAAAAGTAAGCTATGATAACGAGGCACTGAACTTGGAAAGATGAAAGAAAGTTCAGATTTGAATGACATTTTGGAAATAGAATCTACAGAGGAGGATGGAAAGAGTGAAGAAGTAGGAGTGGAGTCAAACATGATGAAATTTTTAAGCTTGGGTAATTTAGGAAAATTGTGGAGCCAGAATAGAAATAGAGAAGTCAAGAGGAAGGAGGAAAAAGCATTTTGATGAATTGATGAATCTCTTGGACACATTGTAACTGAAGTGTCCACAAGGTATCAGTGATTTTGTCCCAGAGGCAGGTGAAAATGTGGAATGGTGGTGCATGGCGTAGATCACCTTCTCAGTTGATGCTGTACAAGCTGAAGCAATGGATATGAATGGAACAAATTGCTCAGCAGTTTCTTATAACTCTAACTTTCTGTGACCTGAGTTCAACTATCTCTAGTATACCTGAATAATATATAAGTTGGTATTGTGGCCTAATATGGGGGGAGGTAATTTCTGATTTTTACATTGGTTTTATTTCTAAGGTATTTGTATACATAGACTCTAACAGAACACAAATTCAGAAACAGATAGTTTTGTATTTGTTCAGGCGAAAATGACAGACATCCTCTCTTAGCTGTAGGGGAAGAAACTTTGAGGAAAAGAAGCGTCTGACGGTTTCTGAAAACCAAGCTAAAAGGGACAAAAATAGAATGAGATCCTTTTCTATGGCATTCTTTCTCTGTGGTTTTAGGAAATGGTCTTAATAATTTCTTTTAATTCTGTAATTCTTTTTTGTTTGTTTGTTTTAATTCAGGACCACAAATAGGAAAATCTGCCATTTGTATTTTTGTTTAATCAGCTCTCTCATTAGCACATTCTAATGTAAATGTTCCCTGATTTATTGACTGAAGTTTAGTGGATTCTCCATGTATGTTTGGTTATGCATAGACTGGTTGCTGTTAATTGCACTTGAATTTTGGGATTTTTATTTTATCAATAATAGAGCTTCTCTAGGCATGAGTGATGTTCCAGATATATAGTTGTCTTAAAAATGTGATTGAGGAAGGGTACGGTGGCTCACGCCTGTAATCCCAGCACTTCGGGAGGCTGAGACAGGTGGATCACTTGAGGTCAGGACTTCGATACCAGCCTGGCCAACATTACAGAACCCTTTCTCCACTAAAAATACAAAAATCAGCTGGGCATGGTGGTGGGCACGTGTAACCCCAGCTACTCAGGAGGCTGAGACACGAAAATAACTTGAACCTGGGAAGTTTTAGTTCAAGACCACAAACCAACAAAAACTCACAAAAAACCTGCTTTGCCTTCTTTAAGAAGGAAAAAGGGCCGGGTGCGGTAGCCCATGCCTGTAATCCCTAGCAATTTGGGAGGCCGAGGAGGGCAGATCACCTGAGGTCAGGAGTTTGAGACCAGCCTGGCCAACAAGGTGAAACCCCGTCTCTACTAAAAAAATGCAAAATTAGTCAGGCGTAGTGATACATGCCTATAGTCTCAGCTACTCGGGAAGCTGACGCAGGAGAATTGCTTGAATCCGGGAGGCAGAGCTGCAGTGAGCCAAGATAGCTCCATTGCACTCCAGCCTGGGCAACAAGAGTGAAACTCCATCTAAAAAAAAAAAAAAAAAAAAAAAAAAAGGAAAAGGAAGCATGGAGCTCAGATTTTCAGTCAACTTTAGAAATTCTGACATCAGTACAGATTCCATAGATATTAAAAGACTAATAAAGAGTACTATGAACAACTTTATGCTAATAAATTAGACATCTTAGTTGTAAAGGACAGATTTATTAAAAGATAAAAATTATTGGCTGGGCACAGTGGCTCACATGCATGTAATCCCAGCACTTTGGGAGGCTGAGGCAGGAGGATCACTTGAAACCAGGAACTTGAAACTAGCCTGGACAACATAGTGAGACCCCCATCTTAGCTGGGCATGATGACATGCATCTGTAGTCCCTGCTACTCTGGAGGCTGCGATGAGAGGATTGCTTGAGCCTGGGAGGTTGAAGCTGCAATGAGCCATGATCATACCACGGCACTCTGGCCTGGACAACAGAGTGAGACTGTCTCAAAAAAAAAAAAAAAAGGAAAAAAGAAAGAAAAAGATAAAAATTACCTAAGTCACTCAGGAAGAAATAAATAACTGAAATACATACATACATACATATATATATATATATATATATATATATATATATATATATATATATATAATTTATTTATTTATTTATTTAGAGATGGAGTCTAGCTCTGTCACCCAGACTGGAGTGCAGTGGCGTGGTCTCGGCTCACTGCAAGCTCCACCTCCCAGATTCAAGCCATTCTCCTGCCTCCCAGTCTCAGCTCACTGCAAGCTCCACCTCCTGGTTTCATACCATTCTCCTGCCTCAGCCTCCCGAGTAGCTGGGACTACAGGCGCCCACCACCACGCCCGGCTAATTTTTTTTTTTTTTTTTTTTGTATTTTTAGTAGAGATGGGGTTTCAACCTGTTAGCCAGGATGGTCTCGATTTCCTGACCTCGTGATCTGCCTGCCTCGGCCTCCCAAAGTGCTGGGATTACAGGCGTGAGCCACCGCACCCGGCCTGAGTACCCATATATATTAAATAAATTGATTTTTTGTTTTTTTGCGACAGTCTCTATCTGTTGCCCAGGCTGGAGCACAGTAGCGCAATGAAGGCTCACTGCAGCATCAACCTCCCAGGCTCAAGTGATTCCTCTGCCTCAGCCTTCCAAGTAGCTGGGACTACAGGCACACACCACCATACCCAGCTAATTTTTTTTTTAACTTTAGCAGAGATGAGGTCTCACTATGTTGCCTAGGCTGGTCTTGAACTCCTGAATTAAAGCCTCAGCCTCCCAAAGTTCTGGGATTATAGGCATGAGCTGCCCCACATGGGCAAGAAATTGAATTTAAAGCTAAAAGATTTTCCACAGAGAAACACCAGGCTCAGATGGCTTTACTGATGAATTCTGCTAAACATTTAAGGAATAAATGATATCCATTCTACATAAACTCTTCTAGAAAAATTGAACAGAAGGGAATATTTCCCAGTTCAGTCTCTGAGGCCAGCATTACCCTACTTCCAAAACCAGACAAAGATATTATACAAAAAGAAAATTATAGGCCAGGTGCAGTGGCTCAAGCCTATAATCCCACCACTTTGGGAGACTGAGGCAGGCAGATCACCTGAGGTCAGGAGTTCAAGACTAGCCTGGCCAACTTGGTGAAACCCCATCTCTACTAAAAATGCAAAACTTAGCCAGGCGCGGTGGCAGGCACCTGTAATCCTAGCTCCTTGGGAGGCTAAGGCAGGAGAATCGCTTGAGCCCAGGAAGTGGAAGTTGCAGTGAGCCGAGATTGTGCCACTGGACTCCAGCCTGGGCAACAGAGTGAGACTCTGTCTCAAAAAAAAGAAAAGAAAAGAAAAGAAAATTATAGACAATATTCCTCATGGAACACAGAATTTAAAAATTTTAACAAATTGAACCCAGCAATCCATAAAAAGGACAACTCTTTCAAGTGGGTTTTTTTTTTTCATGAATGCAAGGCTGGTTTAACACTCAAATGTCAATCAATGTCACTTAGTAAATTAACAAAACTATTAGTTTGCCAGGGCTGCCATAACAATATGTCATAAATTAGATAGATGAAACAACAGAAATTTATTTTCTCACGAGTCTGAAAGTTAGAAGTCCAAAATCAAGGCATTGGCAAGTTTGATCTCTTCTGTGTTCTCTCTCCTTGGCTTGCAAATGGCTGCCTTCCTCCTGTACCCACACATGGTCACTCCTCTGTGTGTGACTGTGTCATAATCACTTCTTATAAGGACACTTCTCAGATTAGAGCCTACCCTAACGAACTCATTTTAACTCAATATCCCTTTTTTTTGAGACGGTCTCACTTTGTTCCCCAGGCTGGAGTGCAGTGGTGGGATCTCAGCTCACTGCAACCCCTGCATCTCCGGCTCAGATGATCCTTCTGCCTCAGCCTCCCAAGTAGTTGGGACCACAGGAATATGCCACCATGCCTGGCTAATTTTTGTATTTTTTGTAGAGATGGGATTTCGCCATGTTGGCCAGGCTGGTCTCAAACTCCTGGACTCAAGCGACCTACCTGCCTTGGCCTCCTAAAGTGCTGGGATTATAGGCGTGAGCCACCATGCCCATTCTAGTTACCTTTTTAAAGTCTGTCTCCAAATACAGTCACTTTCTTAGGTACCAAGGTTTAAGACTGTGACATATGAATTAGGGGGTAGAAGGAACACAGTTGAGCTTATAACACAAACTAAACATCATGTGATCTTCTTAATAAAGGCAGAATTTTGTAAAATCCAACACCTACTCCCAATAAATATCAGCAAACTAGAAGCATAAGAAAACTTCCTAAAACTGATCAAGGGCATCTCTAGAAATTCAATAGCTAACTTAATGTCAAAAGTTACATACTCTCTCCTCCTAACGTCAGGACTATGTTGGGGATATCCACTTTCATGTCTTCCATTTAGCGTTGTACTGGAAGTTCTAGCTAATGCAGTAAGGCAAGGAAGAGAAGTAAAAGGCATCCAAATTAGAAAGGAAGAAGTGAAACTTTTTAATTCTCAGACAATATCATTGTCTATGCAGAAAATCCAATGGAATCCACAAAAAAGCTACTAAAACTAATAAGTGAATTTAGCAAGTGGCAGGATACAAATCACTGTACAAAAATCAATTGTATTTCTCTATGCTATCCACAATCAACAATTGATTTTTAAAAACTCATTTATTATAGCATCAAAAGATTTGAAATACTTAGGGGAAAAAATCTGATAAAAGATGTGCAAGGCCAGGCGCATCGGCTCATGCCTGTAATCCCAGCACTTTGGGAGGCTGCAGCAGGCAGATCACTTGAGCCCAGGAGTTTGAGACCAGCCTGGGCAACATGGCAACCTGTTTCTACAAAAAATACAAAAATTAGCCAGGTATGGTGACATGTGCCTGTAGTCCCAACTGCTCAGGAGTCTGAGGTGGGAGGATAGTGTGAGTCCAGGAGGTGGAGGTTACAGTAAGCTGAGATGGCGCCACTGCACTCCAGCCTGGGCGACAGAGTGAGACCCTGTCTCAAAACAAAACAAAACAAAAAAAGCTTAGAGAAATAAATGGAGAGAGAGATTGTGTATGGGTCAGAAGACTCAATATTGTAAAGTTTTTGGGTCTCCCCCATATTTATCCATAGATTCAGTGCAATTCCAATAAAATCCCAGCAGGCATTGTTGAAGAAAATGACAAGCTTATTTTCAAATTCACGTAGAAATGCAAAGAAGCCAAATTAGTCAAAACGGATTTGAAAAAAACAAACTAGTGACTTAACGTTTACCTGACTTTAAGATATATTATAAACCTACCTTACTCAAAACAGTATAGTAGTCATATAAAAGATAATGGAACAGAATAGAGAACCTAGAGGTAGACCCGCACAATTATGGACAACTGCTTTTCAACAAAGGTGCAAAGGCAATTCAGTGGAAAAAAGAAAGTTTTTTCAACAAATGGATATTCATATGTAAAAATGAACTTAAAATTCATTCCTTGTATTATAGACAAAAATTGACCCCAACTGGATTATCGATCTAAATGTAAAACCTAAAATTATAAACTTTCTTT
This sequence comes from Homo sapiens, assembly GCF_000001405.40. Classification (NCBI taxonomy): domain Eukaryota; kingdom Metazoa; phylum Chordata; class Mammalia; order Primates; family Hominidae; genus Homo; species Homo sapiens. The sequence continues at coordinate 38,462,275 of NC_000006.12, read as the reverse complement.
AGGAAAAAGAAAACGTAAGAGAAAACCTTTGTTTTCTCTTGTTTAGGCAAACGTATTTAAGATATAGCATCAAAAGAACAATTCATAAAAGAAAAAAATTGAAAAACTGGACTTCAAATGTAAAACCTTTTGCTCCTCTAAAGACACTTTTAAGAATATGAAAAGATAAGTTACAAACTGGGAGAAGATATTTGCAATCGTATATCTAATAAAGAACATATGAAGAATTCTTACAATTCAACAACAACAACAAAAACACCTCAGGGGGAAAAAGGCAAAACATTTGAACTGATACTTCACCCAAAAGGATATATGAGTGGCAAATAAACACATGAAAAGATATTCAATGCCATTAGATGTTAGGGAAATGCAAATTAAGGCTAAAATAAGATACCACTACATACCTACTAGTTTGACTAAAATTTTTAAAACTGACCATACCAAATGTTGGAGAGGATGTGAAGGAACTGTAACTCTAACACTCTGCTGCTCTGTTGGTGGGAATCTAAAATGGTATAACCGCATTGGAAAACAGCTTGGCAGTTTCCTAAAAAGTTAAACATATACCTACATATGATTCAGCCATTTTACTCTTAGGTATTTAACCCCTAGGAAAAGAAAGCATATACCCATACAAAGACTTACACATAAATGTTCACAGCAGCTTCATTTTTAATATGCAAAACTGGAACCAACCCAAAATGTTCATCAACAGATAAAACGAATTGTGTTTTAATTTATTGTGTACAATAAAATACTAAATGATAAAGAATGAACTATTGATCCATGCAACAATATGTATGAACTTCAGAATAATTATGTTGAGCAAAGTAAGCCAAACAAAAAATAATACATACTGTATGATTCATTTATATAAAATTTTAGAAACCTCAAAATAACCTATAATGTCAGAAAGCACTACAGATTGGAAACAGAGGTAGGGAGTGGAGAGATATGAGAGTGAACCATTACAAAATAGCACAAGGAAACTTTTGGGGTGATGGATATATTCATTATCTTGATTGTGGTGATGGTTTTACAGGTCAAAAATTAACAAATTGTTCATCTCAAATACGTACAGTTTGTTTCCATTAATCCTCAATAAAGTTGTTAAAAGCAAACAAAAGCTTCACTCTCCTTAAGAAGGGAATGTGAGGTCTGTAACTATAAAACTTACTGTGCCATTCCCTTTACCCCAAGAGGGTAAACAGAGTGAGCGTGAAACGCCTGGTTAGAACCAGGGAGGCAATTTCCTGAAGAACCAAATTTAATTACTTTCATAGTTAGGTGACAAACATAAAATATTTCATTAATTACTAAGTTATCCAGCCTTTAAAAAAACCCAGACTGTGGGGCCGGGCGTGGTGGCTCACACCTGTAATCTCAGCACTTTGGGAGGCCAAGGTGGGCGGATCACCTGAGGTCAGGAGACGGAGATCAGCCTGGGAAACATGGTGAAACCCCGTCTCTACTAAAATACAAAAGTTAGCCGGGCGTGATGGCAGGCGCCTGTAGTCCCAGCTACTTGGGAGGCTGAGGCAGGAGAATTGCTTGAACCCAGGAGGCAGAGGCTGCAGTGAGCCGGGATCACGCCACTGCACTCCAGCCTCGGTGACAGAGCAAGACTACGTCTCAAAAAAACAAAAACAAAAACAAAAAAAACCCTAACTGTGAAATGATTAGTAACACATTCTGTGGGTTGGCTGAGTGTCTATATGGTATGTGAAGAAACATTTCTTTTTGTTTATTATAAATTCACTAGCTATTAGTGTAGGGGTGTCCTATTGTTCTTATATTACACCAGTAAATTCTTTTTTCTCTTGGAAGGGGAAATAAATACGCAACTGCGGTGTGCATAATGATGTTCAGACTAATGTTGTTACTAACCACAAAACAAATAGGAATGTGTTGTCAGATTCCTGGGTAGAAATGACATAAGGGGCAGACTGGTTTGATCATTTCTCGGATCCAGCTGTTTGATGATTGCTGTGATATTGCTAAATTGGAAAGGAAGAAAACACAGAACTTAAATAGACAGTACAGAGAAACTCATGTATTACAGAAATGTGATGTTTACATTTTCTTACTGCCTAAGGTTTAGATGCAGATCCTTGGAAGTTTAGTGTTGTAACAGAGAAGTCTGTTAACTTAGGTGTTAAAATATAAGCAAACAGATTATCTCCCCGAAATAATTGTATTAGCATTGACTTCCCACTCTGTTAAATAGACTGTTTTGCTAGGATTTTCTAATTGAAATTTATATCATAAGCTAGCTTGAGATGATCTTCTAAAATGATGAAAGAAATGAAATAATACAAAGCTAAAACTCTGTTCTCGTAATGTTGTAAAACCACGGTAGACAAATCAATTCTGGAGGTCACAGTAAGAAATAAAATGGCTCTTTTAAAATCAAAGGCTACATATTGACTTCTACTTTAAAATAAATGGTCTTTGCAAATAATTATACTTGCAAATTAAATGTACCTGTGTGCAGTGTGAAGTGGGTTTTTTGAGCAAATTATGAACATAATTTTTAACTGTGAAGGTGTATTGGTAAGGATAGGCTAAGCTGTATTGTAATAACAGCAACAAAAACAAAATCTCAGTAACTTAGCATAACAAAAGTCTATTTCTTGTTGACATTACACATCTGCCATAGGTCAAGGATTCTGTTCCTCGTAGGCTCTCAGGGACTTAGGCTAATGGAGGCTCTATCCTCTTATAGCTGTACTATCTGGAACATGTAGCTTCCTTCAGCACTGCAGCATGGGAAGCCAGAGTTGATGATTCATACACCAGCATTTACATTTTTCAGCATGAAAGTGGTATGTTCTTCAACTCACAACCCATTGGCCAGAACCAGTAACATGACTTCACCTAACTGCAAACTAGCTGGAGAATTGTGGGAGAGCTCATGGATATTCAGTGATAAATGTCTTTGTTATAAAAGGGTGGTCATAGCCAGGCACATGGCTCACGCCTGTAATCCCAGCACTTTGGGAGGCCGAGGCTGGGGATCACCTGAGGTCAGGAGTTCGAGACCAGCCTGGCCAACATGGTGAAACCGTGTCTCTACTAAAAATACAAAAATTAGCCAGGCGTGGTGGTGCGCACCTGTAATCCCAGCTACTTGAAAGGCTGCGGCAGGAGAATTGCTTGAACCCAGGAGGCAGAGGTTGCAGTGAGCCGAGATCACACCATTGCACTCCAGCCTGGGCAACAGAGTGAGACTCTGTCTCCAAAAAATAAAAATAAATAAAAAATAAAAGCATGGTCAGACTTTTATATAGCATGAATTACGCTTTGCCTGGCATCTTTGAAATAATACCTTTAATAGAACATTTGATGTCATATAATTAAAGTATTCAACTGGCAAAGATGCTCATAAAATGGCCTTTTTTTGTCATACTTAAATTTTTTGTGTATTCTCATTTGTTATAAGGAGGGGGGAAACAGAATCAATATATTCTTCAATTTACCATTATTCATATAAGTGGTACTTTGCCATTTGCCATTTTTCAAATAATCCAGATGACCTTGCTTCTGACCACAAAGTGAGATTTTGTGTGTGTTGTTTGTGTAGAAATATGTTGCTACAGTGAAAACTCACAGTATATTTTGAAAACTGCTAGAATGATGTCAGGTATCTTTGGTTAGTTCTTCCTGTTAGGGATCTGTCTATTCTAGTTTTTGCTGAGTTATGATGTTACATTTTTCCTTCCAATAAAGCTAGACTGTTGAGGAGGGGAATCTTATATCATGATAGGATTATCCTGAGCTTTTGTTTAGGCTATTTTCTAAGCCTTTTAGGGAAGGCTATTTCCTGAGTCTTTTGGGAGGACAAATCAAATGTGGAAGGAATGTAGGGCAGCAGTGCAGGGACTACTGGGTCCTTTTGCGTTTTTAGGAACATGAGGAGTTGTTCATACTCAGATTATCAAATAGAAAATATTCAGTCTCAATTTACCCTGGTTATCTGACATATTAGCTTGTAAACTCTAATGAAAGAACTCATTTTGCAGGTAGGAATTTAAAATTAGTAGAAAAGAGAACCCTCAGAATAATTCTAGGTGAAAAGTGATTTCTTTTACTTGCAAACAAATATTTTAATCTGTTTTGTTTTTTTCCAATCGTGTTATAGGAAACAATAATCTGCTGTTTTGAAGGGCTCCTTTTTGCTTGAGAGACTAGTTGCCCATCATGGATATGGCAAAATCTGGCGCGTAAAGCTTGCTCTCTGGGACTACAGTCTCCTTAGGGTTGTTTGTCTTCAGCAATCCTTATACGCCACATACATGATGATATCATCTTCCCTTACATATCATGCCTGTGTGAGTTCCGCAACACTTAGTAAGCACTTATTAAGTATCAGGCAATACGATTTGTTAATTACAGATATGAAAAAGACATGATCTGTGGATCCGAAGAACTAACAGACCAGTTGGGGGAGAGACATGTAAACTGATAATTTCAGTATGATGTTGGAGTGCTTAAGAGATTCATCCTGAACTCCCTATTTTCTCTACTTATACTCTCCTTTCTTATACATGTATATGCTCCTAGCTCTCAAATTTAATCTCTCTGGCCAGGCCTCTCTCCCTTGTGTTCTAGCCATTGTCTTAAAATCTCTATTGTACTATCTCTTAGGCATCTCAAGCTTCCCAAATGGAAGTCTTGATTTTTCACTCCTCCAATCAGTTATTCTCCATCCCACTAAATGTCACTATTATCCATCCTATTTTTTAGTCCCCAAGCTTAGGACTCATCCTTGATCCTGCCTTTAAAAAAAAAAAAATTAACTCTTCACATTTCAGTCCTTTGGAGAGTCATATTGGTTTTAACTCTAAAATATACCTTAAATCCATCTACTGCAATCTGCACTAACACCACTGTAGTTGACACCAACACCATTTCTTGCCCAGACTGTGGGAGCCTTCTAACTGGTCTTCTTGCTTGGTCTTCCAGTAAAGTATTTATGTGGCAGCCAGATAAATTTTCTTAAAGTTAAGCAGGGTCAAATTACTCTCTGCATAAAACTCTTCATTGGTGTCTCACCTCCAAATCCCTCCAAGGCCTATGTGACCTTAAATGGTTTGCTGTCTGCCTCTGCTTCTTTGTCCTCATCTCCTATCTCATTCTGCCCCCATGACTGAGCTCCAGCCAGGATGTTCTACCTTCTTGTCCTTGAATTTGCCAACATTTTTCCCACCCTAGCGCTTTTGCTTTGCTCTTCTCTCTCGCTGGATATTCTTCTGTCTGGCTTCTTATCATTTGGACCTTAGTTTAAATATCACCTCAGAGACTCTTTCCTGATAACTCTATCTTTATCATGTCACTGTATTTATTTCCTTCAAAGTGCTTTTTATAATGCTAGGCCAGATAATTTAGTGAAAGGGTATGGCAAATTGTTTGAGCAGGGGAATGATATATTTCTTTAACTAGCTGATATTTGAGAAGATAAGTAAAAAAGACTAGTTTGGGGGGGAAGTATTTGCAAACCAGATATTTGACGCAGGGTTTATACCCAAAATATATAAAGAACTCTCAAAACTTAAAAGTAACTAAACAGACAACCCAACTTTTTTTAAGAAAAGAGGGCAAATATTTGAACAGGCACAAAGATATCCAGATGGCAACCAAACACATGAAAAGATGCCCATTATCATTAGTCATTAGGGTGATGCAGATTAAAACCACACTGAGATAACAAAAACCATAATAAGATAACTATTACCCAGCTAATAGAATGACTTTATTAACAAAACAACTGATAATACCAAGTCCTGTCAGGATGGGGATCATCTGGAATCTGCTGGTAAGAATGCAATATGGTATAACCAATTTGGAAAAATAGTTGTTCTTACAAAGTTAAACATAAACCTCCATATGATACCACCATTTCACTCCTTAGACAAGTGAAATCGTACGTTCACACAAAAACCTGAATAAGAATGTTTACAACAACATTATTAATAGTTTACAAAAACAAGTCGGGCACAGTGGCTCAGTCATGTAATCCCAGTACTTAGGAAGGCTGAGGCAGGTGGATCACTTGAGGTCAGGAGTTTGAGACCAGCCTGGCCAACATGGTGAAACCTCCTGTCTACTAAAGATACAAAAATTAGCAGGGCGTGGTGGCACATGCCAGTAATCCCAGCTACTCAGGAGGCTGACGCAGAAGAATGACTTGATTGATCCCCGGAGGCAGAGGCTGCAGTGAGTCAAGATGGCGCCACTGCACTCTAGCCTGGGCTACAGAGCAAGACTCTGTCTCAAAAGAAAAAAAAGAAAAAAAAAAGGGCTAGGTGCAGTGGCTCATGCCTGTAATCCCAGCACTTTGGGAGGCTGAAGCAGGTGGATCACCTGAGGTCAGGAGTTAGAGACCAGCCTGACCAACATGAAGAAACCCCATCTCTACTAAAAATACAAAATTAGCCGGGTGTTGTGGCGCATGCCTGTAATCCCCGCTACTCCAGGAGGTGGAGGTTGCGGTGAGCCGAGATCGCGCCATTGCACTCCAGCCTGGGAAACAAGAGTAAAACTCCTTCTCAGAAACAAAAAAACAAACAAAAAAGTTGACAAAAACTGGATGTAACTGAAATACCCCTTCAATCCATAAATGGGTGAAAAATCTGTGGTATATCCATATTATGGAGTACTACTCACAATAAAAAGGAATTTGCAGCTTACACACACAACAGCATGTATGTATCTCAGATGTTTTATGCTAAGTGAAAAAAGCAAGATTCAAAAGGCTACATACTGTATGATTCCATTTATATATCATTCTATAAAAGGCAAAATGAGGCTGGGCACGGTGGCTTACGCCTGTAATCCCAAGACTTCCGGAAGCTGAGTTAGGAAGATCACCTGAGCACAGGAGTTCAAGACCAGCTTGGGCAACAAAGCAAGACCCCATCTCAAAAGAAAAAAATGAGGCAAAATGATAGCAATGGAAAGCAGATCAGTGTTTGCCAGGGTTAAGGGTGAGGTGAGAATTTCACTACAAAAAGGCAGCCCAAGTTTTGGGGTAATGGATCTGTTTTGTGATTGTTGTGGTGGTAAGTACATGAGTCTCTGCATTTTTTAAACTCATAGAACAGTACACCAAAAGGGGGACTTTTACTATCTGTAAATTTTAAAATACACTTAAAATGAAAGCAAAAAGATCATGGACAGTGCTCTTTAGGTATTGAGTAAATATTTATTTATTTATTTATTTTGTTTGTTTCATTATAATGCTTGTTGTGCTGGAAGGCCAACAAAAATCAGTTTTATTCTTCTTTCCAGAACAGAGGTATCTGGTTATAGGAAGTGTTGGTTCCTCTTGCACAGTCCAGATGGCAATGACTTTCTTTAAGCTGATAATGTTGTATTAATTCTCCTCATTTATATTAGCTTTTGTTAAATGAGTGAGGTTTCATTTTATCATGAACTTGATTATTTCTGAAATTTAGTGTTTTTTTTTTTTTTAAGAGACAGAGTCTTGCTCTGTCTTCTAGGCTGGAATACAGTGGCATGATCATTCATAGCTCACTGCAGCCTCAAGCCCCTGGGCTCAAGCAATTCTCCCACCTTAGCCTCCCAGTAGCTAGGACAACAGGCACACACCACCATGCCCAGCTAGTTTTTAAAATTTTTTGTGGAGATGGGGTCTTACTATGTTGCCCAGGCTGGTCTTGAACTCTCAGTCTCAAGTGAGCCTCATGTGTCGGCCTCCTAAGTGCTAGGATTACAAGCATGAGCCACCACATATAATATTTAATTATATTATATTTAAGATAATTAAATATTGGCCCTATATTTAAGATAATTAAATATAGGGCCAATATTTAATTATGGTAATGATGCTTCTTAAAAACCACTGTGAAAAGATGTCTTTAAATTTGAATTTTCTTAAGAGTGGGACAATTTTCAGTGCTTTATGATCCAACATTCCATATGTAAACTTTAAACTCTCTAACCTCAAAAATAATTCAACTAATAAGGTGTATAATAATATATTTCCCCCGTTTTTTAAGAGTTTGTCCTTATATGCAATAAAATAGCTGTGTCCGCCAGAGGACATGAACATTGAGTTAACATTTATCAGACAGTGTTTTGTACTTAACTTCATTATATTTTGTAACAGTCCATTGTTCAAGTGTTAGGTTAATTACTTGAAACCCAAACCTACTTGCTTGAAGAATTTTCATTTTGAAGTACATCAGAGTCATTAATCACTGCACCTTTTGATCTCCTTTGAAACACTTCCTAGCATTTATTTTTCTATTATCTCCCTCAATAAAAAGGAGCCACTTTTGTCCTGCTGATGCACGACCTGGTGTGGTGTGTATCGCTCTATTTCTTAAATATATAGAATATACAAGTTTGGATTTGGAATGTGTCTTCAACATTCGCCCACTATTTGAAACTTATCCCTTTTTCCAATGTCTTCTTCCAAAAAGCAGCTTGATTTATTTATATAGCGGTTATTGCAGTTGTAGCATTTTAATTCCCTTTATCATCTTCTCTCTCCATTTGGGATGATAGGCAGAGGGACATTTGATGTTCCAGTTGAGATCATAAGAGAATGTTGAAGAGCTAAGTAACTAAGGGGCATTCTTTACACAGAATCTATCCAGTTGTCAGGCTGTCCTCAGGGGGGTGTTGCTGTAGCTACACCCTCAACTATATCATAGCATTTTAAAAAAACTTGTCATTTAAAAGTGATAAAACCAAATACTTAAAACCACTCTGATGTTTACTTTGCTGATCCTTACTGGTGATTTTGTTGTTTTATGGAATGCTGTAGAGGAGTCCACTGTTAATCACTTCCTAACCCTATAAAATATGTAACAAGCTGCTGAACAGAATGATGACAACAGAGAACGGAGTTTCATTTGAATTCATGCAAATGTGGAGGTTTCCCAGAAAGCCATTTTAAAAGTATGAGCCACATTTTGAAAATAAAACAAAGAATAACGCCTTGGAATAGAAATCCATAATGAAACCCATATAATAGCTGAAAGATGACAATAAATTCTACGGGGAGAGCTTTCCATTTTCTGTTCCTTTTCAAATTCTAATACTAAACTCTATTAGTGGTCTGTATAAAATAATGAGACATGAAGCCCTGCTGGTATAAAACTATTACTAGTCTGTTACTTTGCATAAATTTTCACTCAAACTATTGTCTGTGGTCTTCTTATGAAGGATCTGTTATACGCTTTCTAGCTAAACAGATGAGACCTATTAGCTATTTCCTTTGAATGAATGGTATTGGAATTTGCAGGCATTGCACTTCTTACAAGTTAGGAAGAGAAAGGGATTGCATACAAGGAAAACACGAGTATTTACTCCAGTCAGAGATCTGTGTTTTTATGTGAATTGATGTCCTTTTCCTCAGTTTCCGTATCACATTAAGGAAAAGGCATAATGGTGTTTTTACTCTTATTTTAAAGATAGATGTATTACAAAGTGATCACCTTCCTACATCTAAGTCATATCATTGTTTTACTTTCAATAATAGTAACAAGAAATTTATCATTTTTCTCCCCTTGTTTTACCTATTTCACTTCATGGCACCCCTTTTGTTTCTTAGTCACATAGACCTACAATTTAAATCAGCTTTGATTCCTTTCTACTCTTCATATGTTTAAGCAGTTGCCAAGTTCTTTTCATTCATCTCTCATAATTTCTCTTATATTCATCTTTTTTTTTTCCATTCTCATTGCCAGCATCCTAATGCAGAGCATTATGGACTCAGGCCTAAATTATTACATCTTTAATTGATTTTTCCAACATCCAGTTAATTTCCTTCTGATCCATCCTGAACATCATCACTAGATTTATCTTACTAAAACACGGTTTTTGTTAAACTTAGCAATTTCAAAGTTTCAAAATGATTGCAATAGTAATTGAAGTTATTAATGTTGTTAAGAGACAGCATAGTATAGTGGTATACTGTATTGGCTTTGGAACTAAATAGATATGGGTTGGAATCCCAAATTAATCCCTTAGTAGTGGTGTACTCTTGGGGACTGAGTTACTTGACCTTTTTGGGGCATAGGAATCCTCATTTGAAAATGGGGAGAATAATATGATAGTCTTATAAAAATTAACCACAGTTTGTAAAATACATAGTTTAGTGACATCAATTAATGATAGTTATTATTAGTAGAAGTGTTGTTCCTGTTATTGTTATCTGTGAGGATAAAATGGAGAAATGGAACAGGGAGTAGAGGATGGAACCAGGTAGAATAGTTCCAATTAAAAGCGTTAGGTAAAAGAGCTCTTCTACATTGGAAGGGCTGAGGACTTTTTAAAGTTTTCAAAGAATGAGGACTTTAAAAAATTTGTAGTTCTTAAGATGCTCACATTGTAAAATATATCAGAGTCTTCTCTCCTCAAGTACACTACAGACAGTATTTTTCAGGTACATGAACTAAAACTTTGCAAACCCAAGGATCAATGACCACTGGTTTTGATTATTAGAAATTTGATGGTTACTTTTCAGAGTGCAGTTCATAGAACAGTCAGTGTCAGATGGGAATGAAAAAGAGAGGTGGATGGAACAGAAATTATCAAGGATGAATCAAGACTTGGCAACAAATACCAGTAGTAAACATGGCACTTGGGTACTATCATCGTCTTCATATGTGGTCACCATCATCCTTGTTCTATAGAAGAAAGAGGAGTGTACTCTTTTGCCTCTCTTCTGCAACAATGTTTGCCATTTTCAAACAGTATTAAGATATGTATTTAAGGTGAGTGGGAGTTATAAGAGGTAACAATGGGTACTGTCTGAGACAACTGTTTGTAAAAATTGCTTGTTACCTGAGAACGCTGAAAGAAAATGTCAGTTACTCATAAGTTAGTTTGAGTCAAGGTTTATCAGACCTTCTTGTCTAAGCACTGTGCTAGGACTACAGTGATAGAGATGAGCACTTGTCTTCAAAGAACTTGCACTTTAGTAAGCACAAAATATCTACATTTATTCATTGAGCAAGTATTTGTCAAGTTATGTTTATAACACAGTATGTGTCTGGGCAATGAGAATAAAATGGGGAATGAGACAGAGATCCTTCCCTCAAAGTATTTATAGTGATAGGTGACTATTATTAACTCTAGTGTGCAGTAACAAGTTCCGTTGGTGTGGTACAAAGTAGTGGTACAGAGGTTTAGAGTAATCGGGGATCATATGTGATTGGAAAAGCAGAAAAGAATCACTGACTCATTTTAGCTCATCTTGAAGGAATGGGTAGACTTTCAATAGAGAAGAGGTTAGTGAAACCTGAGTGAGGGTAAGTTTCTCACAGAGGCAACAAACAAAGTGATGAAAGCAGGGAAACTATTTGGACAGCCCAGTGATATTAGAGGATAAGTGATAGATGAAGCTTCAAAGGTCAACTAGTCTAGTTATTAACCTTGAGTGTACATTAGAATCACCTGGAGACCTTGTTAGAATGCACATTCACAAGCATTGTCCCCTTCTGAGTCACGGAACCCAGAGAGTGATTCAGGAACTTGCATTATTTTCTGAACTTCTATTATTTGCTAAATTTACATTTTTTTATAAGTCGATGGTTAATTCAGTTTGTCTTTGAACAACACTTAGAGAAGCACTAACCTGATCCTGGACATTCAGTTAGTACTTAAATCTCTCTCTAAGCATCTCTGCTAAGTAGTTGTCTCCCTGTTGCCTGAACTGGGACTTTGTCATCATCTTCTTTTTTTTCTTTCTTTTTAATTGACCCATAAAATTGTTTGTATTTATCATGTACAACATGATGTTTTGAAGTATTATACTTAGTGGAATAGTAGATCTAGCTAACTAATGCATTACCTCACATAGTTATCATTTTTGTAGTGAGAACACATAACATCCACTCTCTCAGCGTTTTTCAAGAATGCCGTAAATCGTCATTAGCTGTAGTCACTGTACTGTACAGTAGATCTCTTGAACTTATTCTGTCTAACTGTAAATATGTATTCTTTGACTAGCATTTCCCCATCTTCTCCTCCCTGCTAAACACCGCAGCCTCTGGTAATCACCATTTCACTCTGTACTTCTATATGATCAACTTTTTTAGATTCCACATATGAGTGAGATCCTGCAGTATTTGTCTTTCTGGCCTGGCTTATTTCATTTAACTTAATGTTCTTCAGACTTATCCAAATAACAGGATTTCCTTCTTTTTATGGCTGAATAGTATTCCATTTATGTATCTATCTATATCACATTTTTTAATCCATTCATTCATTGATGGACACTTAGGTTGATTCCATATCTTGACTGTTATGAATAGTGCTGGAATGAACATAGGAGTGCAGAAGGAGCTTTTTAGTTTTATGTAATCCCATTTGTCTATATTTATTTACCTTTGTTGGCTATGCTTTTGAGGCCATACCTAGGAAATCATTGCCCAGACTAATGTCATGGAGCTTTCCCCCTCTGTTTTCTTCTAGTAGTTTTATCATTTCAGGTTCTACATCTAAGGCTTCAATCCATTTTGAGTTGATTTTTATCTTTTTTTTTTCTTTTTTAAAAAAATAGAGATGAGGTCTCACTACGTTGCCCAGACTGGTCTCGAACTCCTGGGCCCAAGCAATCCTCCTACCTTGGCCTCCCAAAGTGTTGTGATTACAGGCATAAGCCACTGCATCCAGCTGAGTTTATTTTTATATATGGTGAGAAATAAGGGTCTAATTTCATTCTTCTGCATGTGGATATCTAGTTTTCTCAGCATCATTTTTTTTTTAAGAGACTGCCCTTTCCCCATTGTATATTCTTGCCACTTTTGTCAAAAATTTGTTGGCTGTAAATGTGTGGATTTATTTCTAGGGTCTCTATTCTGTTCACTAGTCTATGTGTCTATTTTTATGCCAGTACTGTGCTGTTTTGGTTACTGTAGCTTTGTAGTATATTTTGAAGTCAGGTAGTGTGATGCCTCCAGCTTTGTTCTTTTTGCTCAAGATTGCTTTGTCTATTCCAGGTGAGACTCTGTCTTTTGAGGCAGACTATTCTTTCTTTGAGTAGACTTGCTGCTTAGAAATCTTTTTCCTTTTATCGAGCTGAAATTTCTCTGCCTCTTCTACCTGTGATTTTAGCTCTTCCCCCTTGAAAAACAGTAACCAGGTTTTTCTTTTATGAGAGCCCTTCAAGTGTTGGAAGGCCTCTCTTCTGTAAGCTGAACAGATGCAGGTCCTCTCTTGTTTTGGTTTTGAGTTCTTTCTTTGTCCTAAACACTTGCCTCTGAGTGCATTCCAGTTTTTTTATGACCTTTGTAAAGTGTAGCACCCAGAACTAAACACTATTACTCCATGGTCTCTGAGTTGTGATTGAATAGTACCCAGATGGGCCATGTGGTTATATCAATTATTTTCTCATATGGTCCTCATAAATACTATAATAGAACTCTGGGGACAAGGGGCTGAATGGAATAACCTTTATTAAGAGATTATATGCCAGCAAGGGGCCGGGTGCGGTGGCTCATGCCTGTAATCCCAGCACTTTGGGAGGCCGAGGCAGGCGGATCACTTGAGGCCAGGAGTTGGAAACCAACCTGGCCAACATGGCAAAACCCCGTCTCTACTAAAAGTACAAAAATTAGCCAGGCATGGTTGCACACGGCTGTAATCCCAGCTACTCAGGAGGCTGAAGCACAAGAATTGTATGAACCCAAGAGGTGCAGGTTGCAGTGAGTTAAGATTGCACCACTGTACTCCAGCTTGGAGTGCAGAGACAAAGCGAGACTGTCTCAAAAAAAGAGAGGGATGATATGCAAGCAAAAAAAGAGCGGGATAGGAACTGGCCTTTAGTGTGCTTGGTAGTTGTCAGCTACTAAATTTAAGAATGGAATATAATAAGCTAGAATACTGTCTTTGTCCTTTTTCCTTCCATGTTTAATTTTACTCTATACCTTGGCTTACAAAAATATTTATCTCCCACCGTCACCTTCCCTCTTACATTGCATTCTTTCTCCCCTCTCCTTCTCTTTCTTTTACCTTTCCTTTCCTCATTTGATAAGGATTTTGCATGTGTAAGGTTAGAGAAGTTATCTGTGCTTTCCCCTCATTCCAGGTACTTTCAGGTGGGACAAAGTGATACACTATTGTGGAGAATTTTGGTTGCGGAAGAGAGGCTTTGGCTGGGGATGAAGCAAAGTTTGCCATTTCCATCCCTTTGGTTCCTCCCGTATGTCCCTTGACACACCCTGATTACTGTAACAAGGCTTGAGCTCTGGAGTTAACCAGAGCTGCAACTGAACAAGCTGAATTTAAACCATAAATTGCCTTTTGGAGAGTTATGTGAATATAGGTCCAGAGATCCGTTTTAAAGCTATTGAATGAGGACCAAATGTCCACGTATCTTTCTCCAGTCTTCACTCATCCTATGACTAAAACTTTAATTTACTTTTTGTATCCCACCAGCTTCTTTAACTTTACCCTGGAAAAGCTTAAATATCAATCATGTTAAGATGAGATGTTTTTCTGACATGATAAACTACATTGTACAGCCTTCTTCCAATAAAGAGGCTGGTGAATAGGGAAAAAGAAGGAAGAGATACAGGGTTTTTTCTTCTTCCCGAGGCAGGCAGCTCCATATTTTTTCTTGCTTTGTAATCTTAATTGCTGAGAAAAGATGTCTAGTAATTAGCTCTTTTGTGTCAAAGTTCAGTATGATGGTACAGAGTCTGTACTGTAACATCCTTGAATTTTTCCACTTTCTTGCTCTTTAGCAACATGCTAAATTGTTGATGACTGTTAGAGCTCTTGTTTCTTCTCCTGCTGGTGTTTTTCTTCTAGAATAAGGATGTCAGTGCGCTTTACATGAACTCAGTCACAGTTTCCAAATATTACTAATGTTTAAGGTTCTTTTTGACTTTGCTGAATTATTTGCAATGTCTTTTGTTCGTTGCTTGTTACGTCAGGTGATTGAAAAGTCCTTTGAGCCTCTTCTCATTTTTCTGATCCCAAAATTGACAGCCGAATTGTAACGAATTGCTATATACAGTGACCCAAATTCTGTATCTCTAATGGATGGGCCATGCATGTTTCCATGCTGACAAACCAGCAGGATTTTTTTGAGTCTTCACTCTGCTGCAACATTTTCTTTCAGTACTAGCCAACATTTACAGATCTCGATATATTTTCATTTACTTGCTAAACAACAAATACTGTGGTCAAGTACTCTTTGCAAAAATCTAAGCAATGACAATTGTTTGGTGAGCTGTGAAATGCCATTAAAGAAGAAAAATATGAATGTTGCACTGAAGAATTATTAGTACTGATTTTTTTTAAACCAAGGAGTTTTGAGGATCATTCAGACTTTCTAATTAGCCATGTGTACAGGAATTTTGCCTGCCCTGGTTTAATTTGTCTAGATTTGTATGCAGGGTTTCACTTTAGGACTTTGCAGTACGTGCTAGAAAGACTGATCCCGCTCTGCCTAGCTATTTAGTGTAGTATAGTGAGCATTGGCTTTGACGTCCAACAAACTGGGTTCAAGTTCAACTATATGACCTTAGGTAAGCTACTTGTTTAAGCCTTAATTTCCCTGTCTGTAAAATATGGCTAAAGCTCGACCCTGCCTCATAATTATTGCCAGGATTAGGTGAACTCATAAATGTAAAAATTTATATCAGTGCCTGGCATAGAGTTACCACTCAATAAATGCCAAGTATCAGTGTGACTAGGGTCGTTCCATGAAACAATGGGAAATACGAGTGGACATGCCAAAATAAGGGGAGAGGGAGAAAGGGGCAGGGCATGCCTTGTGAAATGAATGTGAAAACACGTGACAGAAACAAAAGTGAACAGCTACCTCACAGTCCACTGGTAGAGACAGACTCTCAACAAATCCTTATAAAACTAGTTGATTAGGGCAACCCATTTCTCCGGGACCCCTCTCTGCATCAGAGAGCTATTCTCTTTCTTTTGCCTATTAAACTTCTGCTCTTAACCTCACTCTTAAAAAAAAAAAAACTAGTTGTTTAATTATGATTACCTATGCTACATGGCAGAAGTACAGGGTGCATTTAAAGGGGCTACCTTTCTGTGGTCAATCTCTTGTGATGGTTTACACTGACTGAATGTGCTGTGTCTTCAGCTGCCCACATACTTCTGCTAGAAAGTGGCAAGTCTGCAGTTATCTGAGCCATGTGAGTGGAGCCCTCACTACTCACGTGTCTTACTTTTTGTTTTGCTCTAATCTTTTACCCTTGGGTTCAGTGAGAACTTTCCTCAGAGGACCAGTAAGGCCTCTGTCTAAGGGGGATAGAAATTGCATTACAAACATTTAATATACTCTTTCAACTACCGTCTAAATTATGTGCTTCTAGAAATGAGTTTTCTAATTTCTTTTCCTTTTCAGCAGTACTTGGCATGATATTCTATATTTAGCCTCTCAATAACTTTATATTAGCCAAGAGATAAGCATGTGGCCTTTTGTCCTTCCCACCATACTCATCTTGCCAGATTATATGGTAACAGTATCAATACAAATGTCTTCTGGAATTGTAAATTCCACATTCTCATTTTTAAGATCTGATGATGACATTTTTTCTTTCAATATATAGTCATTTAGACATTTTTCTTTTTCAGTTCATGTCTGTATTTAATGAAAAAACTGTGATGATACAGATAACCCAAAAAGAATATTTTTTTAACAAGTCTATTTTAGGAATGTGTTTCATAAACAGATAGAATCTCCCATATTCTTTGAATGTGTAATACTACAGAATAATAAAATGATAATACTAGACAGTCTGACTTGGAGGAGACTTCACTGGATTACACTAACTCTCTTTCAGACTGACACATCTTACATTAACTTGATACCACTGGTTGGTTGGTCACTTCCCTTCCTGGTAGACTTTGACTTTCTCCAGCCTTTTATTAAACTCTTCAGATTAACTCTGGTCAAATATGAGGATAGTCAACAGAAAAATAGTTAAGACCAAAGAATCCTATCAAGGTTTTCTCTCCTATGGATTGATTAAGAAAGTAATAGCCTGCAGATGTTACTATATCAGTCAGAATAGGCTAGGTTATACTGTAGTTATAGACCACTCTAAAAATCTTAGTGCCATATTTCTCACTCATACAACAAATTCAGTAAGAATTGGTAGGGTCTTTGTTCATTGTAGTTACTCAGGGACCCACGCTGACAGAGACTCAATACATGCTTCCATGATCACAGAGTCAGGGGAAAAAGAGCTCTAGAGGGTCTCACTCTAGCAATTCAATATTCCAGTTCAGACAGGACTCCTGCCACTCCCACTCACAATTTACATGGCCCCAGCCAGCCAAAGAGGAATAGGAAATTTAGTCTTCCATGTGTCCAGAAGGAAGAGAACTGGATCTAGATATCAGTAAGTAGAAATAATGACTCTAATTATGTATGAATAAATGAATAAATCTTCTTTTAGTTAGTGAAAAGTTACCATGGGGGCAAGTAGCTTTTTAGCACTGTATTTGACAAGTCAGCCCATTTCCATAAAGCTGTTTTAACATTTAAATTGTGGCATACACTTAATATAAAACCAAGTAATAATAATAGTAGCCAACACCAACATAACAGTCTGTAT
This sequence comes from Homo sapiens, assembly GCF_000001405.40. Taxonomy (NCBI): domain Eukaryota; kingdom Metazoa; phylum Chordata; class Mammalia; order Primates; family Hominidae; genus Homo; species Homo sapiens. The sequence continues at coordinate 38,444,702 of NC_000006.12, read as the reverse complement.
AATCCTCATAGCAGCCCTATGAAAAAGGTACCCTTTTTATCCCCATTTTATAGATGTGGAGTCTGAAGTACAGAGGGGTTAAGTAAGAAGCCCAAAATCACATAATTAGTGAGTAGCAAAGCTAGGATTTTAACTTGGGTGGTCTGGCTCCAGAGTCCAAGCTCGTAATCACTAGGCCGTAGGATACTTTACATTTTTTCACAACAACCATTTTCCTTATTAATATTTGTTAACTAATTATTCTATATGCTATAAGAAAGACTCCAGTTCTCTAGAGGAAGAGAATTGAAGTATCAGCAGTGGGCTGGACTAAGTAACCAGGAAATTTCCATCCAGCCATATGATTCTTTTATGATTCTGGAGTAAATTCACAAAATACTTATCAAGCACGCCAGGCACTGTGCTGACTCCAGGAATTTACTGTAGTGAATAACACAAACATGACTGATCCCTGTTCTCAGAGTATTAGTTCCCATGAAGTAGACAGTCATTGAAGGAAAGCACAAAACGTCCAATGAAGACACATGGCCAGGGGATTTAACCTCTTCTAGATGGTTAAGCCTGGCTCTTTGCTATTAGAGCTGAGGTAGATAAGGAAAGGCAAAAAGGTATGGACAAAGAAGGTCCAGCACTTAGTGATCAGGTACCCAGTGTGAAGAACTGGGAGAAGCCTGTTAAGAAGAGAGCACAGTGACCAAAGGCAAGAGCAGATTAGGTCACACTGATGCAGCCTGTAGAGGCAGGAAACCACTTAAGCAGGGGAATGACACAAGCAGATTTGTATCTTTCAAAACCGCTCCGTTTTGAAGAATCATACCCCTGGGCAGAGGTGTGGAGTGGATTAGAGGGAGCTCAGAGTGGATGGGGAGACCAGTAAGGAGACTGTTTAGTAATTTTGATGAGAGAAGAGATGCTAGCTAGGAGGCTAAGGTCGTAGCAACAAGGGCAGGAGATGTAAATAGATTTGAGAGATTTAGAAGGAAGCCAGTTTAGGACTTGGCGATTAATTGGATGTGTGCATGTGGGTAAGAGGTGGAAATGAGTGAGCGAGAGAAAGAGAGAGAGAGACAAAGAGAGTGTGTTCAGGGCCAACTTCCTGATTTCTGGCTTGAGCAGCTGCCTGCTTGCTAATCCCTATAATGAGTGAGAATGGTGGAGAAGCTATTTTGGAGGAGAGAGGAAGTGGTAGCACTGTATGCCCTTTATAGTGGGAAATTGGGAAATACGAGTTGATATGCCAGAATAAGGGGAAAGTGAGACAGGGGCAGGGCATGCATTGTGAAATGAACATGAAAACACATGACAGAAACAAGTGAACAGTTAGGTGATAACACATCTGTAGGCATTGAGGTGTGGTAAGTTGAGCCAGGGAAAACATATTCTCACCCCTTCACCTAGAAGCAAGACCAGCCTAAACTAATCTTAAGTGTGTTATATATTGGCTTCAGAGGACATTTGTCTGTCAGTGTCAGGGTTTCAGTCTCTGTTGATTCCCCTCACAGCAGCCTGAATTTTTCTTCTCTGATAAAGTTAGTATAGAATTCTAGCTTTGTTTGTTAAATTGTTCATGTGGTCCATTGTGTTACAAAGTCATACCACCACAATCCATTTGCCTGCCAAGTCAATACTTGCTTCACAAACATAGCAGAAATTAAGATGATTCTGTCTAGCTTGAGTTTCTTACAATTTTTTTTTAAAAAATCCTTGATCCTTTTATGTTTTAAGAGCACAAATGGGCCAAGCGCGGTGGCTCACACATGTAATCCCAGCACTTTGGGAGGCCAAGGCGGGCAGACCACCTGAGGTTGGGAGTTTGAGACCAGCCTGACCAACATGGAAAAACCCCTATCTACTAAAAATACAAATTTAGCTGGGTATGGTGGCACATGCCTGTAATCCCAGCTACTCAGGAGGCTGAGGCAGGAGAATCACTTGAACCTGGGAGGCAGAGGTTGCGGTAAGCCGAGATTGCACCATTGCACTGCAGCCTGGGCAACAAAAGCGAAACTCCATCTCAAAAAAAAAAAAAAAAAAAAAAAAAGAGTACAAATGAGTCTGTTCTATATGACCTCCAACTTTCCTTCTTCACAGGAGGGACATCTGTTGTTAAACAGTGTGGACTGGGTGAAGCTTCTGGGGTCATCATATTAACTTCTTTGGGTGTATTCTTCCTCTCCATGTACTTAGTACTTCTGTTTTTATTTTAAATATATATATAGTACGACTTTTTTTTGAGATGAAGTCTCGCTCTCTTGCCCAAGCTGGAATGCAGTGGCGTGATCTTGGCTCACTGAAACCTCCGCCTCCCAGGTTCAAGCCTCCCGAGTAGGCTGGGACTACAGGCAGGCACCACCATGCCCAGCTAATTTTTATATTTTTAGTAGAGACGGGGTTTCACTATGTTGGCCAGGCTGGTGTCGAACTCCTGACCTCGTGACCTGCCCGCCTCGGCCTCCCAAAGTGCTGGGATTACAGGTGTGAGCCACTGCACCCGGCCCAGACTCTGTTATTATAGGAATTCACAGACAAAATGTTGCCCCTACAAAACAGCAATGGAGCCTAACAAAAACTGTCTCACCAACATCAGCATTATGAAGGCACTGTGATTTTGTTATATGTATTTCTGTGCAATCTAGTACTGGGAAGCTATTCTCTCTTGCCGCAGTTTTGCCTGGTCCCTTAAAATAGGAACTTTTACCATCTCGGGAATTTTGGGAGGAAGGCTTCATGCATCAGAGAGGGGCTGTAGAACCAGACTGGGTTATCTCTCAGCTCTGTACTTTCTAGTTGTATACCTTTAGGTATAACTGTATGACTTTAACTTTTGTTTGGGCCATATGTAAAATTGGACTGTTGATAACATCCACTTCATAGGTTGTTGTCAGGAATAATGAGGTAATATATGTAAAGCACTTAGAATAGTATCTGGCACCCAGTAAAAGCTCAATAAATGCCAGCTATTATTGCTTTCTTAATATCTCTCAGAGGCTGGGTGTGGTGGCTCATGCCTTTAATACTAGTGCTTTTGGAGGCCAAGGTGGGAGGATCACTTGAGCCCAGGAGTGTAAGACCAGCCTGAGCAACAAAATGAGATCTGTTTCTATGAAAAAAAATTTTTTTTAACTAGCCAGGCACGGTAGCGGGTGCCTGTAGTCCTAGCTACTCCCGAAGCTGAGGTGGGAACATCTCAGATGTTCAAGGCTGCCGTGAGCCATGATTGGCTCGCGTTGTCCAGCCCGGACGACAGACTGGGACCCCCTCTCTAAAACAAAAACATCTCCTAGGATAAGGTGATAAGTTTCTTCTCTGTAACTCTCTATAGCATCTCATATAGGATTCTGTATTCAAAAGTCTCCTGCAACCACCTCCCCACCCCCAAATTTGTAGGAATTGGCAAACAAATGGGGAGGGACTAGGTCCCTCCAAAGGATCTACTACCACCCAAGAGAACACATTCTTAGCCCTTCACCTAGAAGCAGGACCTCTAAATTGGCCCTTTTTGGGACACAGGCTACCTTGGCCAGCAGCCCCACAACACTTTGGGCCTGGAATTGTGTCACCCAGTGTTTCTGTGCTCCTTAGAAGGTTTCTGTTTTACCTTAGTGTTGGCTCTGAGTTCTATGAAATTTACCCTTGGGGTTGTGATTCTCTTTATTGCCTTCATAGGCAGTCACCCAGCTTCTCCACTTCTCCACAGGGTGTTTCTGGGAAGCATATGATAAAATGGATTATGTTTTCCTACAGGAAAAGTATAAGTGCAAATTACTTTGCTAACTTAGTACTCAATATCAAAAAAAATTCTAGATTTGGCCAATGCTGTATTAGAAAACCCAAATCTCCTGGCTCCCTGACCGGTGTTATATCTACTATAGCTCATTATCTGTGCTTTAAAAGTTTTATAAAATATACATAAATGTTTAATTAGTATATGTGGTACAGAAGGCCCTAATGCATTATAAAGTAGACATTCAACACATTAAAATATGTCTATTATGCCATAAATTTGACATACCTAAAAGTAATATGTTACTATAATATACACTAAACATTTAATTAACATTAGTGTTGCTTGCTTTTTACAATTGTAAGGGACTTGATGGAAGAATTTAAAAAGCTTATCTAAGAATGTTTGAAAAAGAAAGTTGTCCAGAAGTGGTTGTGTTCTTTCTGAAACCTATTCCAAACAGGCCTTCCCTCATCTTACACCCTCAAACTGCCGTTGTCAAGGTCACCAATTATTACCACAGTGCTGAGCCCAGTAGTCTCTTCCGAGTCCTTGTCTTGCTTCACTTAGCAGCAGCACTGGATTCAGTTGTTAACACCCTGCTCCTTGAAAAATGTCATTTACTTGACTTCCAGGACACCTCTCTTCTCTGGTTTCCTCCTATCCCACTGGCTGTTTCTACTTAGTGCGTTTTGCCGGTTCCTCCTTCTCCTCCAGCCTCTAAAACTGAAGTGCCTTGGCCTTCATCTGTGACCCTCTTTTCTTTTCTATACATAAGCATGCTCAAATTTGGTGACCTCAATCAAGTCTCAAGGGCTTTAAACTATATCTATGCTGAACACTCCCAAATCTATATATCCAGCTTGGACTTCCTTGAACCCAAGCTTCATAAATTCAGTGGCCTACTTGACACTTTTACTTGAATGTTTAATAGGAATCTGAAACTTAACATAAACAAAGCCATACTCCTGAGCTAGCCTCTACAATCCCCCATCTTCTGCAGTCTTCAGGAGTTTACTAGATAGTAATTCCAATGTTTTGCTTAGGCCATCATTCTGTCATATCCCTCTTCTTGACTGCCAGCAAGTCCTTTTAGTTCTTACCTTCAGAATATTTCCAGAACGTGGAACAGTAGCATATGCCTGTAGTCCCAGCTACTCAGGAGGTTGAGGAGGGAGGATTTCTTGAGCCCAGGAGTTTGAGGCTGCAGTGAGCTGTTAAAATTGAAGCCCAAATTAAAAGTCACAGTTGCGGCCAGGTGTGGTGGCTCACGCCTGTAATCTCAGCACTTTGGGAGGCTGAGGAGGGCGGATCATTTGAGGTCAGGAGTTTGAAACCAGCCTGGCCAACATGGTGAAACCCCATCTCTACTAAAAATTCAAAAATTAGATGGCCATGGTGGTGGGTACCTGTAATCCCAGCTACTCGGGAGGCTGAGGCAGGAGAATCACTTGAGCCCGGGAGGCAGAGGTTGCAGTGGGCAGAGATTGTGCCACTGTACTCCAGCCTGGGCAACAGAGTGTGACTCTGTCAAAAACAAACAAAAAAACAGGCTGGGCATGGTGACTCATGCCTGTAATCTCAGCCCTTTGGGAGGCCGAGGTAGGCAGATCACTGGAGGTCAGGAGTTCGACAGCAGCCTGACCAGCATGGTGAAACACCATCTCTACTGAAAATACAAAAAAAAATTAGCTGGGCATGGTGGTACACGCCTGTAATCCCAGCTACTTGGGAGGCTAAGGCAGGAGAATCATTTGAACCTGGGAGGTGGAGGTTGCAGTGAGCTGCTGAGATTGTCCAATTGCACTCCAGCCTGGGTGACAAAAGCAAAACTCCATCTCACCAAAAAAAAAAAAAAAAAAAAAAAAGTCAGTTGCTACACGAGCCTACAAGACCCCACATTATCAGGTGTCCTGTCTTCTCTTGGACTGTCTTACTATACTCTCTTCCTTGTTTTCTTCACTCCAGGACACGCTTTGCTGTTCTTGAACACACAAGGGATAGACTTTTGCTGCAGGACTTGCTGTCCCCTCTGTTGGCAGCTTTTTTCTTCAGATATCTTCATGGCTTATTTCCTCACTCCCTTCAGGCCTCCACTTCTATTCCGTTTTCTCAGTAAGGCCTTAGTAAGGCCAAACACCCATCTTCCTTCTGTTTTGTTTTTCTGCATAGTATTGATCACCACATAACCAAATATATTTTACTAATTTATTTTGTCTTTTTAATCTGTTGTCTCTATCTTTCCCCACTAAAATGAAGCTCTCTAGCACCTAGAACTATACCTGGTACATAGTAAATGCTCAATAAATATACTTGTAAGATTGAAAGAATGAACTTTCACCCTTCCTTGTAGTTTCCAAAGGAAAGGAATCTGTCCATTTAATTGAGACCTAAATGACGGAAAGGTTTATTTCCTGGTAGTGTTGAAAATGTTGCCTTGTTGGTAGAAACAGGAGATATTTTAATTAGTACTTTTTATTTCTTCCTCCACTGAACTCATGCACTGTCCCATCACTCCCATGCCTCTGCCAGAATTATAATTATCTACTTGCCATCTTAGTTCTGAAAAACTATCAGCTATACTCTGCACCTTGTACCATTTCTCCACTTCAACGGTTTTTCTGCTGCCCAGGCTTATGCTGAGGATCCAAAGTATGTGAAAGCAGTTTTTTGTGTACTAAATTGCCATAAGCTGCAATCCAGTAGTAGTCTGTTCCTTCCTTCCTTCCTCCCTCCCTCCCTCCCTCCCTCCCTCCCTCCCTCCCTCCCTCCTTCCTTTCCTCCTTTCCTCCTTCCTTCCTTCCTTTTTTTTTCCTGTTTGGCCTTACTGAATCAAGTAGTAGTATTCTTCAAGCTAGATCCTTTCTACAAATGTTTTCAGGCTTCAGTCAGTGCTGTTGATGTGAGTGAAAATATCCTCGCTTCGTATCCCAGGAGATCCCTGGGTTTTGGAACCAGTAGACTTTGTTTAAATTAGAATTCCATCTTCAATACTTACATAGCTCTATGTGACCTTGAAAAGATTTCTTAAAATCTGAGACTGAGTCTGACATGTCACCTTTCAACATAGGTTACTTTCCTTTTCCTTTCTTTCCCCTTTTCATTTTGTTTTCCCATTCCCCACCCAGAAAAAAGACTTGACCACTGGATTTTTCAAAGCCTAAATACAGAGATCCTATTTGAACACTGTCCCCTGCTTAAAAATTGTATTTTAGTTTACTCTTGAACATTTCAGTATAATCTTCAACCTTAATTATCATTAATGAAACCTTCTTCTCTACGTGAACTCTGTACTAAGCAGAAAGCCTGGAATCCTTACAAGCATTACAAAGTAAGACAGATATGTCTGGGGTATAAGATTAAAGATGAAACACATCAGAAAACATGTGGAAAGGGCATTACAGTTTTCACAGTCTTTCTCAAAATGTCTTTCTTTTTCAAAGAAATAACAATAAACCCAGAAAAAGACATATATTATTTTCACATGTCTTCTTTTCAGTGAATAGAAGTAAAAATTAATAGTAATGGGAAAAGAACATGAATCCAGATAAGGTATTTGCATCGTCCTATATTTCTTCCTCTGAAAACTGTTGTGAGCTGGCAAATCCTGCAGTTGATAAACTCCAGAGCCATGGGGGACAGGGGTAAGATACTCACTAGGACCACCCCGCTTCTCTATTGTCAGGAGTTACCAGCTGCCGTGACCCTCCCTTCGCTACCCTGAGGCAGTGGCACACATCCAGGGGAGCTTTGTCGTTAGCATCTTTGGTGTCCACCTGTCTTTGTGTCACGTTGACCTTTCAGTCTTAAAAATATACACGTGATCATAGTTGACTCTGTATTTATGTATTCATACTCCTTAAGCCTTAGGTTTATTGTAATTTGTATTAATTAGATGCTTAATATGCATTATCACCAACCCAGCCCTTTTTGATACTGTGTTTGATTGTGCAACATTAGGAGGATAAGGGAAAAACTGGCTTGCTTTAGATATCACAGAAAGCCAGGAAAAAGCTGAGTGATTGAAGAGTGGTACACATATACATATTCCTATGACTACAACTATCATCATCGTTGTAGACTTGTAATTTATAGCACTTCCTGTTTACAGATACTGAGAGAAACTCACTCTGTGACTTGAATAATGCCAACAACCATGAGTCAGAGATGCTGTTCTTACTGAGGGTAAAGCCAGGGAGTTGGGAGCGCAAGCAAGGCATTCAAACCTGTCCGCTCCCTTCTTTTTATGAAAAACCCCTTGAATGAGAAAGTTGATGTCAACATATATCCAAATTAGAATTTGGGCCAGGTGTGGTGGCTCATGCCTGTAATCCCAGCATTCTGGGAGGCCAAGGCAGGCGGATGACCTGAGGTCAGGAATTTGAGACCAGCCTGACCAACAGGGTGAAACTCCGTCTCTACTAAAAATACAAAAATTAGCTGGGCGTGGTTTCGCACGCCTATAATCCCAGCTACTCAGGAGGCTGAGGCAGAAGAATTGCTTGAACATGGGAGGCAGAGGTTGCAGTGAGCCGAGATCGTGCCGTTGCCCTCCAGCCTGGGCAACAAGAGTGAAACTCCGTCTCAAAAAAAAAAAAAAAAAAAATAGAATTGGGGTAGATATTATTGCTTCATTAGTTTCACATACAGAAGATTCTATAGCCCTTCTTCTCAGTGTTGGAAAATAAAGTATTTATAGAAAGTAGCGTGGGAGATTTGGATTTAAGACAGGAAATTGGAATGTGTCTTTTTGGGTGTTCCTCATTCTACTGCTTATGTTGACTATGGGCAGGAATCTTTACCTCTTAACTTCATTTTTTACGTTTATTGAAATGGTACTTTCTATTTATCTACTTATCAGTACTAGGCAGATTCTGTATAACTTTCAGTTTCAGGATACTTAAGGAATTTATGACATTTCATGATTTTGCTCCAAATTGTTAACTTTGTACTTAGAATGTTAATATTGAATGTCCCCTTGGGCCTATGGTTATACCAGTATACTCTCTGGGCTGGGTGAGGTGGCTCATACCTGTAATCCCAGCACTTTGGGAGGCCAAGGTGGGCGGATCACTTGAGGTCAGGAGTTTGAGACCAGCCTGGCCAACATGATGAAACTCCATCTCTACTAAAAATACAAAAATTAGCCGGGCGCAGTGGCGGGCACCTGTAATCCCAGCTACTCGGGAGGCTGAGGCCGGAGAATTGCTTGAACCCAGAAGGTGGAGGTTGCAGTGAGCCAAGATCACGCCACTGCACTCCGGCCTGGGCGATAGAGTGAGACTCAGTCTCAGAGAGAAAGAAAGAGAGAGAGAGAGAAAGGAAGGAAGGAAGGAGGGAGGGAGGAAGGGAGGGAGGGGGAGGGAAGGAAGGAAGGGAGGGAAAAGAAAAGAAAGAAGGAAGGAAAGAAGGAAAGAAAGAAAAGTAGGTCTGTGAGTTTTTTTGGTGCAAAAGTTGGCTGTTTTTTCTTTTCTAGTGTGTTCTAGACTTTTTTTAAGAACAAAACTTTAACCATGCTTTTCTTTTTCTTTTTTTCACTGCAACCTGTGCCTCCCAGGTTCAAGCGATTCTCTGCCTTAGCCTCCTGAGCAGCTGGGATTACAGGCACCGCCACCACACCGGGCTAATTTTTGTATTTTTAGTAGAGATGGAGTTTCACCATATTGGCCAGTCTGGTCTTGCGCCATAAACCTAAGCCTGGTCATTCTGATACAGTAGCCTGCATTAGTCTACTGAGGATATGGAACATAGGGAATATTAGCAATTAACTTCCCCCCCACCCCCCGAGACAGAGTCTTGCTCTGTTGCCCAGGCTAGAGTGCAGTGGTACAATCTCAGCTCACTGCAACCTCTGCCTTCCAGGTTCAAGCTATTCTCCTGCTTCAGCCTCCCGAGTAGCTGGGATTACAGGCATGTGCCACCATGCCTGGCTAATTTTGTATTTTTAGTAGAGACAGGGTTTCTCCATGTTGGTCAGGCTGGTCTCGAACTCCCGACCTCAGGTGATCCACCTGCCTCGGCCTCCCAAAGTGTTGGGATTACAGACGTGAGCCACTGTGCCCGGCCAAATACACCATTTCATATAAGGGACTTGAACATCTGCAGATTTTGTTATCTGCAGGGGTCCTGAAACCAATCTCCAGTGGATACTGCGGGACTGTAGTATACATATATCTGTCTATATAAAACAACTAAAACAAAATTTAATGCATAATCACAAATTTCCTGCATGATAGACTACTACTAGGGAGAGTGTGTAAGAGAAAGCTATTTGAATTTGAATTCAGTCTTTTGTTGACAAAAAGAGTCAAACTATGTAAAATATTTGAAGAGATTTATTCTGAGCCAAATATGAGTGACCTTGGCCCGTGACACAGCCCTCAGGAGACCCTGACAACATGTGCCCAAGGTGGTTGAGGTGCAGTTTGGTTTTTTATACATTTTAGGGAGGCAGGAGACATCAATCAAATACATTTAAGAAATACAATGGTTTGGTCCAGAAAGGTGGGACAACTCAAAGCGGGGCTGGGAGGTGTTTCAGGCTATAGGTGCATTTAAACATTTTCTGGTTGAGTTTGTCTAAAGACCTGGGATCAATAGAAAGGAAATATTCAGGTTAAGATAAAAGATTGTGGAGACCAAGGTTCCTTTGAAGTCTCATAGTGGCTGACCTTAGAGACAACAGATGACGAATGTTTTCTATTCAGACCTTTAAAAGGTGCTAGACTCTGTTAATCTCTTCAGGGTTGGGAGAAACTGGAAGAAAAAGATCTAGCTATGTTAATAGAGATTCTTTACAGATGCAAATTTTGCCCCACAAAATTTTTTGCAGGGCCATTTCAGAATATGGCAAAGAAACTTGGGGTAAAATATTTTGATTTTCTTCTTTGTCACATAATGCTATACCAGAGTCAGAATGGAAAGTAAGTCAGAATATATAGTGTTAAGTAAAACTCATCTGCTGAGAATATATGGTTTGTAGAGCATGACTCGCCAGACCCCTTAGAGAAGAATTTGGCCAGGATAAGAAAAATCAGAGCTTAGTCCTCACTTTCAGCAAATAGCGATTGAGTGCCAGGCACTGTTCCAGTCATGAGTATACAGCAGTGAACTTAACAGACATGGTCTCTGTTGTTATGGAACTTACATATTATGGTGGAGGAAGGGAAGACAATAAATAAACAGTGAAATAAACATGGCAATTTCAGATATAATGAATGCTAGAAGAAAATAAAACATGGTAGATGTCACATGTGTCCATGTGAAGAGACCACCAACAGGCTTTGTGTGAGCAACAAGGCTGTTTATTTCACCTGGGTGCAGGCGGGCTGAGTCCAAAAAAGGAGTCAGCAAAGGGAGATAGGGGTGGGGCTGTTTTATAGGATTTGGGTGGGTAGTGGAAAATTACAGTCAAAGGGGGTTTTTCTCTTGCAGGCAGGGGCGGGGGTCACAAGGTGCTCAGTTGGGGAGGTTCTGAGCCAGGAGAAGGAATTTCACAAGGTTAATCGCTCAGTTAAGGTGGGGCAGGAACAAATCACAATGGTGGAATGTCATCAGTTAAGGCTATTTTCACTTCTTTTGTGGATCTTCAGTTGCTTCAGGCCATCTGGATGTATATGTGCAGGTCACAGGGGATATGATGGCTTAGTTAGGGCTCAGAGGCCTGACAGTAGAGGGATGAGAAACTTTTGAGTTGGATCATCATAGAAGGTAAAGTTTGAGCTGAATCTTAACTGACATGAAGGAATTAGGCAAGTAAAAATCTCAAGGGGAAGCATTCCAAGTAAAGGGAGAACTTTGCAGAATCCTCAAAGATGGAATGAACTTGGTATACTCAAGGCACAGAGGAAGGCCTGTTTGTGCAAGAGCTAGTGCAAGTGGTAGTATGTGAGGCTGAAGATGTGGCTGAGAGCCTGATCATATAGGGCTATCTTATTCAGTTTTCTGTTGCTATAACAGAATATCTGAGACTGGGTAATTTATAAAGAAAAGAAATATAATCACCCAGTGGGTTGTTCCTACCTGCTGCACAGAGAAAACCAATTCACTGAGACTGTGCTATTGCAGTAGAGAAAGAGTTTTATTAATGTGAAGCTGGCCATGCAACAGAACTGGAGGTATCACTCAAAGCAGAAGTTAAGGTTTTTCAAGGATAGTTTGGTGGGCACAGGACTAGGGAATGGATGCTGCTGATTGGCGATGTAATCTTAGGAGTGTGGAAAATGGTCCTCATACACTGAATCTGCCTCTAGGTGGGGAGGGTGTGTGCCACAGGACCTGTTGAATCATAAGTCATTAGTCATGAGGTCAGTGGGTTGCCAGAATGCAAAAGTCTGAAAAACATCTCAGAAGACCAATCTTAGGTTCTACAATAGTGGTGTTATCTATAGGATCAGTTGGAGAATTCACAAATCTTATGACCTCTGTCCATGTGATTCTGAGCAGTAAGGGGATTATGGAAACTATGCCTACATTTTAGCAGAATTCAGGACCCTCCCATAATCCCAATCTTGTGGCCTCTCATTAGTCTTACAAATGGTGTCTCAGCCCCAAATGAGGAGGGGATGTTTTAGGGAGGGACTGTTATCATACTTAATTCCAAATTCCTCCCGCTCAGGAATGAGTGAGGACAGTCAGCCTGTGAGGCTAGAGGCAAGATGAAGTCAGCCATGCGAGATTTCTCTCACTGTCATGATCTTTGCAAAGGCAGTTTCAGAACTATATTTGGCTCACAGCGCTGGAGGCTGGGAAATCCAAGGGCATGGTGGCAGCTTCTGGCAAGGGCTTTTTTACCACATCATAACATGGTGAAAAGCAGAAGGGCAAGAAAGCTTGTGCAAAAGAGACAAAACATGATAGCCTTCCCTCAAAACAACCTACTCTTGAGGTAGCTAATCCAGTCCCGTGAGAGGAAGAATTCACTTACTTCCACCAGAATTCATCTGAAAGAGCAACATTAGTCCCTCTTAAAGATCTAATCACCTCTTAAAGGCCTCACCTCCCAAAACCACCATACCAGGACCAGGTACCAGATTTCCAACACATGAATTCTGAGGGACACATTCAACCCATAGCAAGACCCCTGTAGGCCATGTCGCAGGGTTAAATTGTATTCCAAATGAGATTGGATGCCATTAGATTTTAAACAGCTTTTTAAAAACTAAAAAAGTGTTTCACTCTTGCTGCAATGGGGATATAGACAGACAAGAGTAGAAAGCAGAGAAACTAGTAAGGAGGTACACTATTCATTTATCAGTCTAGAGGAGAAATGATAGGGGATGTGCATTGGGTGCCAGCAGTAGAATTGAAGACCTGTGGTCAGAGTCAGGTTATATTCAGAATTTGCTGACAGAGTAGATAGAGATTAGGAGAGAATTTTTTTGTTTGAGCAAGGGTGTGAATGATGGTAGATAAGACAATGGGGAGGAGCAGGTTTGAGGGATGGGAATCTAGGGTTTTTGAAGGCTATCTTAATTTTTAAATGCATGGTTCTGGCATTTATTACTTGTGGAATATTGAACAAATTATTTCAATTTCCTCATCTGTGAAACTGGGTTGGTAATAGTATGTATGCTATATGGTTTACATGAAAATTAAATGTATTAATGCCCTGAAGCACTTAAAACACAACTGGACACATACTGTGTTCTCAGTAAATGTTAGCTATTGTTGCTGCTACTGTTAATATTATTACTATTACCCATAATCATAATATTAGTGTATGTCCACATGAGATATTGAAGAGGCAATAGGATTTATGAGTCTGGAACTCAGGAGAGAAATCAGGACTGGAGATAAACTTTGAGAGTTATTAGCATACAGATGGGTATTGAAAACCATGGGACTGGGTGAGATTTCCTATGGAGAGAGGAGAGAAGAGAAGAGAGACAAAGACTGAAGAATGGGGCCCTTCACCTTTGGAGGTCAAGACAAAGGCGTAGAGTCAACAACGAAATGAGAAGGAGCTGTCAAAGGACAGAAGGGAAACCTGAAGGGTACTGCATTGTGAAAGCAAAGTATAGAAAGCATTAAAAGACAGAAGTCAACCACATCAAATGACGCTGAGAAGAGTAAGACCAGGACAGACCTGACCATTGGGTTGGCACAGGATTAATTGATAGCAGCCTTGTCAGGAAACATTTCAGTGGAGTGATGGGAATGAAAATCCTATTGGAGTAGCTCATGCCTGTAATCCCAGCGCTTTGGAAGACTGAGGCTGGAGGATCACTTGAGTCCAGGAGTTCGAGACCAGCCTGGTCAACATAGGGAGACCCTGTCTCTACAACAATTTAAAAAACAAAAATTAGCCAGGAATACTTAGGGTAGTCCCAGCTACTCAAGAGGCCTAGGCAGGAGGATCATTTGAGCCCAGAAGTTCAAGGCTGCAATGAGCTGTGATCATGCCTCTGCACCCCAGCCTGGGCAACAGAGCAAGACCCTGTCTCAAAAAAAAATTTTTTTTTTTCAGCTGCGGTGGGTCATGCCTAGCCCTTTGTGAGGCCAAGGTGGGAAGATTGCTTGAGGCCAGGAGTTCAAGATGAGCCTGGGCAGCATAATGAGACCCTGTCTCTAAACAAAACCCATAAAACATAAGTTGGGTGTGGTGTGGCACAAGCCTGTGATCCCAGCTAGTTGGGAGGGTTAGGCAAGAGGATCCCTTGAGCCCAGGAGTTCGAAGCTTCAGTGAGCTATGATCATGCCACTGCACTCCAGCCTGGGCAACAGAGGGAGAACCTATTTCTAAAAAAATAAAATAAAATAAAAAAGTTTAAAGCCACATTCTGAATAATAAGGAAAAAAAGTAAGGAAAAGGATAGTACCTACCTAGGAAAAATCATCTGATGTTATTTGCTATCAGTGACAAAACAGAATTATAATCTCCTACCTTACTTTACTTTTCTTCAGTAAGGAGTTTGGTCTTCAAACAGGAAAGGAAAAAACAAACATGTTTGAGAAGATATGGGAGCCCAGGGTAGGTAAGAGAATCAAAGGGAGATTAAATGAGTATCTTCCACTTTAAATTAATTCTGATCTCTAGGTTCTGCTGAATTACATCCCAGGAAGCTCAGAGAACTTTCAGATCTGATTTTGGAATTTTCATTCAGCATAATTTTTAGCAAGAAGCCTAATATTATATGTGATTGTTTTTCCCCCAAAAGGAGAAATTCTCTATGCAAAGAGGCTTGGCTTTTGTCCCTGGCAGTCATTCTAGAACTAGCAATTAACCTGATAGTTTCTGAGCATTTGAGAAAAAATGCGTAACACTAGTAACCAACTTGAATTTTCTGAAAATAAGTCATTCCGAAATAGATTTTCCTTTAGGGTTTTATTGTTGGAAAATTGGAGCAACACTGTAGATGCAGTGTAACTTGATTTTAGCCAAGTATTTGATGGAGTTTCTTATGACGTTTTGCAAATAAGAGGAAGGATAGGTTAACATTTAAGTACGTATGTGTGCAAGGTGCTCAATAGGGTGGTAAAATTATATTCAAATCCGTTTTTCTTTCTTTTTTTTTTTTTTTTGAGACGTAGTCTTGCTCTTGTCACCCAGGCTGGAGTGCGATGGTGCGATCTCGGCTCACTGCAATCTCCGCCTCCTGGGTTCAAGCGATTCTCCTGCCTCAGCCTCCCGAGTAGCTGGGATTACAGGTGCCTGCCACCACGCCTAGCTAATTTTTGTATTTTTAGTAGAGACAGGGTCTCACTATGTTGGCCAGGCTGGTCTTGAACTCCTGACCTCAAGTGATCCGTCTGCCTCAGCCTCCCAAAGTGCTGGGATTACAGGCGTGAGCCACCATGCCCAGCCCAGTTGTTGGTTCTTGAATCAGTGATGCCCATGAAGTATCTAATGGGGTATCACTGGATTTTGCTCTTGGCTCTCTCCTGACCAGAAACCTAGAAGAAAATATAATAGGCAAGTGGAAAGAACTAATGCAGTAGATGACAGAGTCAAATGAAAAATCATTCTGGGGCCGGGCGCAGTGGCTCACGCCTGTAATCCCAGCACTTTGGGAAGCCAAGGCAGGCAGATCACGAGTTCAGGAGATCAAGACCATACTGGCTAACACGGTGAAACCCCGTCTCTACTAAACATACAAAAAATTAGCCGGGCGTGGTGGGCGCCTGTAGTCCCAGCTACTCGGGAGGCTGAGGCAGGAGAATGGCGTGAATCCGGGAGGCAGAGTTTGCAGTGAGCCGAGATCGCGCCACTGCACTCCAGCCTGGGCAACAGAGTGAGACTCCATCTCAAAAAAAAAAAAAAAGAAAAAACGAAAAATCATTCCAATGCCTGAATAAGCTGTATTATTTAACAGTTGTTTGGGAACCATTCATTGGTTCATTCATTTACTCATTTTTGAGAGCTTTGTATCAAACACTGTTCTTGGTGTTGGGAATGCATGAGAAAACAAAGAGAAACAAGTCATGGACCCTGTGTCTTCAAGGACCTTATAGAGTGTGCCAAAAAAATGCTTTAATACGGATCACTCGAGCCCAGGAGTTCGAGGCTGCAGTGAGCCGCGATCATGCCACTCACTTCAGCCTGGGCAACAGAGAACGTAGTTTTAGTTGGGAGTGGGTGGGGGTGGGGCATTAATAGAGCAAGTGCTAACATGCTAACATAGAGTTGTGTACAAAGGTTTTTGGGGGCCTAAAGATGGGAGTGGTCAATTCAACCAGGGTGCTATTCTATTGCAATGCTGCTTTTCCTTTCAAGGGCCCAACTCCTGAAGAAGCATGAGTGACCACTTCAAACTTCTCAGTCCCCTTTTAAAAGGTCCTTCATGAAGCACCTTTGATGTTCAAATGTCAGGGATATATCTCGTTAATCTTTGGTGCCTGTTCTGCCCCACTGTTATCCCCCTCACCCAAAAAGCTCCCTTCCTAGAACTTTCAGCCCTCAGAGTAGCTGCTCTTTGTTCCTCATTCCTTTGAAGGGGCCTGCTTACCTCTTTTTATGCAAATATAGAAAAGTACCTTGACTTATGCAAATGTTGAACATTAACACTTCTAGTGCCCAGGAGCAATGTTCCCTCAAACATTACACTGTTCAGGAGTAACTAACTATGAAGGTTAAGCATACAGGAACAGTTTAATCTTGCAATCAAATAAAACTTACTCTAGTTAACACAGTACAGGTAATAACATACCTCATCGTTATTGTGCTGCATTATAATTAGTCAAGTAGAGAATGGTTGACCTAAGAGAATGCAATTCATATTTATTTTATGCAGTGGAAACAGATCTTTGTGGATTTTCTCTTCTTTTTGTTAGTTCTCCATTACCTATAATTATCTTGATTGTTGACAGGGGTGTTTTTTGAGACCACTATAATTTAATCTTTTTGGTTCACTGATAAGCACACACACAAATACTTTGACACACAGGTTAGAAAAACAAAACTCCAGCATTTCTAGCTGCAGGGATTTCCTCTTTTCCTTTCTAGGGAGGCATCTTTTCTGTGCATGGCTAGCCCATGCAGTATATGGTTGCTCCAGCTCCCTGGTGCGTACTTTTCTCAGCTCCAGCTGTGCACTGGAATCATTTGGGGAGCTTTTACAAAAGCCCAGTGCCTAGAGCTCACCTCACAGAGAACCTAATGAAATTGGTCTGGGGTGCATCTGCTATCGGTATTTCTTTTTTCTTTTCCTTTTTCGAAATGGAGGTCTTGCTGTGTTGCCCAGGCTGGTCTCAAACTCCTGGGCTCAAGCAATCCTCCTGCCTGAGCCTCCTGAATAGCTGAGATTATAGGTGGGAGCCACCATACTCAGCATGGCATCAGCTTTTTTTTTTTTTTTAAAGCTCCTCAGATGATTTTAATATTCAGCTATGGCTGAACTGCACTGCCATAAAGGGATAGAGGTACAGTGGTTTCTTGGTTATTTGTCCAGGAGAATGGACATGGGTATCAGGGTGCTGTGGAGGGCAGAGAGGTCCTACAGGCCTAGGATGTAGGATACAGAACGTAGAATCGCTACCTGGGAATCTGGGGAGATGGGGAATTGAAGCTTCACTGAGACATTTCAGGGGACACTGGAGGCTGGATGGTCTCTCTCTTTGTCTAGACATGATACTGTTACCAGGGTTCCTTGCTCACAGAGCTTCCAAGATGGTGGCAAGCTGCTTCCGAGATGGTGGCAAGCCTCGTGTTCTCTGACCTGGGGTTCTTGGCCTCATGGATTCCAAGAAATGGAATCTTGGGCCATGCAGTGAGTGTTATAGCTCTATTAGAAGCTGTGGGTCACGGAAGAGAACCGTGGAACCCAGTGACTAGTGTTCAGCTCAATTAGGACGAACCCAGGCACTTAGCCATGCAGGAACAATGGCAAGCCTTTAGCCCAATCGGGAGTGGCAATAGGCGCCTCGCTGGATCAGGAGCACAGCGGACACCCTGCCGGATCCGGAAGAATGGAAGTCAGCGGTGGGTCTGCGACGGCGGCAAAACAGCAGTGGTGGATGGCGAGCAAAAGCTCAGCTCGAGCCCTAACAAACACGGGCCAGAAGAGTGCAGTTGCAAGATTTAATAGAGTGAAACAGAGTGAAAACAGAGCTCCCATTCAAGGGGAGGGGACCCAAAGGGGGTTGCCGTTGCCCGCTCGAATGCCTGGGTTTATATCCCGATCCTTGTCCCTCCCGCCGTGCTGTCAGGCAATAGATGATTGGCTATTTCTTTACCTCCTGTTTTTGCCTAATTAGCATTTTAGTGAGCTCTCTGATTGGTTGGGTGTGAGCTGAGTTGCAAGCCCCGTGTTTAAAGGTGGATGCGGCCTTCCCAGCTAGGCTTAGGGATTCTTAGTCGGCCTAGGAAATCCAGCTAGTCCTGTTTCTCAATACCACATCAAACATTCTTCATTAATTACTGCATCCCCTGGGAACAGGCTTGAAGCAGCTCTGGACAGCCCCTCCTCTCCACCTGGAGGTCCATCCTGATCCTACTTTTTGTAAAGACATCAAGAATTATGACACACGTAGCTTCTGGTTGGGCTTGCTTTTATAGCTTCTGGTCTGGGCTTGCTTTTGTTTGTGTGTGTGTGTGTGTGTGTGTGTGTGTGTATGTGTTTCTTGAGATAGGGTCTCACTTTGTCACCCAAGTTGGAGTGCAGTGGCTTAATTATGGCTCACTGCAGCCTTGACCTCCCAGGCTGAAGCAATCCTCCCACCTTCACCTCCTGAGTAGCTGAGACTATAGGCACACACCACCAAGCCCTGCTAATTTTTTTTTTTTTTTAGTTATTGGTAGTGATGGGGTCTCACTGTGTTGCCCAAACTAATCTCAAACTCCTGTGCTCAAGTGAGGAGGACCCACCTCAGCCTCCCAAAGTGCTGGGATTACAAGCATAAGCTATCATGTCCAGCCTGGGTTTATCCTTAAATAATATGTGATTGCAAGGGACAAACTAGAACTCCCTCTCCTATTCTCTCTCCCTATATGTACTTTACACGTAGAATCTCAGAGCTTAAAATGAATCCCACATAATTCCTCTCATTTTTAGATGAGATGTTGAAACTGGTAGAAATTAAATGTGCTGCTTACTGTCACACTAGTGTTATAAGTGTTAGAACTAGGGCTGGGCTCGGTGACTTATGCCGCCTGAGTAGCTGAGATCCCAGCACTTTGGGAGGCCGAGGCAGGCAGATGACGAGGTCAGGAGTTTGAGACCAGCCTGGCCAAAATAGTGAAACCCTATCTCTACTAAAAATACAAAAGTTAACTAGGCGTGGTGGCAGGTGCCTGTAATCTCAGCTACTCAGGAGGCTGAGGCAGGAGAATCACTTGAACTTGGGAGGCGGAGGTTGCTGAGATCACGCCACTGCACTCCAGCCTAGATGACAGAGCAAGACTCTCACTCAAAAAAAAAAAAAAAGGCCGGGCACGGTGGCTCACACCTGTAATCCGAGCACTTTGGGAGGCCAAGGCAGGTGGATCACCACGACCAGCCTGTTCAACATAGTGAAGCCCTGTCTCTACTAAGAATACAAAATTAGCTGGGTGGCATGTGCCTGTAATCCCAGCTACGGGAGGCTGAGGCAGGAGAATTGCTTGAACCTGGGTGGCGGAGGTTGCAGTAAGCCGATATCGTGCCACTGCACTCCAACCTGGGGAGCAAAGTGAGACTCTGTCTCAAATAATAATAATAATAATAAAAATAAAATAAGATAAATAGGCTGGGTGTGGTGGCACATGCCTGTAATCCCAGGCCTTTGGGAGGCTGAGGCAGGTGGATCACCTGAGGTCAGGAGTTCGAGACCAGTCTGACCAACATGGTGAAACCCTGTCTCTACTAAAAATACAAAAATAAGCCCGGCGTGGTGGTGTGCACCAGTAATGCCAGCTGCTTGGGAGGCTGAGGCAGGAGAATCTCTTGAACCCGGGAGGCAGCGGTTGCAATGAGTCGAGATCATGCCACTGCACTCCAGCCTGGGCGACAGAGCGAGACTCCATCTCAAAAAGAATAAAAAATTTAAAAATATACTTTTTATAACTTTTATAACTCATTCAGATTCACACCTAGTAGGTTGAGAGATCTACCTAATGTTTGTGGCCCATAATTGACTAAACATTTACAATGAGCTGGAGCATTGTCATTGAGCCAGTTGTTGGGCGGTATTATATTTTTTCTGTATCACAGAGAATTTCCCAATTGCTTCCAAATTTGTTTCTTATAAACTGAATGGACTATATGACCTTGTATGATGAATTTTCAGTGAACTTATGCTATCTGCTTGCTGATACCTGAAGTTTCTTTAAAGGAACCAGAGACTTTTATTCTGCAATGAGAAGTAAAAGCCTACAGTGCAGATGCCTTGGAAATATAATCCACTTGAAACTCATTCAGTCATTCACAAGTTTTCATTAGTCAATGAATGAGTATAAAATTCATGCTAATAACCATCACTTATTTAGTTTATCCTGGGTACCTAGCCTAGATGCTTTGAATACATATCTCCAGTAATTCACACAAAAAGTTGAATGCCAGGATTATTTTCATTTTGCGGAGAAGGAAACCAAGCCTCTGAAAGGTCAAGTAACTTGCCCATGGTCCTGTAGACAGGAAGTGAAAAAGCTGAACATGGCACGGGCCCTGTCGTGAACTACTTAAAAATATAGTCGCTTATTCATCTTAGACCACCAAGACTGAATTGAATTTTTAATTCTGAAGACATTCTTTTAATGCATTGTATCTGCCTTACCATTTTTTACTATATGATTTAACTACAAAATCCCAGTACTAACTTTTATGCTTTGACCTGGTGGATTTCAAGTTTTGTTAATTATTTTGGGTCTAATTCCCAAAATGAAAGATTTACTTATAATAACCTGTTTGGCATTAATATTTGTGTCCTTTGGTCATTTTATGGTAACTTGTAAAGGAGCTGGTCAGGTACAGTTGCTCACACCTGTAATCCCAGCACTTTGGGAGCCCGAGGCAGAGGATTGCTTGAGCCCATGAGTTTGAGACCACCCTGGGCAATATAGTGAGACCTTATCTCTCCAAAAAATTTAAAAATTAGCCGAGTGTGGTGGCACATGCCTGTAGTCCCAGTTTCGAGGGAGGCTTAGGTGGGAGGATCACTTAAGCCTGGGAGGCGGAAGTGGCAGTGAGCTGAGATCGTGCCACTGTACTCCAGCCTGGGTAACAGAACAAAACCCTATCTCACACTATTTAAAAAAATAATAATAATAATAAGGTTTTAATTTTATGTATTTTTTGGGGGGGACAGAGTCTCTGTCTGTTGCCCAGGCTGGAGTGTACTGGAGAGATCTTGACTCACTGCAGCCTCCACCTCCCAGGTTCAAGCGATTCTCGTGTCTCAGCCTCCTGAGTAGCTGGGATTACAGACATGCACCACCAAGCCTGGCTAATTTTTGTATTTTTAGTAGAGACGAGGTTTTACCATGTTGGCCATGCTGATCTCGAACTCCTGGCCACATGTGATCTGCCCACCTCAGCCTCCCAAAGTGCTGGGATTATAGGCCTCAGCCATCACATCTAATCTATTTAAAAAATATATATTTAAATAGAGATGAGGTCTCACTATGTATCTGACTTACCTGGTCACTATGTTGACCAGGCTGATCATGACTTCCGGGCCTCAAGCAGTCCTCCCGTCTCAGCCTCCCAAAGTGCTGAGATTACAAGTGTGAGCCACCGCATCTGGCCAAAAAGAAGATTTATAAAGGGGTTAATGGATTTTGATAAAGAACGTCAAAATATACCAGTGCCTAGAAAACCCTGTGTAAAATAATTAGGGAGGCAAATCGTGACCTCTGAGAAAGTTTTTTAAATGGAGATATTCTCAGTGATTATCTTGAGTTTTATTTTTCATAGAAGATATAGTCTTAGAATGTTAGATCCCTGTTCTACAGGGATCCCTATTCTACATCTTCATTTCATTTAGAACATTGGTTCTTATCCCTATCAGCACCAATATTCCCTTTTTAAAAGAAATATTATCCAGTGCCCCTTACTCTCCTGAAATAAAATTTATAGAAAATATAACCTGCCCACACACATAAACTTTTTTTAAAAAATCAATATAACCCCAACTGTTTTTAGTGGAATTTAATCAGCTTATTCTAAAATGTATAAAGTATAAAGATTAAAAGTAGCCAAGTTACCTATGAAGGAAAAGAATGGGTTGTAGGAAGGGGCACATGAGGGCTTCTGAGATGCTGGGTAGGAGTTCATTTTACAGTAGCTTGCTAAGTTATTCCTTTATACTTTATCCATTTTTGTATATATTGGTTCTATCACAGAAAGGGTGTTTGACTAAATCAATATTATGTTCTAGCTGTACCATAAAGGAGAAATGAAATAATTAGACTAGAAGGGTGAAGTGCTCCAGCAGAACCCAGAATGCTCCCCAGAATGATACTACCCCCCATGAAAACCCCTGGTTTAGAAAATTAACTTTGTACGGAGGTTTACAATTGCATTTGAAGGCACTGGCTTTTTGTTTAATGAATTGAAAAACTGTTTTTAATTAGTTATCCTAAATCCCTTATGCTTCATTCTGAACCTGTTATCAGTGAACTTAATGGAATCCAAGAGTAACTGATCATTACTTTCAGTCACAAACATGCATATTTTTTGCCAAGTTTTCTGCATTTCATATTTATACTCTCCATTTACTTTTCTTTCTTTATTTCTTTTGCATTACTGATGTACCCTGTACTTGTCATTAATGAACTTAATTATTTCATTGATAATTTAACCTTGGTCAGAACTTCTAGTGTCTGCTAATGCCTTACTGTTTGTTATCATCTCAAAATTCAGTAGAGTCGGCCTCTCGTCCATTTATCTGGTCATGGATGAAATGTTAGACATAGAGGATGATTATGACTAGCTATATTACTATGAACCACTAAAATCTGCTGCTCCATGTGCTTTTATCCTGAGGCCAATATACGGAAGCCTGTCTTTGAGATGGGCTGTCAGCAGCCTTAGACATACATGTACAAAGGAAGACCGAAGTCAGGCTTAAGAATTATTAAATTATTAGTAGATAAAAATTTTGAAACCAAAACACATGTTTAAAAACAAATGAATAAAATAATCTTGTCTTCTAAATAATCTTGCCTCCTATTACTGTTTTCTTTTTTGTTTGTTTGTTTGTGTTTTTGAGATGGAATCTTGCTCTGTCTCCCAGGCTGGAGTGCAGTGGTGCGATATTAGCTCACTGTAACCTCTGCTTCCTGGGTTGAAGTGATTCTCGTGTCTCAGCTTCCCTAATAGCTGGGATTACAGGCACCCATCACCACGCCTGGCTAATTTTTTTTTTATTTTTAGTGGAGATGGGGTTTTGCCATGTTGGCCAGGCTGGTCTTGGACCCCTGACCTCAAATGATCCACCTCGGCCTCCCAAAGTGTTGGGATTACAGACGTGAGCCACTGTGTCCAGCCCTATACATTTTTATTATTAAATACCCTTTAAGACATCATAAAAGAAAATAAGGATCTTAAAAGCTTTAGACAATCCTATCACTGTAACTTTTTTTACTGTATTTGACAGTTATAAAATGCATATAAGTTATAAAATGTATAGTTTTTTTAAAAGTTTGTGCTTTTTTCTTATGTAATTGTTTTATTATGTTATTCTAGGATGTTATTATTATTATTATTTGAGACGGAGTCTCACTCTGTTGCCAAGCTAGAGTGCAGTGGTGCCATCTCAGCTCACTGAAACCTCTGCCTCTCAGGTTCAAGTGATTCTCCTGCCTCGGCCTCCTGAGTAGCTGAGACTACAGGTGTGTGCCACCATGCCCAGCTAATTTTTGTATTTTTAGTAGAGATGGAGTTTCACCATGTTGGCCAGGATGGTCTTTATTTCTTGACCTTGTGATCCCCCTGCCTCAGCTTCCCAAAGTGCTGGGATTACAGGTGTGAGCCACTGTGCCCGGCCTAGGATGTTATTATTATTTTTTTTAACCTTCTCTGTGTAGCCATCACAGGTACCAATTTTAATGGCTGCATGATATTCCATTATTTTGAGAAATCCTACTGTTGGATATGGATTTAACAAGTGAGAAACATTCTCAAAGGTCCATGACCCAGGGATTTTATTGATGCACAAGTCTGAGTCACTGCTGCTATTACCCCATGTGTGCTGAATACATTTCTCAGCTTGTGAGTATAGTTTCCTGCCCAGTATAAGCGTTTCAGTGCCACTCTGTTGTTTTCTACTGGTCCTTAATATGCACAATAACTCTTATAAAGTCATTAAAGAAAAATCTCTTCAGAGAGTTAGATAAGTTCCTGGATATCAGTCATCATAGTAATGATGCAGAATAGTGTTCATTTTAGTGGCAAAATTGGCATTATTAGTATTATAAATTGTTGTAGTCTTCCACTTACAGAATAATTAAAAGCTTAGAAAGATTGATTTTTTTTATTACTTATTTGTTAGGAAATGAGATGTCAGTGTTTTTTTTCAGAATTTGTAGATTTATGAGTACCTTGGGATAAATCAGTTTTGACTATTTCAGGTCTAGTATCATTTATTTATATTCCCTTGTTGTTACACATTTAGTTTGTTGAAAGGAAGATTGCTTTGAATACCATAAAAAATGTTAAAATAGTTTCCCTTAGTATTTTTTTTGTTTTGTTTGAGATGGAGTTTCGCTCTTGTTGCCCAGGGTGGAGTGCAGTGTCGCGATCTCGGCTTACCGCAACCTCTATCTCCCGAGTTCAAGCGATTCTCCCGCCTTAGCCTCCTGAGTAGCTGGGATTACAGGCATGCACTGCCACAACCGGCTAATTTTGTATTTTTAGTAGAGATGGGGTTTCTCCATGTTGGTCAGGCTGGTCTTGAAATCGCGACCTTAGGTGATCCGCCCGCCTCGGCCTCCCAAAGTGCTGGGATTACAGGCATGAGCCACCGCACCCAGCTCCCTTAGTATTTTTAAGCGAGTATTTTAGAGTCTTCCTAAATTAGCATTTTCCCTTCTTTTATAAATAGATGATATTCTGATTCTTTTAATCACAATGTATTTTAAGTTTCAGGTCAAGTAAGAGATTGACAGGTCTCATAAATGAAATGTACAAATATTTTTAATAGCACTATTTTTTGTAACAGCTTTATTGAGATATCGTTTATATACCATACAACTCACTTGTTTAAAGTATGTAATTCAGTGATTTACAGTGCCACAGTAAATTTTAGAACATTTTCATTCCCTCACAAAGCAACCTAACAGGTTTAATATAATAGTGGCCCATGTCCTCTGAGCCATTATTTCAGTAGACCTTAAGTAAAGAGACAGGGTCAACACCTAGAAAAGTTACAAAATACATGCATTAAAATAGTAAACTATTAATAGCGGTATCCTAAATAAAGGTAAATCCTATACTGTAATTTCATCTGTTTATTTTCCTTAAATACAAACACACAGCTATTTACTGATCTTTAGCCTGCCTGTCTTGCTATTTTGTAAGAATGGGTTTAGTGATCTTTAGCATACCTTGCTTCACAACAGTGGTTATCATAGTTGTATCTTCTAGTCCATGCATTCCCCTTTTATTTATTTTTATTTTTAGAGACAGGGTCTCACTTGTCCAGGCTGGACTCAAACTCCTGGGCTTAAGCAATCCTCCTGCCTTAGCCTCCCAAATAGCTGCTGGGACTATAGGCACGCGCCACTGTGCACAGTTGCTATTCTAGTCCATGCATTCTCATCCAAGGTGATATTGCCCCAAGGGAGTAAAAATTCATTCCTGAGGTCTAAAAGAACTTACTCTTTTTATGTATAAAATACAGTTATACATATAGTACACAAACGGATACACAGTATAGCTGTGGGACTAAAATTTCTTGAGGGGTAGGGAGCAGTTGGGGAAAAAATGTTTTGAAAAACTCCTTAGGGTGGTCATAATTAAAAACAGGTTGAGCAATACTGCCATAAGGAGAAAACTCATCACTTCAGAGGGACCTGAGAAATTTCAGGTTCTATTAGAAGATTTTCCTAAGGTTCTCCTATAGCAACCAGCAAACTCACTCACTCACTCATCTTGGTACACACATACATTCTCTTCTCTCTGCATCCTTTTTTTCTCTTTGGTGGGGGAGGAGCAGAGTGGAAGTGGTAGAGATAAAGAGGAGAAATGGCCAGCATACACTTCAGTAGGTAAGTCCAGACTGTCTGATTTGTGAAAGGATAGCCTTACATACAATTAGGCCAATTTCTGCATCTGAGCCTTAACACATTTACACGGTAGTTGTGCAACCCTAAACATATTTATTCCTGTATTTAGAGTCAGAAAGAGTGATTTTGTGTAATTTATTTCTCTTGGAAGGCTCATCTCATACCAATGCTTTTGTTTCATCAAGATCCTTTATATTTTTCCCTTAAATTTCCAATGCGGTTAAATCTGACTTTTTATGGGCCATAAGCAAGACATAAATGATGATAGAAAAAAGCATTCTTCAATTATAGGAGGCAAGAATTCTAGGGTACATTGTTCAGCTGCTTTCTTTCCCATGGTAGAAAGCTGATAAATGAATGACTTTTAAAAGGTGTGCCTTTTAAAAAATCTTCCCCTTTGGGAAAAAGTTAGCTGTGATGATTGGCTATCCAAAACAAAGACTGCTTCATATTATGGGAAAATGAAAGTCAACTAAAACTAATATTCATATACTTATTTATTTGAAAAATACCAGTTATGTGTCAATATTTTTTTTCTCTCTCTCTCTCTCTCTCTCTCTCCTCGAGACAGGGTGTTGCTCTGTCACCTAGGCTGGAATGCAGTGGCGCAATCAGGGCTCACTGCAGCCTCAACCTCCCAGGCTCCAGTGATCCTCCCACCTCAGCCCCCAAGTAGCTGGGACTATAGGCACGTGCCACCATGCCCAGCTTATTTTTGTATTTTTTGTAGAGACGTGGTTTTGCTATGCTGCCCAGGCTAGTATCAAAGTCGCAGACTCAAGTGATCCACTAGCCTCAGCCTCCCGAAGTTCTAGGATTACAGATGTGAGCCACTGCACTGACCTATGTGTCAACACTTTATTAAGTGCTAGGGCACAGAGGTGAATAAGACAAAGCCTTACCCTTTAGGAGATTACATTCTAGGCAAGGATATGGATTTAAAAACAGTTAACTTTTACATGTGAATTAGATAAGTGCAATATTAGAGCATGTCCCAGGCAATGTAAGAGTACAGTGGGAGACACCTGACTTGTCTACAGGGCTAACTACAGCATTACTTCTTAGGAGCTGCCTTTACAAATAGAAGAGGTCAGCGTGGGCAGGGTAGCTCATGCCTATAATCCTGGTGCTTTGGGAGGCCAAGGATCCCTTGAGGCCAAAAGTTTGAGACCAGCCTGTGTAACATAGTGAGACCCTGTCTCCACACAAAAAAAATTTTAAAAAGAATAATTAGCCAGGTGTGGTGGCATGTGCCTGTAGTCCTAGCTACTTGGGAGGCTGAGGTGCAGAGCACCTTGTTTGAGCCCAGGAGGACAAGGTTACGGTGAGCTGTGATTGCACCACTGCACTCCAGCCTGGGCAACAGGGCAAGACTCGGTCTCAAAACAAACAAACAACAAAACAAAACAAAACCACGAGGTCCTTGGGCAAAGGCTGGGACCTGCATGTCACACATAGAGCAATGTAGCTTCCAGATCTAGGGTAGACCAGTAATTTGGCACCCTTTCTGGAAATGTTCAATAGTACTGAGGGCTGGAGAGGAGGACAAGGGCTGAGCCCTTTGGTGACTGTGCCCCAAATTGCAGAGCCTCCTCAGCCATGTTTTGTATTTAAATGCGGAAACTGAAAGATGTGAATAAGGTAAGTGTGACATTAGAGAGTGGCTCCAGGCAATGTAAGAGTACAGAGAGGGGGCCAGGCGTGGTGGCTCATGCCTGTAATCCCAGCACTTTGGGAGGCTGAGGCAGGCGGATCACGAGGTCAGGAGATAGAGACCATCCTGGCTAACAAAGTGAAGCCCTGTCTGTACTAAAAAAAAAAAAAAAAAAAAAAAATTAGCTGGGCATGGTGGCGGGCACCTGTAGTCCCAGATACTCGGGAGGCTGAGGCAGGAGAATGGCGTGAACCCGGGAGACGGAGCTTGCAGTGAGCCGAGATCACGCCACTGCACTCCAGCCGGGGTGACAGAGCAAGACTCCATCTCAAAAAAAAAAAAAAAGTACAGAGGGGGACACCTGACTCCTCCATAGGGCTGACTACAGCACTACCTCTTAGAAGCTGCCCTTACAAATAAAGAGATTAGGGTAGGCAGGGTAGCTCACGCCTGTTATCCCAACTATCTACAACTCAACATCTATCTGTGCCACTGAAGAATCTCTTTGGGGCTTTCATTCCACCCTACCCTACCCTACCCACCTCCCAGTGGCTAATCAGAAGTGTTTTTCTCCAGTCTCATAGAGTACTTGGTACTATGGAATTCTGTTAAGTGTAATTTTCCTCTCTTTCTTTACATTTCTAGCAATGTATAGTGCCTTAGCGATGTTTTGATGCTACATCTAGCCAATCTGTCTGGTTCTGGCCAACTTCTCTGGCTCTGTTAGGACTTCATAGACTCTGTTAGGGTGTTTGAACTTGATCCCGAAGTCAGTGAGGAGCCATTTGAAGAAATATGAGTGAGGCAGAATTTTTTTTTTTTTTAAGGACTGCAGCCTGGGCAGCCTAGCAAGAATGGAGGATCAGTGGATAGGAATGGAGATAGATGAGAGTGCCAAACTCAAGACAGAAACCAGTAGGAGGCTGTGATAGTCTAGATGAAATATTATCACGTTGCAATAACGGGGATGAAGAAGAAGAGGAATTGGATTTGAAAGTTATTTAGGTAATAACTGCTGCAATGCTTAGAGAGTAATTGAATAGAAGTAGAGGATAACTCTCCACCTTCTACCTTGGGTGCTGTATTAGTTTCCTATTGCTGTTGTAACAAATTACCACAGACTTCGTGGCTTAAAACAACACGAAATAATTATCCTGGAGTTCTGGAAGTCAGAATTCCAAAATGGGTCTCACTGGGCTAAAATCAAGATGTCATCAGGGCTGCATTCCTTTCTAGAGGCTCTAAGGGAGAAAGCATTTTCTTTGCTTTTCCAGACTCTAGAGGCTACCCATGTTCCTTGACTCATGGCTCCCTTCCCTCTTCAAAGCTAGCAATCTCTGCCTTCCTCTTCCACTTTTAAAGGCCTTTGTGATTACATTGTTCCCACCCAGATAATCCAGGGTAAATAATCTCCCCATTTTAAAGTCAGCTGATTAGCAACTTTAATTCCATCTGCAACTTTAATTCTCTTTGCCATATAGTCTAATATACTCACAGATTTTGGGGAGTAGGATATGGACATGTTTGGGGAGGGTCATTATGCTACCTACGAAAGGTATGCCTTTGTAGGTAGCTAGGTCTATATTGATAATGATGCCATTTGCTACGTTAGAAAGGGGAAAAAAGCAACTTAGAGTGGGAACATTGAGATGATAACTTTTATTTTAGATGTTTAGGGTTTAAAGTACCTGTAGAACCTTTTAGGGGAAGTGTCTAGTAGGCAATTGAAAGTATGGGTCTGGAGCTTAGTAATTCTTAATTTGGGTGTCAGTAGTTTTAGGAGAGTAGCTAAAATCATGATATACATGAGTTGCCTAGGACAGGTATATAAAGTAAAAGGAGAAAGCCGGGCACAACTCTTAAATAGCACCCTTGTTTATGGGACAGCATAAAGGGAGAGGGCCATGCATAAAGGAGAAGGATACTGATGAACAGCATAGGAGAGGCAGGAAGAAAAAAAGGAAGAGTGATATCACAGAAGAATGGGGTAGTCAGTTACATTAAGAGTGCATAGCAGTCAGCAGGGCTGAAAAATATCTGAACAGATCCCATGGAGTAGTGGGGGTGGAAGACCAATGGCAGGCAGCATGCTGAGGAATAAGTGGGAAGAAAGAAAGTGGAGATTGATGTGAAGGAAAAAGAAAAAAGGAGAAAGGGCAGTAGCCAGAGGGAGAAAAGGGTCTTTCTGTTGGTTGTTTTTAAAAAATAATATATGGTTGGGGGAAAAATGATGAATTCAAATCATCAGGGCCTTGTGACTTACATCCTTCATTATTCAGAGAATGAGTAAAATTTATTGGGAGAGCCACTATTAGCTATTATGTATGAGATGCCATGGAACACAAAAGACAGCTATAAGAATGAGAGAATACCTTCTGGATGACCCCAGTAGTTATGGATGTCTTCCTATTCCAGATAGCAGGGAGAATATTACAACATATTATCAAGCAATCCACTTAAAATAAGCACCTTCACAAGCACAAGGTACTGAATAGCAATGATTTTGTTTTTGTAAATGGCGAATTTTGTCAGTTCAGTCTCTTTTAGTGATAGTCCACAAACATAAAGATAAGGTAATAAATGTAACACCTAAACTTCTGTGAAACTTTTGGGGGTACTCTGGACTATGTTAAATGAGCATATAGCTGCATAATAGCTACAATAACAGCACTTGTCACTTTGTCTGGAAAGTGTATCTAGGTGCCAGGCATTGTGCAGAACACTTTACACATAACAAATCATTCAGTCTTCACGAAAACCCCATCAATAGACACCTTATTACAACCATTTTATGGATTATTATTATTATTCTCATTTTATGGTTGGGAAACTTGAAGGTTACACAGTAGGTCAGTGAGACAGAAGGGCTGAACCAGGCATCAAAGTAATTGGTTTCTAATTAGAATATTGTTTAAAAAAAATAGTAGTTGTGTGACCATGAGCAAGTTCCAGCATAGGATGGGATACACTACTCTTTAAAAAAAGCATGAAGTCCTAGAATGTTTGTACAGGAAAATGACATGTAAAACAGAGATGTACCAGTCACATCACATTCTTAGAAAATGATGTCCCTTTTTGATCTCTGTATTTTGAAAGTGATGAATAACTGGCTGGTCTAGAGAAGAGCAATCTAGATGATTAATTGGTTAAAAAATAAGCCTGCTGAGAAAAGATGTAAAACAGGCCTTGCAAACTAGAGGTCTAAACAGTGGCATTTTTGTTTGGCCTATACAGTGTAAGGAAATAAAAATTGGATGCCAGCTCTTAAAAATTGGGAAATTTCTCTTAAAAATATCCAAATCACCAGCTGCTCTTGAAAAATAGGAAACTTTTTCAACATCAGATCCACAGCCCCCGCTGCCTCACTGCAGTGAGTATAAGCATATGTTCTCCAGTCTGTCCTCATCCAGCTCGCATGCCACCCACGTGGACATTTCAGTTTGTCTTTCCTAGTTTAAGCCACGTTACTGAAGAGGAGTCTAAGTTTGGGAAAGAATACTTTTTAAAAGAGGGATGTTATTGTCCTCCCTAAGGGCATAGTTAAGAAAAAAGAAGGAAGGAAGGAAAGAAGGAAAGGATGGAGATGGAAGGACTAAGCTTAATTTGAATCAAAAGAAGAGTTTGGTAGGAAGAAATGATTTCCTAAGGGTTAGGCGGTTGGTAGCAGGGCCACACATTGAACAGTTCCGTTAAGTACCACTTTATATAGTCCATGTGCAACTACTCATCATATACAACTATACACAGTGGGCTAGACTGGGAATTTCTAAGGCAGTTTACAAAATTTCCGACTGTTTTGTTGTTGTTGTTGTTGTTGTTGTTTTGAGATGGAGTCTCGCTTTGTCACCCAGGCTGGAGTGCAGTGGTCTGATCTCGGCTCACTGCAACCTCCACCTCCTGGGTTCAGGTGATTCTCCAGCCTCAGCCTCCTGAATAGCTTGGATTATAGGCACACGCCATCACATCCGGCTAATTTTTGTATTTTTAGTAGAGTTAGGGTTTTACCCTGTTCACCAGGCTGGTCTCAAACTCCTGACCTCGTTTGATCTGCCTACCTTAGCCTCCCAAAGTGCTGGTATTACAGGTGTGAGCCACCGCACCTGGTCAGACTTTTTTTTTTTTTTTAATGTAGTCCAAATGGCTGCTGGCTCCTTTGTACACTGTTACATAGTCGTAAGACTTCAGCTGCTCCCTCAAATGTCCCCAGTTCCTACCCACAGTGTATGAGAGGGCCTGTTTCCCTACACTCTTAACAACAGAGTATGTTTTTCAAACTTTGAGAGATCTAGTTGGTGAGAGCTTTTCATTTCTGTTATCGAGAAGGAAGTTGAGCATATGTTCGTGTGTTTTGGGGATGCTTGCCGATCTTTTCTGTGAACTCCGCTTGGTTCTGTCTTCCAGTTTTCAACACAGGCTTCAGTTCTTTATTTTAGGAATTCTTTATATATTAGGAATATTAATCTCTCTGTGATAGAAGTCGCAGATATTTTTTCTCAGTTTTTTGTTTGTACTTTTGTGTTGCTTTTTTTTGTTTTTAGTATGTAGAATTTTGTTTTTTATGTAGTCAGATTGATCAGTCTTTTTCCTTTTTGCATCTGGATGATGAGTCACATAGGAAATGTTTCTCTACTTTCAGAATATAGAGGAATTGACCCATTTTAAAATTATTTTATTTTATATATATGTGTGTGTACATATATATGTATGTGTGTGTGTATATGTGTGTGTATGTGTGTACACATATATATATATAGGCAGAGGCAGAGTCTTGCCCTGTTGCCCAAATGACACAATCTTGGCTCATTGTAACCTCTGCCTCCTGGGTTCTATCGATCTTCCCACTTCAGCCTCCTGAGTGGCTTGGATTACAGGTGCACGCCACCGTGTCTGGCTGACTTTTAATGTTTTTTATAGAGACGGGGTATTGCCATGTTGCCCAGGCTGGTCTCAAACTCCTCAGCTCAAGTAATCTGCCCGCCTTGGCCTCCGAAAGTGCTGGGATTACTGGTGTGAGTCACTACACCTGGCATTTTTTTTATGCTTAATATTTTTTCATTTTTTATATTTAAGTCTTTGATTCATTTGGAATTTATCCTCATGTACAGTATGAAGATGGATCTGATTTTTTGTTTGTTTGCTTTGGAACTAAAGCACATTGAGAAAGAATGTATCCGATTTTATCTTTTTCCGTATGGCCATCTGGTTAACCCAACAATACTTATTAAAAAGCCCATCCCTGATTTGCGTTGTTGCCTCTGTTAAATAATAAACATACAATTTCAAATGTAGTTTGGCTCTATATCTTGGGTTTTCTACTCCACACCACTGAGCAGTCGATTCATGTGCCAATACTACATTATTTTATTTATAGAGGCTTTATAACATGTTTTAATATCTGCTCTTCTTTTTCAGGGTTTTCTTGGCTATTCTTGCATGATTGCTCTTCTAAATTAGCCTTATAATCAACTTATCTAATTTTGATGGGGAATGGGTTATGGTATTCTTACTGAGATGTTATTAATTAGAATTAGAGAGTAGTGGCATCCTCTGATCTTGTCTTCCTCTCCAAGAACACGGCGTGCAAGTCTACTTTCATGCCATGTTCTTTTTTATGCATGTTGCCCCTCAGTTTGGGCCAGGTTGAGTATGGAGAGTTGGTAAGGATATTCAAGTAGAACTACCTGGTCAGCAATCAGAATGTGGGACAGGAGGTCACAAGAGAGAGAGGTTGGACTGGAGATACATGCAGGGAACCACTTGCATGAATAATATGTGAATTCATGACATGATATTTTCTTGTTTTTTTAAATTATTTTTTATAGAGACAGGGTCTCACTATGTTACCCAGGCTGGTCTTGAACTCCCAGGCTCAAGTGATCCTCCCACCTCAGCCTCCCAAAGTGTTGGGATTATAGGTGTGAGCCACTGTACCCGGCCCTCGTGACATGACATTGCACACTGTTGCATTGTTAAGTTAGTCATTCAGTATCATTCTCTAAGGAACTTCCTCACTGAAGATGTTTAATTCATAGGTGTTACATGACCAGGTAATATTTTCATGTTTTCTTATCAATGAAAGTTATTTTAGAGCTGTTCATTTAAAAAATCTTCCATAGCACAGTTCTTCAGTTTCATGGAATAAAAAATGCTAAGTTTTTGAGATTATTCCATTAACATTATTTTTTATTCTTTTTTTTGTTTGTTTGTTTTGAGATAAGGTCTCACTTGGTTACCCAAGCTTGAGTGCAGTAGTGTGGTCACGGCTCACTGCAGCCCCAGCCTCCTGGGCTCAAGTGATCCTCCCCTCAGCCTCCCAGGTAGCTGAGACTACAGGTGCATGCTACCATGCCTGGCTAATTTTTAAACTTTTTGTAGATGTGGGGGTCTCACACAGTTGCCCAGGGTGGTCTCAAGTGATTACTAGACTCAAGTGATCCTCCCGCCTCAGCCTCCCAAAGTGCTGGGATTATAGGTGTGAGCCACCATGCCTGGACAACTAGATTTTTGTTTCTAATTCTAAGATATAAGAGATAGATGTTTTGGATTTTATCAACTATGTAAACATATTCAAATAAAAACTCTTGATATTCTTTAAGTCATTAATTTCTTTGAGCAAGTGGAATGATTTCTTTTTTTAAAATAAAAACTCATTGATGTGTTAGAGCCCAGAAAATATAACGGTTTAGCTCTAGAAAATGATTACAGAATTGGGTTCATGCTAGGGAGATAACTGACTGGATAAATTAGTTCGAATTATGCCTTGTTTTTGGTTTTATACTCAGGAAATCACACACTTGTACAACCACCCATAAGCTCACATATTTTATTTATTTTATTATTATTTATTTATTTATTTTTTGATACAGAGTCTTGCTCTGTTGCCCAGGCTGGAGTGCAGTGGCATGATCTCGGCTCACTGCAACCTTTACCTCCTGGGTTCAAGAGATTCTCCTGCCTTAGCCTCCCAAGTAGCTGGAACTACAGGCACGGACCACCATACTTGGCTAATTTTTTTTATTTTTAGTAGAGACAGGGTTTCACTGTGTTAGCCAGGATGGTCTCAATCTCCTGACCTGGTGATCTGCCCACCTCGGCCTCCCAAAGTGCTGGAATTACAGGCGTGAGCCACCATGCTCAGCCAGATCACATATTTTAGAGATAGCCTTTTCAAGAAATTCTTAATCAGTAAACAGGAGTTTATGAACATCTGTTTTCCTGAATTTTAGAAATATAGATTAAAAATAAGTATTTAAAAAACAACTACAGGGTACTCTATCTTACATCTTTTCTCCCATTTCAAAACTAATGAACACTTATTAAGCCCTTATAGAATATCTCAGAAAAGTATGCTGATTAAGCTTGCTTAAGGAATTAAGTTAATTCACATTATGTTGTAGGCCACCAATTATTTGTCTTGGGTTTTGTTTTGTTTTGAGATGGAGTCTGTCTCTGTCACCCAGGCTGGAGTGCAGTGATGTGATGTCAGCTCACTGCAACCTCCACCTCCCTAGTTCAAGCGATTCTCCTGCCTCCGCCTCCCAAGTACCTGGGATCACAGGCACCTGCCATCATGCCTGGCTAGTTTTTGTATTTTTAGTGAAGACAGGGTTTCACCATGTTGGCCTGGCTGGGCTCGAACTCCTGGCCTCAAGTGATCCACCTGCCTCGGCCTCCCAAAGTGCTGGGATGACAGGCATGAGTCACTGCGCCTGTCCACCAATTATTTCTCTTTGGTCTTTTTCTATAGCACTGGTACCTGAAGTAGTACCTAAGCATTAGAATTTCGTATCATTTTCCTTTGGATACTTCCTTTGGGCTCTGTGTTTCCTGAGAATGGACTGAGTGAGGGAGGGATGGTAGAAATGCTACTGCTTTTAGCCTTAGTTTTTCGGACAAAGAGGGGTAAAGACAAAATTAATTTGGAAGCCTGTTGTTGGTAAGACTTAGGAAATAATAAAAGATGTTCCCTCTTTGCATATATTCTTTTTTTGTTGATTCTACACAGCAACTGTTTACTTTGGAGTATTTATAGTTTGTATGTTCAGTGGTTTTTCAGGGATTTTTCTTGTTAAGCCAACATGCAAATATAGTGACCTTAACAACTATATCTCATGATGTAAGGCTAAGGTGTCAATGTGGCAGTCTTGGAATTATTTCAACCCGAGCAAAGGAAAAACAAACATTGGTGGGTTCATCCC
The DNA here is from genome assembly GCF_000001405.40 of Homo sapiens. Classification (NCBI taxonomy): domain Eukaryota; kingdom Metazoa; phylum Chordata; class Mammalia; order Primates; family Hominidae; genus Homo; species Homo sapiens. Next base: position 38,408,484 of record NC_000006.12, on the reverse strand, counting down.
CTATCCAGATCACAAAGCTTTGGATTCTTTTTGGATTCTCTTCAATGTATTTAACCTTTAAGCATTAGAATAGTAGGCAAAGGAAGTAAGAGAATATGAGAACTGTTTTTTTGGTTTTGTTTTGTTTTGTTTAGAGACAGGGTCTTGCTCTGTTGCTGGAGTGCAGTGTCACGATTATAGCTCACTGCAGACTTGAACTCCTGGGCTCAAGTGATCCCCCTGCCTCAGCCTCCCAAGAAACTGGGACTGCAGGTGCATGTCACTACACCTAACTAATTTTTCTATTTTCTTTTGAGATGGGGGTCTCACTGTGTTGCCCAGGCTGGTCTCGAACTCCTGGCCTCATGTGATCCTCTTGCCTCGGCCTCTCAAAGTGCTGAGATTACAGGCATGAGCCACCACGCTTTGCCAGTGCCATGATTTTAAATCGTGTCCTTCAAGTGTTAGTAAGTAAAGTGGCCTAATTTTAGGTTATGTATCAGCTGTTTCATTGGGATTCCTTTTTTAGGAAAAATAAATTATCTCCAAAAAGAAAGCAAAAACAGCTTTCCTTTGATCTGATTATACATCAGAGTTGTTCCATTGAGGACCTTGAATGCAGGGATTCTTGAATTTATCTGGATGGAAAGGCAAGCATGATGGATTTTGTTAGTCTTCTAATTGAATCCAGTTTTGATAATTATTTCCATTGCTACTTCAGGATTTACAATTGATCATCTTTATAGTCATGAACATAGGAAAACATTGTGAAAATACCCATGGAAAATGAAATAGTTTTTGGTTTTTGTTGAAAGCAGTCACTTAGCTGATTTTGTCCTGCATATTTCCCCACATTTAACTTTACCCAACTTAGCTCCCTTTTTCCAAGTTAGAACTGAAGTCTAGCACATTGGGAAAATGACTTTTATTAAATGCATGACTAGAATTCTTCAAAACCCCAGCTAGACTCTGCAAGGGGCTGCTGCAGGTTGCACACAGGAAGAACTGTGGCTGGTCTGCTTCTCGTCCTGATCCGGGCATAGCCAGGCTGGTACACAGGCATACTGGATAAGTAATTGGTCTTAAATATAACATTGCAAAGAACTAGAACTCAAAAGTGATTCCCTACTGAAAGAACTTCCTCTTTTATTGCTCTGAAATGATCTTTCAATTTGGCCTCATTCTGAAAGTTGCCATTTGAATTGGACTGGGAACAAAAGTTAGAATTTATTGAAAACAACTCATTGCTTAATCTCTGGCAATTTTATTTTATATGTGATCAACAGATGTGTTGCAAGTCGGATTCAAAAGGAAAATAAAAGTTTAAACAGTTAAGATGTCATCAAATACTTTTCCAAACCTGTAGGAAAATAAAATTAAAATCTATTTGAGAAATACTCAGGTGCAACATACATTTTTATTCTGCTTTCTTCTTGTTCACTCCCATTTCTGCCTCCCATTCTCCTTACAAAAGACAGCCAGGTAGTGGAAACAGAACAAGGAATTTGAACTCTGACTTCACTTCCAGACCTGGTTCTGCTACTTACCATGTGAATCCTGCTCAGACTGGTCATTGAGCTTCCTTGAGCATGGTGATAATCATAGCCAGGCATAGTGGCACTCGCTTATAGTCCCAGCTACTCAGGAGGCTGAGGCAGGAGGATTGCTAGAGCCCAGGAGTTTGAGGCGGCAGTGCACTGTGGTCGTGTCTGTGAATAGGCACTGCACTCCAGCCTGGGCAGCAAAGTGTGATCCCCATTAAAATATCATAATAAGAAAGTACTTTGTCCTACCTTCCTCACCAAGGTGATTATTGATTTCAGATGACACGATACCTGTAGAAATTTAGTTTCCCCAATGTGATTCTTCTTATTAAGATTGCATATCCAGGACTAGTCTTTTAATCTTCTAACATTGTTTTTGAGAGTAAGAGTATCAGAAAATTATTTTTCCAATTCTTCTAGTACTACCACTGGGAATTGGGAATGCCAACTCCTTACTGTAAATGAAAATGTATTCCCTAATCTAAGAGGTCTTTTCCAAGTACCAATTCTGACAAGAAATTTAATGGAATGGTAATGTATGTATATTCCTCTACAGTGTGATGTGGGGCTTGCTTCAACTTGCTGATAGTCAGTAGAATTTGGAGATTAAAAAAACACACACACAATCAATTCTCGGGCTTTAGATCAAAATCTCAACAGCACTTAGAGCTTGGCAAAGAATTTTGCCTTTGGCCTATGCTGATGCTCCTTATGGTTACTCTTTTCTGGGACTCTAAAATGTTAGATTTGTGTAGGAGCCAAAGATTTATAAGAAGGTGCTAGGTCCCTGTCCTACAGAGTTGTGAAGAATTTCTTTCCTTATCTTCCCTTGCCTTTTACCTAAAGACCTATGAATGTGTGTTGGATCTAAGCTCAGGTTTTGGGTTGAGAGGCCTAAAGTTGAGCCCACTTGAATAGTAGCTTACCAATACATGTCTCTGCTGACGTCATAGCTCATTAACATCCTGTCCACTGTTGTTGATTTCTGAAGCACCCACATTTCACTGCCCCTCCCCCAGCATCTTCACAAAGCTTTTATTCCCCCAAAGACATTTTCAAAATTTCATTTGTAACTGTTGTGCACAGCTGACATGGAGAATTATTCTAGGTGCTGAATTGTTTATCACTAGAATATTTAGACCAACACTAGAAGATCTGCGATCAGTATGGAAACTCAAATAGGCTTTATGGCTGCTTTCCTGAGTCCATTGACTTCTATTTATTTGGGAATATTTAGTATTAAAAAGTTATAGAACAAATATGGATAAAATAATTTGAAGGTTTTGCCATCACAAAACCTTATATCATTTGCACTGAGAATGTAACACTAGCTGGGTGTTATTGTTTGTTTTTTTTTTTAACAACAGAACCAATAAAATGATTAATATGTGTTTTTGCAGGAGCTTATTTCTCATTATAGCTTCAGTATTGGAGGAGAGATTAAATTTCTGAATATGAATCTGATTTTTCAGACTTCCAACTTCCTATAAGTTTTTATGTGCTGATGCAGAGTTGCTGCTTTCAGGTCATAGCAATTTAGCTTTTCTAGAAGCTATTCTTTTTCTAAGTGACTGGCAGGAATCATTACTCTCTATGGCAAGAAACCAGAAGTTGGCAGGAGCCCTACAATGACTGTCCAATTTTTTTTTTAACTGTTTTGCCAGTTTCCAGATTTTCTTCCCTTGTCTTATAGGGTATCAGGTTCAAAGCGAGTGATACACATGTAGTCACAGACCTGCCCAGGCCAGGTATGAGGGATCAGGCCCTTCCTCAGATAGATTGTCTATTTAGCATTCTGGATAGAAGCCAGAGATCATGGTACATTCCTAGAATTGCACAACTCAAAGCTACAACCATCAGGCAAGTTTTGTATTTGTTCCTGAAACTCTTACATTGTTACTTTGATTTCTTCTGATTGTTTAGAGGTATGAATCAGACAAGATCGTTTCATAACGATTGACAATAAGCACTGAAAGCCTCAGTGATGACAGTAATATTTCCTACCTCAGCCTCTTCCCAGTATGAATTTTACAACACTGAAAAGGGCTAGGGCTCTAACCTGAAGAGATTTCTGAATTTGTCTCTTTTCTGACAGAATTAATTGAAGTAGAAAGTATTTCAAGTGCGGGCCACTCTGGAACTGAGCTCTACCTTTTTACCTGGAGTGAAACCATCCTAATTTTATCCTCTGCTGGCCAGGGTCAATTTGATAATAACAAGCCCAGAATGAAACACATCAGTTTATCCCTTATCTGCAGTAACAACTAGAAATGCTTTTGCTTGTTTGAACTTTGCCCTCCCTAGAATCTTGATATTTGTTTTGAATTTGGTTTTTGGCAGAATGAGATCCCATGCATGCCAGGCAGGCTCAGGGATGAAGAGTTAGTAGTTTGGGGTTTTGTTTTTTTTTATTGACTTGCTCTGGGCGGAAGCTTTCACTTTTCAAATGTGTGATTCTTCTATTGTCCTAGCTGTGCTGTCGGTAATGAATGCATCCTCTGTTTTGGAACTGTGCCAGATAAGATGCAAATTTGTCTATTCTACTTCTGTATCAAGTAAGGTTACCTAACTGGGTCTACTACTGTTTGAAGATATTAAAGACTCACAAAATCATGCTATGGTAAATGAAGAGTACTTGTTCTCTAAGTCTGCTGAGGAAAGAAAATGGGCTAGTGTGCTAAAGGAATGGATTTATATTAGCGGCTTATTTTGGAATTTTAAAAATTGAGATATAGTTAATATGCCATAAATTCACCATTTTAAGGTGTACAATTAAGTGGTCTTTAGTGTATTCAGAAGGTTGTGCATCCATCACCACTAACATTTTTTATCACCCTAAAAAGAAACTCAGTATCCATAAGCAGTCACTTCCCAATCCCTTCTCTCCCCATCCCCTGGCCACCACTAATCTGCTTTATGTCTTTATGGATTTGTGTATTCTGGACATTTCATGTAAATGGAATCATACAATATGTGGCCTTTTGTGTCTGGCTTCTTTTACTTCATATAATTCTCTCAAGGTTCATCTGTGTTATAGCATATATCAGTACTTCATTTCTATTTATGGCTGAATAATGTTCCATTGTATGAATATACAGTATTTTACTTATCCATTCATCAGTTGATGGATATTTGGGCCATTTTAGTCTTTTGGCTGCTGTGAATAATGCTGCTATACACATTTATGTACATGTTCTTGTATGGACATATGTTTTCAGATCCCTTGAGTATATAACTAGGAGTAGAATTGCTGGGTCATATGGAAATTCTGTCTTTAACTTTTTGACGATCTGCCAGACTGTTTTCCATAGAAACTGTACCATTTTACATTCCGGCTAGTAGTATGAAATGGTTCTAATTTCTCAACATTCTCATCAACACTCATTGTCATTATCAGACATTTTTGATTATAGCCATCCTTGTGGGTATATCAGTTGTGGTTTTCATTTGCATTTACCTGATGGCTAATAACATTGAGTGTCTTTTCATATGCTTATTGGGGATTTACAGGGTTTTATTTGGAAAACGTCTTATCCAGATTCTTTATGCCTTTTTAAATTGAGTTGGTTTTTGTTTATATGCCCATTGTTTAATTGGATTTTTTAAAATTGTTGAGTTTTAAGATATACATATGTATATAATTACCAGAACCCTATCAGATATATGATTTAATTTTGTGGGGAAATATTGTCTCTCCTTTTGTGGGTTGTCTTTTTGCTTTCTTGATAATGTCCTTTGAAGCACAAAAGTTTTAAATTTTGATGAAGTCCAATTTATTTTTTCTTTGGTTGCTTGTGATTTAGGTTTTCCTTTCCTTTTCTTCTCTTCTCTTCTTTTCTTTTTTCTTTCCTTCTTCTCCCCTCCCTTCCCCTCCCCTTCCCTCCCCTCTCCTCTCTTTGGACAGGGTTTCACTCTATCACCCAGGCTGGAGTGCAATGATAGCTCACTGCAGCCTCTGTGTCCCAGGCTTAAGCAATTCTCCCACCTTAACCAGCTGAGTAGCTGGGATGACAGGTGCACACCACCAAAGTCCAGCTAATTTTTTTTTCTAATTTTAGTGGAGATGGAGTCTCACTATGGTGCCCACTCTGGTCTCGAACTCCTGAGCTCAAGCAATCCTCCCTCCTTGGCCTTCCAAAGTGCAGGTATTATAGGCATGAGCCACCAAGTCTTGCTGATTTAGGTTTCATTGCTAAGAAATTGTTGCCTAATCTAAGGTTATGATAACATACACCTCTATTTTCTTCTAAAAGTATTATAGTTTTGACTCTTATGTTTAGGTCTTTGATCCATTTTTAGTTACTTTTTATATACAGTGTGAGGCAAGAGTCTAAATTCATTCTTTTGTATTGGACATCCAGTTGTCCCAGGCACATTTTCCCCTTTGAATTGTCTTGGCAGCCTTGTCAAAAATCAGTTGGCCATAGATGTATGGGTTTATTTCTGTGCTCTCAATTTTATTCTGTTGGTTTATATGTCTACCCTTATGCCAGTGTTACACTATCTTGATTACTGTGGTCTGTCATAAGTTTTAAAATCAGGAAATGTGATTCTTCTAACTCTTTTGGGGATGGGGGATTGTTTTGGCTATTCTGGGTTCTTTCCATATGAATTTTAGGATCAGGTTGTCAATTTCTACAAATAAGTGTGTTGGGATTTTGAAAAGGATTGCATTGAATCTATGGATCGCTTTGAGAAGTATCGTCACCTTAACATATTAAATCTTTTAATCCATGAACACAGAATGTCTTTCCATTTATTTAGGACTTTTAAAATTTCTTTCAACAATACTTTATAGTTTTCAATGTACTAGTCTTGCATATTTGCTAAATATATTTTAAATATTTTATTCTTTTTGATGCTATTGTAAATGAAATTGTTTTCTTAATTTTATTTTCATTTTTTCATTGTTCATTTATAGAAATACAATTGATTTTGTGTATTGATTATATTAGCAATTTTAAAGAACATCTTCTGGTTATAATTTCAAATATATTGGAACCAATATAGAAAGCCACTTGTAGTCTTCCTTAGGATTCTTTTAAAGAGTAGAGTATGTATAGTTAACATTTGTTGAACACTTACTAGGTGTCAGGCATTAAGCTGCTATGTATGTTACAATGAATTATTCTCATTTAATGCTAACTTTTGTCTTCATTTTACAATGAAGAATCCTTGTCCATAGTCCTACGATAAATCAGTGGCAGAGCTGGAACTTGAACCCAGGTCACTCACTCCAAAGCCTGTTTTCTTAACCATTTGACTATACATACTGCCTTTTTGTGAATAATTCATAATAGCTCTATCCTGGAACCTAGACAATAGATTAAGCAACATGGAAATATTCTCCAGGTCTCTACTTCTTGTCTCTTTACCAGGGTTGATCATTTCACTTTTATACAACAATGATTCTGTTCCTCCTTTGGGAAATTTTAATTTCAAAGGATCCTTCAGCAAGACTGTTTGAGCCATTATAGAGCCTGGAGGCAAACATAGTAAACAAAAGGTGTATACATACTGTATTAGTCCATTTTCACACTGATATAAAGATACTACCTGAGACTGGATAATTTATAAAGGAAAGAGGTTTAACATTGACTCACAGTTCTGCATGGCTGGGGAGGCCTCAGGAAACTTACAATTATGGCAGAAGGCAAAGAGGAAGCAAGGCACATTTTACATGGTGGCAGGAGAGAGAAGAAGAGGAAGAGCAAGGAAGTGCCACACTTAAACCATCATCTCTCGTGAGAACTCCCTCACTATCATGAGAACAGCATGGGGAAACAGTCCCCATGACCCAGTCACCTCCCACCAGGTCCCTCCCTTGACATGTGGGGATTACAATTCGAGATGAGATTTGGGTGAGGACACAGAGCCAGACCATATCAAATACCAATTGTGATACATATTATGGAAGGAAAGAACAGGGTGCTATGACAGAGAGTAATATGATGTCCTAATCTGGAAAGAAGGTCAGGGAAGGAAAAGACTCTTGAGCCATGACCTGGCCTGAAGTAATTAGCCTGGTTTAAAGTGGGGGAAGGAGCACTGTAGCAGAAGGAATAGGAGATGTTTATCTCATAGGATTATGATGAAACTTAAATAAATAGTACACATGAGAATTCCTAACCTAGACCAGGCACAAAATAAATTCTTTTAAAAAATTATTTTAAAGTTGTTACAGTGAGCATGAATACTTTTGTAATCAGAAAGCCAAATAAACGTTTAAAAGTAGTTGATGCTCTGAGAGAGACTAAACTACCTTGGATTGTGTATTTGCTGAGACAAGAGGGAATCTGGGCTGGTATCCTAGGGAGTGATGATTGGAGTGAATGAAAAAGGATAAGGGTGCAAAAGAACCTGAGAAGGATTGGTCAGAGAGGCATTAGAAGAACCTAGGGAAGATGTTACAAAAGGCGGAGGAAAGAAGGCTTTTGGGGAGAAAGGGTGGTTAATCATGCTAGATACCTGTAAGGCTGTCAAATGGGGTAAAGACTGAAAAGAGGCCATGGGGTTTGGCCCTTAGAGGACATTGAGTGATTTTTCAGATTAGTTTCAGTAGAGCAAAGGAGAAAGGAATAGATTGAGACACTAAGCCTATGAGAAAGTGGAACGTGGGTATATAAACTATGGGCTCTAGAAGTTTGATAAGAAAGGGGAGATAAGAGGGGCTGATTACTTAAAACAGGTGTGTTGCTTAAGGATCTGGGCTGAGAGGAAGTGGCTAGCAGCGAGAGAGCAATTAAAGATACTACAGAGAAGAAATAGCTGATGGGACAGGTAGAAGAAGGAACTGGTGAAGGAAACAGGACCCGATGGGGTCAGGAACACAGGTACAGAGGTATGCCTTGGAAAGGAAGAGTGACAGGAAAGCCAAAAATAGTGAAAAGATCAGAACAAGGCCAGGCACAGTGGCTCACACCTGTAATCCCAGCACTTTGGGAGGCCGAGGCGGGCGGATCACCTGAGGTCAGGAGTTCAAGACCAGCATGACCAACATAGAGAAACCCCGTCTCTACTAAAAATACAAAAAAAAAAAAAAATTAGCTGGGCATGGTGGCACATGCCCATAATCCCAGCTACTCTGCAGGCTGAGGCTGGAGAATCGCTTGAACCCGGGAGGCGGAGGTTGTGGTGAGCTGAGACTGCGCCGTTGCACTCCAGCCTGGGCAACAAGAGTGAAATTCTGTCTCAAGAAAAAAATAAAAACCACAAAGAAAGAAAGAAAAGATCAGAACATAGTCAGATGGCTACTCCTAGCTGCAAAGGACTTTGGGAAATACAGCCTTTATTCTAGGCAGCTATGGGTTCAGCTTAAAAAAAAATCTAGGTTGTTTTACTTAGGAAAAAGAGAATAGATGGATTCTTGGATAGGCAACTCACAGTCTCTGCCATAGATTACCAAACGCATCTGGGGTGGTTGGTGAACCTATATAGGGAATTTAAATTATTTATTAGTTACTGGTAACCTCATTTTAATGACATTTTATTGACTCATTTTATTGACACAAAGTTTAAGTAAGCTTCTGCAATTCATACAATGAGTAGAAAACATAGCAGAAACAAGTCTTTATGCTCCCAAGTCCAGCGTTCTTTCACTTGCACTGTTGCCTTTCATGTGATTATATGTGTGTAGTATTTGTAGTTAATCTAGTAGACAATTTTAAGATTTAGAGATTTACTTCCAGATATCCTAAATATTCTAAATCTAGGTAGTATTGGGTGCATTATATTAAAGTCTAGAAAGATTAAGAAATCAGTGGGATTTAGATGTAGTCCATTGAAAAGCTTTTTATAATGGATTTAATTTAGTTTTTGTTCAGAAACCCATTTGGCTGTTGAGACACAGTCATTTCTCAGTGTTTTTACAAAGTGTTTGCAAATTTTTCTCACCATAGGACCTGCTATTATATCATAAGGACTGTGAACACTGGTGAAAGCTATTCCTGAACACCATTTATTTTAAAAACAAACCTTTTCCTACTAAAAACAAATGTTTCTCTCTCTTAGTGTTATGAAACATTTCATCTTAGAAAACCCATGATGGAATGAAAGTAGTGTGATGGCAAAAGGCTCTGAACTGAGGGCAGGGAGTGTATATCTCCACAAGTCACTTCTTCTGGCCACAAATTAAATTAAATTAAATAATTATATGTTTAAATGGGTATAAGAATAAATTAGGAAAAAATGGTAAGTGCTTTGATGAAGTAAAGTTGAAATAAACAGATAATGTTAAACTCTATTTCAGCCATTAGCTAATTTTCTTCTCCTTTGTTGTCATAGCTAACTTCTTTGGGGGTTTCCTTCTTTTCTGGACCTGTGTGCCTATGAAGGGAGGGTGAGTGGGCAATGAAATCATTAATAGCCAGTGAGCAGGTAGACAGAGGATGGCGAAAGGGCCTGGATGAGGCCACTGCAGAATAATCAGGCTGTGACTTGTATTGTTTCTTTTTAGTTTGGATGGTTCAATGACAGCCCTCAAGAGGGTATTTACTTCCTCCTTCCCATGTATTTTGTCTGAATATGTGACATTGATTCCTTGGTATGGCCTTATATTCCTAACATTCAGGCTTGCCATGCACACAGTTATCTGAGTGTGAATGAGGGGAGGATTGGGACAGAGAAGAAAGAGAGACTTGTGAACCTGGCACAAGTACAATTTTATATTTCTCTCACTGATCTTTTAACCATAGACTGTTTAGGTTTAAAGGCCTAGAGAAGTCATTTAATATAGTGTTTTTAAAATTGTGCTTCATAGAACCCAGTGATATGTCAGAACCAAGTAGGTGGGGCTCCTTGTAGTTAGGAACATGTATCTTGATGAAAGTTGTAAAAATCGAACGAAGTCATGTCACTCCTCTACTAAAACTTCTCAGGGCTCCTCTTCACCTATGGCATAAAGTCCAAGATCCACAGCTTAAAATGCAGAGCCTTTCATGATCTGCCCACTCTGTGCCCATGCAGTTTCTCCTGCTCCATTCCTTCTACTCTATTATATATTCCAATAGTACCGCACTCCTGCTCCTTCGGTAAACCTGTCAGGCTATTTATAACTCTCTGCATTTGCACTTGACGTTTCCTCCACAAGAATGCTTTGTTTGTCCAGTATACTTCCTTACTCCCATCTCATTTATCCCCAAACTTAACTAACCCCTCAGCCCTATCTATCACTGTCTTGTGATTCTGCTTTATTTTCTGTATAACACCTATCACAATCTAGAATGATATTCTTAATGTGTTTGTTTGTGTCTTCCACTTTTCTCACTCTGCACACTCTTTCTTAGCAATTTCATGGGCTCACATGGCATCTGTTAATAACACGTCTTCATCTCCTGCCTAGTTCTCTCTCCTGTGCTTGCAAATAGCACGCTGAAGTATGGCCACTGCATAGCTTCACTAGAGTGATGCACAGGCACCTGAAATTCACAACAGAATGCCTCAAGGTAATTAATCCTACCTTCCAACATGTTCTTCTTTTGAAGTTCTCATCTCAATGAGTTGCCCCATCCACAAAGCTGGGCGTCATCTTTCATTCCTCCCCTCTTCCACAGCCAGTCATTTCTATCTGGCAATGGTTTGTCCTTAAATTCTTTTCCAGTCTTCTTTTCTACATCTCCATTGCAATAACTAATTGCCCTTTTCTTGCTTAACTTGTGTACTGTCTTATTCTAGGTCCTCTGGAACAGTGCTGTCCAATAGAAATATTATGTTATTTTAAATTTTCTAGTAGCTACGTTAAAAAAGATAAAAAGAAGCAAGTGAGACGGTGCAGTGGCTCACACCTGTAATCCCAGCACTTTGGGAGGCCAAGGCAGACAAATCACTTGAAGCCAGGAGTTCAAGACCAGCCTGGCCAACATGGCCAAACCCCGTCTCTACTAAAAATACAAAAATTAGCCAGGTGGGGTGGTGCACACCTGTAATCCCTGCTACTTGGGAAGCTGAGGCCTGAGAATCACTTGAACCCAGGAGGCAGAGGTTGCAGTGAGCCGAGATTGCGCCACTACACTCCAGGCTGGACGACAGAGTGAGACCTTGTCTCAAAAAAAAAAAAAAAAAAAAAAGAAAAAGAAAAAAAGAATCAAGTGAAATTAATAATGTATTTTATTTAAACAATATATTCAAAGTATCAATTCAACATGTAATCAACATAAAAAGCGGCGTGTTTAAAATTTTCTTTTAAATACTAGTCTTCAAAATCCAGTGTGTATTTTACACTTACAGCTCATCTTAATTTAGATTAACCACATTTCTACCTCTAAATAGGTAACTGTGGGCAGTGACTACTGCAGTAGGCATTAACAGCTGTAGGATGTAGAGCCTGAAGGAAGAATTAAAGTGCTGACATTTTTTTAGTAACTTCCAGCCCAAAGTGGCAAGGGTAAAGGATAAAGGAAAATCAAGGAGGGAAAAGTATGATATAGCACCTTACCTTGCTGGTCATGGCAAGACACACAGCAGGTTGTTCAGACACGGCTTCGCCCTAATTTTTTGTTTCCCATTGACTTCCTCCAACCGCTTGGCAACTGTTCAGAAAGCAGTATGACATTTTATCCAAGTTCACAGGTAGAAGGGTGACTCAGTATATGTTAAAGAGAAAGTTGGTGGAGGCTGAGGGAATCTTAGAGACATAGTAGGTTCACATTCAGTACACTAACTAAGCTTTTTAGTTTTGGTTTTATCTTTCTTCTGTTCAGTTCCCAAACAAGAACAATGTAGCCAGATATTCTTGCTAAATGTAGCTCTGACTGTCATTTCCCTCTTTTAAAACCTCCAGTGACTTCCATTGTTTTCATGATAAAGGCTAATATCATTTCATTAAAATTTTTACTTGATCTGGCCCTGTCTTTTTAACTTCTTACCTCAGTCACCTTCCTCTCATCTTAAATGCTGTGTGTATTAGTTATATATTGCTGTGTAACAGATCACCCCAAACATAGTGACTTAAAACAAGGCCAGGTGCGGTGGCTCATGCTTATAATCCCAACACTTTGGGAGGCCGAGGCGGGCGAATCACGAGGTCAGGAGATCGAGACCATCCTGGCTAACATGGTGAAACCCCATCTCTACTAAAAATACAAAAAGTTAGCTGGGCTTGATGGCACATGCCTGTAATCCCAGCTACTCGAGAGGCTGAGGCAGGAGAATTGCTTGAACCCGGGAGGCAGAGGTTGCAGTGAGCCGAGATCACACCGCTGCACTCCAGCCTGGGCGACAGACCGAGACTCTGTCTCAAAAAGACAAAAAAAAAAAAACAGTAAACATTTATTATCTCACAGTTTCTAGGGATTAGGAATTTGAGAGTAGTTTAGCTGAGTGGTTCTGGCTTGAGGTCGCTGTCTTATGTTACTAACAAATACTATTAACTGGGTAGCTTATAAACAGCAGAAATTTATTTCTCACAGTTCTGGAGGCTGAGAAGTCCAAGATCAAGGTGCCAACAATTTTGGCATCTGGTGAGGGCCATTTACTCATTTATAGGTGGCGCTTTCTAGCAGTGGCCTCACATGACAGAAGGGACAAAAAAGCTTTCTCTGGCCTTTTTTTCTTTTTTTGAGACAAGCTGGTATGATCATGGCTCATTGCAGCCTTTAACCTCCCAAGTTTAAGCAATCCTCCCACCTCAGCCTCCTGAGTAGCTGGGACTATAGGTGCAAACCAACATGCCCTGTTAATTAAAAAAATTTTTTTTTTGTAGAGGCAGGGTCCCACTATGTTGTTCAGGCTGGTCTCTAACTTTGGGGCTCAAGTAATCCTCCCACCTCAACCTCCCAAAGTATTAGGATTATGGGTGTGAACCACCACACCTGGCTCTCTGGCCTCTTTTATAAGGGAACTAATCTCATTCATGAGGGCTCCTCACTCATGACCTAATCACCTCCCCAAAGCCCCCACCTCCTAATTCTGTCCATTGGGGTTAGAATTTCAACATATGAACTTTGGGGGTGGGAAATAAATATTCAGATCATCACAGTCTCTTTTTTCTTTTTTTTTTCCCCTCTCTTTTTTGGTTATATCATCTGTCAGCTCATACCTACAACACAGTCTCTTATAGGATTAAAGTCAAGATGTCAGCCAAGGCTATAGTCATCTGAAGTTATGAATAGGATTGAGAGATTCATTTTTCAAGGTGGCCCATTTGCATGGTTGGAAAGTTGACACTGGCCGTTGGCAGATTTTCCACATTTTCCTATATAGAGGGCTGCTTGAGTGTCCCTACAGCATGGTGGCTGCCATCCTCCAGAGAAAGTGATCTAAGAGAAAGCAAAGCAGCAGCTGCCATGTTTTTTTTTTTCCCCCCTAGACTTGAAAGTCAGACATTGTCATTTTGGGACTGACCTTTGTAACCAATAGGATATTAGTATGAGAAGGAACGACATAAAGATATGAATAACAGAACACAACCATTGGGTGCCATTTTGGAGGCTGGCTACCACTGTATGATGCATCTGTAAAATTTCTTTTTAGCCCCTCTGGCATGCCCTGACTTGTCTCTGGATATTGCTACATATTGTTCTTTCTTGCCACAAAAAACTTCTCCCTTCTGTTTCTCTTCTCCTTGCTTGTCTTTCTAACTTCTTTTTATCCCTCAAGTTCCAATCCAGATATGTCTTTCTGTGAGAAGCATTCTTTTTACCAGGACAGCCCCCACCCTATCACCACCATCAGCACCAATTGCCTACTTATTCTATGCCATTAGAATGCCCTGTCTTTCTCCTTTCGTAGTACTTACTACATTTTATTATAGTTGCCTGTTTCCTGGCCTGACTTCCCCACTAGACTCTTAAGTTCATGAGGGCAAGGACTACATCCTTCTGGTTTATTGTTATATCCTCAGTACCCAGCATAGTACTTGACAACACATCATAGGTTCTCAGTAAATAGTTGCTGGTTGGAAAAATGAAGGAAGGTATAGATGGGTGAGTGGATGGATGGATGAATGACCAAACATCTTGTCTTTTCTACTAGACTCTGAACTCCTAGAGAACTGTGCCCTCATCTTTTCGTTTTTGTATCCCCAGGATATTACATAGTGCCCAAACAGATAATAGGCCCCTATTAAATATCCCTTTCTCCTTTCTTCTCTTTCTCCCAGTTCTTCTTAATAGAATGAAGATTTTGAGATGCTCCACATCTCCATCTGTCTGTCATAAGTGATAAATCTGATTATGTCAAAAATTCACCTTTTGGTTATTTTTATTGTCAAATATTGCAGACATTCCCCTGTAAGTCAACATTGTAATACAATTTCAGATAATTTGTATTTGTAATGAGAGGGTATAACAGCCCTAGCAGTGTTCATTCAGGCTTTAGCAAGTACCTTGACCATGAAAGGTGTTTTGTGAATGATTGGTGAATAAATTCAACATATTGCTAAGTGCTTTTTATTGAGTAACTGTGTTGTGGCTAGTATAGGAAGTGAGAAGTTTTTCGTAGATTTTTTTTTTTTTATTAGACCAAGGAATTACTTACTGGCATAGAAGTTGAATAAGTTCTTTCTGTTTCTGGATTTGAAATTTAAGAGAAAATTGACCTACTATTGTGGTTTCAGTTGTTTCTATGGCCAGTTCTCTTCTGGCTCTGCTAGCTTTGTGGAAAGGCAGCAAGCAAAAGGGAGACTTGTCGACAATGTTGGCCCTGCCTCCTCCCCTCAGAATATGCAGAACCCAGAGTCAATTTGCAAGAACCTCCAGAATGAAAGCAATAGCCTTAAATATGGCTACATGTTCCTCTTATTCTTTTTATTCCCATTAAAAATCATTGTCTTGGCTGGTCATAGTGGCTCACGCCTGTAATCCCAGCACTTTGGGAGGCTAAGGCGGACGGATCACCTGAGGTGGACGGATCACCTGAGGTTAGGAGTTCAAGACCAGCCTAGCCAACATGGCGAAACCCTGTCTCTACTAAAAAATACAAAAATTAGCTGTGCATGGTGGCACGCGCCTGTAATCCCAGCTACTCAGGAGCCTGAGGCAGGAGAATTGTTTGAACCTGAGAGGTGGAGGTTGCAGTAAGCCAAGATCATGCCACTGCACTCTAGCCTGAGCGATAGAACAAGACTCCATCTCAAAAAAAAAAAAAAAAATCATTGTCTTAAGGATGAGCAAAATAAATAAAATTTTAAAAATCATTGCCTTATGTTATATTTTTCTTTATTTTTGTGCTTTATAAATTAACTCTATATTTTTTGGTGTTTTGTTTTGTTTTCAGTTTCCCTCTTAGAGGTTCATTAAAAGGGCACGGTCTTTGGAATTAATCAGAACTACATTCAGATTCTGACTGCCATTTCTTTCTTGCTACGTGTTGTTGGACAGGTTACTTTATATCTCTGAAACTTTTTCTTTTTAGTATGGCAAATGAGGATAAAATTAGCTCCTTCATAAGACTGTCATCAGGTTCAGTGGGATAGCTTATGTAAACTGCCTAACAAGGTCTTTGGTATAGTAGACGCTTAGTCAAGATTGGGTAGCACCCCCTTTTCTTAGGCTGTATTCCCCAGCTTAAAAAGGAGTTGCTGTGTCTCTGGTCGTGTGATTGTTGCCCCAGGAATGAGGGACTCACTCATTCTAGCAGAGAGGCAGTTCCCTAAGCCATCTGACAAAACTCCTAGTCCATTCTCTTTCTTGGATCATTTCCCAACTAACCAAGGTAACGCAGTCTGTTTTTCCTGTGATTTTTTTTTTCTTTTTTTAAAGCATTCCCTTTTCTTCTTTGACTCCGTTTTTCTCTCTTTCTGTCTGATGATGATTGATATTTTTAACCCTCCTTGCTTCCTCTTGCTGGTCTGTGCCATAGAATCTAGACTCTGGGAGGAGGACTCTCCTCTTGGAAGACTTTGCTCCAGAAACTCAGAGCTGGGATTTGCCATTCTGGACTTTGTTTGGTGTCTTGCCAGAAAGTGGTCTATTGCATGATGTGTCCACATTTTTTCCTCCATGTGATCCAAAGAGACATCTGTCTGGGAAGAATGTGATGGGCCCCACAAATAGACTGCCTGGGGTATCCAAATCTTGAGTTGTGTGGCCTGTTAAAACAGGTCTGTGTCACAAGTGATGAATAGTTCTTGTGGATTTTGAGCAAGTTGCCGATCGATCAGCTACTGTTTAATGAGAGAGAGGCGCTGTAAGAGGAGCAAAAACCCAGCTGCCTGTTCGGGAGCCACCTGCCTTTTCGCTTTACTTCATTTTCTTGCTAATGAAGGAACCAATTGGTTTAGAGTGATCAATGCTGACCTATTAGGATCAGACATTGTTTTGGCATTGCCAAGGCAATTAAATTCAGCAGGGTAAGGATTAGAGAGAGAATGGCTATAAAAAAAAAAAAAAAAGAAAAACAAGCAAGTTTTTATTCAGAAACAACCACTCTGGTGTTTGAGGTATCAAAAAGATTAGTTAAAAGAGAATTAATCATTACAGCATTTTCTTTCTTGGTAAAATAATCAGAAGATTTGTTGACATTAGTTCTTAGATGTAAGAAGATAGGAAGCTCTGCTTCACTGATCTGACTTCAGGTATGACCTTCATTATTGCCTTCTTTCCTATTTAAAGCTGTGACTCATCCAAAAAGCCTTCTCCAAGAGACTGTGTATCATGTAATGGGTACTGTGACCTATATGTGCTAGATTTTCCAGAGCAGCTCTGATTTAAAATAGTGTGGCCCTTCATCATTCTATTAACAGATGATGTGATTAGGAAATTGTTAACCAAATTTGTAACTTAAGACTTGATAAAAAGGATAGTATGTAAAACCTTTGAGAGTAAGGTTCATGAGCTAATCATCTTGGCACACATTCCTCACCCAAATTCTGTTCCCCTCAGCCTGATGCCTTCCACTTAGATATTCAGTAAATATTTGAGTAAACTGACTGAATGAATGAGTAAGACGTGAAGTCTTTAAAAATGGGTAAGATTTGAAGCTTTGATATTCCAGGATTACGGAGACAATAAGTATAAGCATATAAAAGCAGGAATGATAGAGTAAATTAGGGAGACCTAAGGTCTTTTCTAGAGTGGAAGGTATGTACTAAAGCAGGAGTTCCCAGACTTTTGGATTTCACAGACCAGTGCAATTTCCAAAAGGAATTTTGCTAAGTAAAGATGTTGACTGTCACTGTTGTTCTATAACACCAAAATGTAGAGTGGATATAATTTTTGCAAAAAAGTACAGTTC
Organism: Homo sapiens; assembly: GCF_000001405.40. NCBI lineage: Eukaryota > Metazoa > Chordata > Mammalia > Primates > Hominidae > Homo > Homo sapiens. The sequence continues at coordinate 38,390,791 of NC_000006.12, read as the reverse complement.
TTTAAATTGCTTACGATTGTATTAAAGAAGTGACTAAAGCATCACCATCTACCTCTTTGTAATGAGAGTGGAGCCATGTATCAGTTTAAGCAGTGGTGACAATGTAGGTGATACTGTGCATGTTCCTTAGAGTTGTGTAATGTCCTGAATTTGGGGGTATTGTCTAGGCATCCATGTCTGGTTGATCTTTGATTTCCCATGCTTTTTGTCTTGATTTCACCTATTAATGTTCATTTTTGTTGTTCATGAAGATTTCAGTATCTTGAACATTAGCTGTTATTGTTTCTTCAGAATGCTCTCTGGGGTTTATATTGGATAACTGCTCCTGAAATTGCTAGAGAACTTTATGCCAGGGGTCTCACAACTTTTTTGGATCATGTACCCATTAGTAAAAAAATTTACACATGGGCTAGGTGAGGTAGCTCATGCCTATAATCCCAGCACTTTGGGAGGCCAAGGTGGGTGGATCACTTGAGGTCAGGAGTTCGAGACCAGCCTGGCCAACATGGTGAAACCTCATCTCTACTACAAATACAAAAATTAGCTGGACATGGTGGCAGGTGCCTGTGATCCCAGCTACTCAGGGGGCTGAGGAAGTCTCAAAAAAAAGAAAGAAAATCTTTGGAAGTATCTCTACATCCCGAGGAGAATGAAAGCCTTCTGTGTTGTAGCGCAGCACACTCTGAGATATGTGACGGCACCAGCAGAGAGGTATTTTCAGTCACTTCATTGTACCATCAGGAAGAAGTTTGAGTGGCATATGATGACAATCAGTGATAGCCCTATAACCTCGTATTTTATAATTACCACTAGAATATATTCAATATGTATGTGGGACTCTACGGAGAGAGAAAGGAAGAAATTCTATTCCCAGCTGCATAACATAAAGCTGTATTTTTATTAAGAGCTTTGACTGACAATATAAATCATAAATCACCAACATAAAGCTTAAGACACCAGAAGCCAGAGAGAAAATATAACCTGTAAAATGTACAATACTGGTATAGTTTAATATTCACAGTTCCCAGGATTTTAAAGCAATTTCATACCAAATTAAGACAGCTGATTTTTTTATTCAATATTTTCTTTTTTCACGTAAGCTAGTCTTCTTGATCCTTTGTGCCATTTCTGTGTCATGTCAGCTGACAATAATCAATTTGGATATCTATGCATTTGAGTAATTCATTCTTGAAAAAAGGTGGTAAAAAATTACAGCACATTTGTTGTAAAAATATTTGCATACCATGAAGTGACTGTAAAGCATAGTCAGTTGTGAATGAAAGTGAACACCCAACGCCATCCAGCATGGGGCTGTATGTGTAGTGCAGGTGCTTCATACGTGTTTACTGGTGGCATCTTTGATGCTGAAGGGTTAAAGAGAGAGTATTTTGAAATTTCCTGGGTCTTTTTGGAATGTACAAAGAAGAAAGTATTGCATTTGCCTGTTTTTTTGATGCAGTAATGTATCATTAACAATTTATTGTGGTGTATCAAGCCATGAAACAGAACACATCTGAGCATATTTCTCTGACAGACAAAGGTGCAGATTTTATGTATTGAGTTAAAGGAAATGAAACTTTCCCAGCAAGGGTAAGTAGAAAGAAATTTGGCCATAGATATAATATATGTCTTTAAAATGTGGTGAAAATAAGTTTAAAAGATTCTTTGTTAAATCCTCACCTCTATTAATTAATCACTATACTATAAATTATCACAGATTTCCTGCCAGTTAAAGACAGTTAGAAGATCTAGTAGAGAGTTTGGTACATTACATAGAGCTAAAAATAAATTATTATTGTCCTGTTGTCATTTTCCCCCTTTGTTTAAAATGCTCTCTTGCTAGTATAAAACCTGTGGTATAACAATACTCAGATTTCTTTCTTGAGAAAGGGTAAGACAGTGGATCATAAAGCACAATTTGTTAACCTCTTTTTAAATGTAGCTTTTGTAATGACACTTTAATATTTCAGAAGTCCTGAAGGTTTAACTTTAGTTTTCAGTTTAAATGACCCTCAGGTTCTTGGTATTAGTATTTCAAGGTTAAAGTTTAGAAACAGAATAGGTGTTTTTATACATATACAAAAAACTACTGGCCAAAGGATTGATGGACACTGTCATTTTCAACACAGTTCATTTGAAAATGGCCATATTGAATCTATAAACACACTAAATTCAGTTGATATATTTTCTTTCAGTCAATATGAACTCTGGTAATACAGTGAGGAGATAGGAAAATCTAATATACCATGTGCAGAAAATACACAAATAGCTCCCTATTCCAAAGCATTTTAGTTCCCTTCTCTTCAGTGGAACACATAAAGCTGAAAACAAATCATTATAAAAGTCTAAGTAGACTGTAATCCTAACAGCTAATACAGGCACTAAGTTATACCAAACTTTCTTTTAAAAACAGAACAAAACAGCCCCTAATGTTAGAGAGCTAATGCTGCTGTTACTGTACAAGTCAAATAGGAGAGGGGCCATAGTTACCAACAACATGGTCTGGCTCCAGCCAGTTAAACTGTGAACCTCAAAGCTGTTGTAATAAAGTAGACTTTTTTTTTTTTTTTTTGTCAGGGGCAGTTACACCAGAAGCATTTTCTTGGAACAAAGTGCATATCTGAACAATTAAATCCAGATGTGCTAACAGATGTCTCTTGAGCAAGAGCATCATAAAACCAGATTTCACTTGAGTGAGGAAATTACTTATTCCATCATTTTTTATTTTTCACTTGGAGATTACATTTCACTCTAGACTACAGTCCCAGGGACTGTGATTAGAAAGGGTATCTGAGAAGGTAGAATTGGTATATCCTATCAGTGTGAAGTGAGTACATGCATTTCAAATTGATGCTACCTAGTTCTGAGAACATAGAATGCTAATGAAGCGGGCCGTTATTTTTCTCTCTTGGTTTTCAGGCCTCTTTGCCACAAATGTCTGACACCCTGTGAATTAGCTCTTCTCCTTTATGATTCTGCATGGATGTATTTGGCATCTGGGCAAGTCCTTTTCCCAAGAATTTATCTATTGGCAGATTTCTCCTCTGGGCATAAATGGAACAAAATGAATTATATACTTTTAGAAGGTTTCTTGCAGATCCATATGTTATATTTTGTGGCCATTACTCACAGTGTCTGTCATACTGACTAGATACCAACTGCTGAATCATGCATATTAGATACATGATGCCTTCATATGGCTTTGGTCTTATTTATTTATTATTATTATTGTTATTGTTGTTTTGGGTTTTTTTGAGGTGGAGTTTTGCTCTTCTTGCCCAGGCTGGAGTGCAGTGGCGTGATCTCAGCTCACCGCAACCTCTGCCTCCCAGGCTCAAGCAATTCTCCTGCCCCAGCCTCCCGAGTAGCTGGGATTACAGGCATGTGCCACTACACCCGGCTAATTTTTGTATTTTTAGTAGAGACGGGGTTTCACCATGTTGGCCAGGCTGGTCCCAAACTCCTGACCTCAGGTGATCCTCCCGCCTCAGCCTCCCAAAGTGTTGGGATTACAGGCGTGAGCCACTGTGCCCGGCCAACTTTTGTCTTATTATCCTAGACTTACTATAGTCTCTCCCTGTAACAAACAAATATGTACAGATTTATATTCAGAAACATAGTTGAAAAAGAAACATGATTTGATTGTTTAATTTGAAGTTTGTAGGAAGGTGAATGTCCAAGAGTAAATTCTTAAGTGCTTCCTTGTTCTACCTGCAAGCATCCTTTCTTACTACACAATATAGAATGTCACTTTAGAGATGCATCAAATAAACATTTTGGCCAAATGGGGAATTGGGACCAGTAATATTACCAACACAGAGGGGACTTTTGGGTAACAAGAGTGAATTGGGCCAGACGCGTTGGCTGATGCCTGTAATCCCAGCACTTTGGGAGCCCAGGGTGGGCAGATGGATTGAACTCAGGAGTTCAAGAGCAGCCTGGGCAGCATGGTGAAACCCTGTCTTTACAAAAGTGTATAAAAATTGGCTGGATGTTGTGCATACACCTGTAGTCCCAGCTACTTGGGAGGCGGAGGTGGGAGGATTGCTTGAGCCTGGGAGGCAGAGGTTGCAGAACACCAAGATCATACTACTGCACTTCAGCCTGGGTGACAGAACAAGACCCTGGCCCCCCACTCCAAAAAAAAAAAAAAAAAAAAAAGAGTAAACTGGAAAATGTATCCCAAATATAAATATCACTATAATTTTACTACATTTATATTGATCAGAATTTTAAAATTTGACCTTACATTGCAGGAACCAGAATTCTGAGCACTCAGCACCTGCTAAATGAGCCTGTGAGCGCTATATTGCACATTTGTGACAGTAGACATTCACTTTCAACTGAAGTCTGTGGGAGGAGCAATATATTATATTTTGGAGCATCTCACATTTCTTTAATCTTATGTTATTTTCTTCATTCTTCTTATATTTATTCCGTTTAAATTGAAGATAATTTATCATGGATGCTGTTATATATTACTTTGGAGTTTTTCCTTATGAAATTTTGAGGTGGCAAAATTGATATCCTACCTTAAATTTATTCTGACATGAAGATTTCTGAAACAGAATTGTTTCTTGAAACTTGTAGCCTAAGTGGAATGAAATAACAAAAATTAAATAAAGGATTTTCGTTTAGGGTTACAAATAACAATATTCTCACCGAATAATATTATAAAGATTAGAAGTAGGATATTATTGTTGGGCGTGGTGGCTCACGCCTGCAATCTCAGCACTTTGGGAGGCCGAGTTGGGTGGATCACTTGAGGCCAGGAGTTTTTTGAGACCAGCCTGGCCAACATAGCGAAACCCCATCTGTACTAAAAATACAAAAATTAGGCATGGTGGCATGCACCTGTAGTCCCAGCTACTCAGGAGGCTAAGGCATGAGAATTGCTTGGACTCGAGAGGTGGAGGTTGCAGTGATCTGAGATTGCACCACTGCACTCCAGCCTGGGTGACAGAGTGAGACTCTGTCTCAAAAAAAAAAAAAAAAAAGTATGATATTATTTAATCTCTAATAGTTTGCTTGTTTTTAAAAAATTTTTGTAGGCATGTTGATTCAAAAAACATATAATGTTCTTCTTAAAGATATCTAGCCAATCTACTATTTCTTAATATTTGTTCTATTAACCTGTCTCCCCATTTATTTGAGCACTCTAGGTTTAATAATTAACTTTGTACAAAAGTCAATAATTTTTATATAGTCACCATGGTTATTGTAACATTTTACTCTTGCAATAATAAATATACATTCAGACTTCAGCTGACTGTTAAGATTTTAATATCAAAAGTACATAAAGGGCCGGGTGTGGTGGCTCACGCCTATAATCCTAGCACTTTAGGAGGCTGAGGCAGGTGGATCACATGAGGTCAGAAGTTCGAGACCAGGCTGGCTAACATGGTGAAACCCCGTCTCTACTAAAAATACAAAAATTAGCCAGGTGTGGTGCCAGGCACCTGTAATCCCAGCTACTTGGGAGGCTGAGGTGGGAGAATTGCTTGAGCCAGAGGCGGAGGTTGCAGTGAGCTGAGATTGAGCCACTGCACCCCAGCCTGGGCGACAGAGCAAGACTTTGTCTCAAAAGAAAAAAAAAAAGTACGTAAGATTTTCACACCAAGTTGTATCTAGTATGCTTACAAAAGTAAGTGAAATAAACAGATATTAACCCTAGATCCAAATGGCATACCTTGTTCATATTTCTGTAGTTATTATGCTAGTTAGATATCTTAGGAACCTGTGTGACCACATGGTCACTGATCCTGAATACATTCAGGGATACCGGAATTGACACTGAAGCAGACCTTAGGCTCTCAGCGCCCCTTCAAAGGCTGAGGCTGAAGCCAAATGACAGATAGCTACAGTTAAAGCTGAACTTGATTATATTCCTACACTAACACTGGACAGAACTTGCTTTCCCCATGTTGTTATTTATGCTAAAAGAATCCTGAACATTTCTGATACAGAGCAAGTATATTTTTGTCAGTTTATGACATACAGGATGAGACAAAATTCCCTGTGCACCCTAGAGGCCTTTTACCCTGGGAATGTTTTTCTAGGCCACCATATTTAAGCATTGTCTTCTTGTGAAATGTTAGGTTATTTAGGAGTTATCACATATTACCCCAATCAAATTGTTTTCTAGTCTTCTGAGGCCTGAAAGCACTGTGGTTTTCCTTATTATGTGACTCTTAGGAAATACTAGTTGTGAAGACCTTCTAATATATATTTCACAGTGATGGGTTATTGCAGTTTATAAGTGCTGACTAGTCTAACTTCTGTATGAACTAAGCAGGCTTTTGTTTGTGGGATACATTTTGCATATCCAAAAGAACCATTTGCCAAAGGCCTAAGCTCAGAGGAAAGATAAAAAGGGATTTATATCTGATAGCAATCTTTGTCTCTTTTAATACCATTTTATTGAATTCTTCATCAGGTAAAACCTACTCAGTGAGTCTAAAGATACACAAATTAGGCCTAGAGAATCAAGCATATTTGATGTTATAGCAGAGAAGCAGTAAAACTTTATATAATGCAGTGTGTTTTATATTTATATAGCCTAATTCACAGTATCACAAGATACTTCGCAGAAAGAATCAATTGCAAGCTTAAAAGAAAAAGGAAATTTTTAAAGGTGAGATTTAAGGGTAGAATATACTCCAATTTTGCACTCAGCTTGCAACTGAGTCAGAATCACTGTGCCTTATGTGCTACCATTATTAAAGTGAGGCTTAAGGTTTTCCCACCGAGCCCTATGCTGCCAGCCTGCCAAAGGAAGATAATGTATGACTGAGGAGGAGTGCGTATTCCCATGCAGCTTGTCAGCTATCCAATACAAAAGGCACTGTCTGCCACAGCCCACTCAGTCATCCCTGGACTTGGGCAAAATTCTATCCAAAATCACCTCCCCAGTTCCTAAATACCATCAGCTTCAAGGGGTTAAGATGTCGACATATGAATTTGGAGGAGGGGTGGACGCAAACATTCAATCTATAGCAATGAGTTTCAATAAAATGAAGACCCATTACTCACCGTTTAGTGTAACAGATGGAACGTTACCAGTTCTTCTGGCAACTTTATAAGGTTCGATCCTTGTATACGTGAACATGGTGTGTTCCTCCATTTACTTTGGTCTTCTTTACCGTCATTCAACAAAATTTTATAACTTTCTCCATATCTGCTACATCTTTTGTTAGGTTTATTTCTAGATGTAACATCTATTTTTGTTGCCATTTTGTACAGTGTCTTTTAATTCAATGTATTCTGCTTGCTTGCTGCAGAATGTATAGAAATGCAGTTGAATAGAAGGAACAATGGTGATCATCCTTCTGAAGTTTATTTGTTAATTTTAAAGGGAATGCTTCTATCATTTTACCACTGAGAAAGACATTTGTTATAGGATTCTGATAGATGCCTTTTAACAAGTTAAGAAAATTGCCTTATATTCCTGGTTTGCTGAGTGTTTGTTAAATTTTTAAATAGTGGTTGGATTTATCAAATGTTTTTACTGGAAATATTGTGACAATCACAGGGTTTTTCTCATTTAAAGTTAATGTGTGAATTATATTGTAAGATTTTCTAATGTTGAATATACCTAGCACTCCTGGAATAAACCTAATTTGGTCATGATGATTATTTATGTATCATTGAATTTGTTTGGCTGAAATTTTTCTAGGATTTTGCATTTGTGTTTATGAGGTCAACTAGAATTTTCTTGTGCTTGTCTAATTTTGTTTTCAGGTTGTATCAGCCTCATAAAATGCGTTGAAGAGTATTCTTTTTCTTTCCCTGGAGGAATTTGTATATATTAAAATTGTCTGTTTCTTGAATGTTTGGTAGAATTCACCTATAAAACTTTCTGGGCCTTGTGGGAAGACTATTAACTGTTGATTAAATATCTTAATGTTTATAGCACCACACTGGTTTTCTATTTCTCATTGAGTTGGTTTTGATAATTCAGATTTTCCTAGAAATTTGTCCATTTCAACTAAGGTTTCGAATTTATTGACTTAAAGTTATTTATAATTTCTTATCTTTTTAATCTCTTTAGCATCTTAAGTATTTTGTTTTCCTCATGCCTAAAATTGTTTGTCCTTTCTCTCTTTTATCAATCCATCTTTCTTAAATTTTGTCACCCTTTTCAAAGAACCTTCTTTGGATTTAAAATTATCTGTACTGTGTCATTGTTTCTTGTTTCATTATTTTTTGCTCTGATCATTATTATTTCCTTTTTCTACTGCTGTTGTTTTTTTTTCTTTTCTTTTTTTTTTTTTTTGAGACAAGGTCTGGCTGTGTTGTCCAGGCTGGAGTGCAATGGCACAATCTCAGCTCACTGCAGCCTCCCCAGGCTGCTGTGACCAATAATTGTGCCTTTAAATGTGTTCTGTAAAAGCTACTTGGGAAGCCACCTCACTCCTGGGAAGGATCTGAGGCTGGCAGAACAAAGGCAAACTCTTGAGCTGGTCCTTAAGGGAGCTACCAGGTAGGTCAAAATCCACAACCACAATTAGTTGAGATTAAGGTTCTTATTGTTCCCTCTGGCACTGGACACCTTCACCAGCAGTGTGGGCTGCTGTCCTCACAGCCACCACAAATCTAAGGTGTTGTGGGAGATAGTAGGTGGGCAATTTAAAACACCACAGTGCTCTCTTACTGCAGCAGCTTCCTTCTTCACCAAGCCTTCCCCTAATTGTTGAAGGGTTTTAATTAGGTTCCATAATTCTGCAAAAGTTGATTCGGACAGTTTTTGCCAGTACTTTAGTTGATTTTCATTAAGAGATGGAACCCTGGAGTCTCTTACTACACTATTTTTAGTGATGTCATCCCACAAGTTTTAGTAATTGTTATTTTCATTAATTGTTATTTTCATTATTATTCTTATATTATCTAAGTATTTTCTAATTTCCATTACTTATTTTTTCTTTGACCCGTGGATTCTTTGGAAATGTATTTAGATTGCAGTCGTACGTGTGTTTTTGATGTTATTTTTAAGGTGTGTATGTATGTGTGTATGTAGAGTTGTTATTGTTTTCCAGTTGATTGATTGTGATTAGAGAAAGTGATCTGTGTGATACTGATCCTTTAAAATTTGTTGACGCTTACCTAGAACGTAGTCTTTAAAAATAAAATCCTTTGTGTACTTGAAAAGAATGTATATTTTTCAGTTATTGAGAACATTATTCTCTTTATGTTCATGTTATTTTAATTATGTTGCTCAAATATTCTATATTTTTTCTGACTTTGTCTGGTTGATCTATCAGTTGCTGAGAGAAAGCAGTTAAAATCTGCCATTGATAGTGGATTTCTCAGTTTCTCAGTTTGCTACTTTTTGCTTAGTATATTTTGAAACTATATTAGCTGCATATGCACTTAGAATTGTTATATATTTATAATTAAGTGAACCTTTTATCAGTATATAGTTACCCTCTTTCTTGAGTAATGCTTTTTGCTTTAATGTCTGTTTTTTCTGACATTATTGTAACTTTTGCATCTACACTTGTTATGTCTTTTTCCATACCTTTAGTTTCAGGCTTCCTTTGCCCTTATATTTTATTGTTTCTTGTAAATAGCGTGTCATAGGATTTTACTTTTCTTCAGTTTGGTTATCTGTCTTTTAAACTATAGAATTTAGTCCATGTACATTAATTATGTTTCCTAATACATTTGATCTATTTCTCCCCTATCATTTTTTGCTATTTGTTGAATTTTTTTAAATTTTACTTCTTTTATTCTTTCCTCCTTTTATGTTTACTTTTGTATTGTTGCTTTTCTTCTTTCTGGTTTCTGACCCCCTCTTACTATACTGGAAGTTATACATCCTATTTTAGTGGTTATACTAGATTTCAGAAATTTTAACATGCATTTTTAATTTGCTATTCTAACATGCATTTTTAATTTGCTATTCTAAAGTTAAACCATTTCTTTACCCTTTTTCCTTTTCCTTTGTAGAGACAGGGTCTCGCTCTGTTGCCCAGGCTGAAGTGCAGTGTCATGATCATAGCTCACTGCAGCCTAGAGCTCCTATGCTCAAGGGATCCTCCCACCTCAGCCTTCTGAATAGCTGGGACTACAGGCGCACATTACCACTCCCAGCTGTATTTTAAAAAAACTCTTTCCTTTTCCTTTTTAGAGACAGGGTCTTGCTGTGTTTCCCAGATTGATCTCAAACTCTTGGCCTCAAGTATACCTCCTGCCTCAGCCTCCCAAAATGCTGGGATTATAGGCATGAGCCACCTCACCCAGCCTACCCTCTTCTAGACTCAATAAGGATGTTAGAAGAGAGTTATTTCCCATCACCCTTGATCTGACCTATATGCTGTTCTTTCCTAGAATTTTATTTGATTTTTAACCCACAAGTGGGACAATATTATTGTTTTATCTAGTCAATGTGTGTTTAGCATTATCCATAAATATTTCCTATTCTTGGCTCACCATTCCTTCTTGCATCTCAGATTTTCCTTCTGGGATCATTTTTCTTCTTCCTGAAGTATATCTTTCAGAATTTCCTTTAGTAAGAATCTGTTGATGATGAATTCTTTTATTTTTCTTTGTCTGGAAATTCCTTATTTTGAAATTATGAAAGTTCTATCTTTATTTCACCCATATTCTTGAAAATAATTTCATTTCATATATGTTTACAATTTTTTTATTTTTATTAAAGTAATACAGGCATATACTTTAAAAAGTCAAATAGTACTAAAGAGCATATAGTATATAACAAATACAGCAATTCCCACACCCACCTTTCTTCATTTACTCCAGTCTCCATCTCCAAAGGCAATGACTTACCACTCTTTTAGCTCTTTCTTTGGGCATTTATACATACCTATATTTTCTATGTGGGACATCTTTCTTTTGATTAATCAATTGTAGTCACCTTCTATTAATTTCCTAATATGACAATAGATGACTGTTTGGCTCTTTTACACTGCCGTCTCCTGTGCATTCCTTCCCTATCCTCCCAATATAGTTATGTTACAATTTGTAGTAAAAGTAATTTTCACTGTGGTCATGCAAATATAATTAATATCCGAGCATATGTGGTATGATTGTTTCCCTTCTTGTTTGATTGTTTTTCCTGAAGTTAGTTTTTAATACTTATTGATAATCTTTTTTACACCTTCTAGTAGCATCTAAATACAGTTTTCTCCCAGCACTCTGTTTCCTTTTTTTCTTAAGAGATATCCTTTCTAGAACCTTCTTTACCTTCTTGCTTTCTCAGCCTTATGCACAGCTGTCAATCTGAGCCTCTCCTTTGTTGCTATCCTTGGAATTCTCTTTGCCTGTCTCCCAAATTGAATTTCATACTTCTTTGATTTCTTCTCTTCCATTTCTTGGATTAATCCCTTATTTTAGTAGAGCAAACCCGCTAGAAGATTTGTCAGATTACAGAGATTACAGTGGTGATGAGAGCCTTTAATATTCAAGTCTTTTGAATTAAGTTGCTTCAGTCTGAACTGGCTGCCCTCTAAGCTTTCACCCCATTCTTACCTGTATTTCAGCCCTATCTCCTTTTGCAAGATAGATTTCTTTCTTTTTTGAAAGTCAGCCACTAAAAATGTTGCCTTTTGGGAGTCTGGACTTTGTTCAGGAGCCTCTGCTTCAGCATCTCTCCCTGTTCAGACCCCAAGCTTTATCTCCTTTCCCCAAGCCTACATGTGGCCTGTTAAAATCCAAACTGCTACCGGGGATCAGCAGATGACCTCAGGGTAGAGTGATCATATATCTTGGTATGCCTGGAAAATTATTAATTTGCTGTAGCCTAGTTATTCATACTTAAAAATGTCCGGGTTTGGGCGATAAATTATATGGTCACCCTACATCAGAGCAAACACCAGCTCTAAGTCTTACTCATCCCTGGGGAATGGTTCCTTTCCAACGATTCTTGCCTCCCCTTTTTTTTCTTTTTTTTTTTTTTTGAGATGGAGTCTTGCTTTGTCGCCCAGGCTGGAGTGCAGTAGTGCCATATCGGCTCACTGCAACCTCCGCCTCCTGGGTTCAAGTGATTCTTCTGCCTCAGCCTCCCGAGTAGCTGAGATTACAGGTACCCACCACCACGCCCAGCTAATTTTTGTATTTTTAGTAGAGATGGGGTTTCACTATGTTGGTCAGGCCGATCTAGAACTCCTGACCTCAAGCGGTCTACCTGACTTGGCCTCCCAAAGTGCTGGGATTACAGGCATGAGCCACTGCACCTGGCCTTTACTGCCAACTTAACCATACTTTTAAGAGAATTTAAGTTTAAGTGTTTCGTTTAGGGCCAGGTGCGGTGGCTCATGCCTGTAATCCCAGCACTTCAGGAGGCAGAGTGGGCAGATCGTCTGAGGTCAGGACCAGCCTGGCCAACATGGTGAAACCCCGTCTCTACTAAAAATACGAAAATTACCCAGGTATGGTGATATGTGCCTGCAATCCCAGCTACTAAGGAGGCTGAGGCAGGAGAGTTGTTTAAACCTAGGAGGTGGAGGTTGCAGTGAGCCAAGATCACACCACTGCACTCCAGCCTGGGCGACACAGCAAGACTCCATCTCAAAAAAAAAAAAAAAAGAAAAGTTTTGCCTATGATTTTTAGATGTTCTTCATGAGGAGGGGTTTCTCTGCACATAAGTTAGCTATATTGCTGTATAAGGAAATCCTGTCAATGATAGATGCAGGAGGCAGATAAGGGGGAGGGTTCCCCGAGAGTCGTCCTCCACTGGGAGGACGGGGCGGAGCCATGGGAAGTTCGGAAGTTCACACTGTTTGCCAGGGGAAGAATCACATGACCAGGAAAATTTAGACAACGCAGACATATTGAAGGGTGAGTAGAGCAGGATTTTAGCTGAACTAAGGAGCAAAATTCTGCAGCACCTGTATCTTTTAAAATATCTTTTTCAAGAAGGAATCTAAAGATTTCTTTTTAAGGAAGAAGTTGGTACATTGATTTCTTATACCACCCTATTGATTATATAACAATTCCTGTATTAGAAAAAGTAGTAATTCTATTAACAAGAAAAAAAATACTATGTGGAAAATTAATGTTTTGGGTAAATATGATTATGAAAAAGAAGATAGGAACATCAATCTTCTTTGATAGATGGTTAAAAAATAACCTTCTCAAATATTGCAACTGGGAATTCCAAGGAGAGTCCAGAGTTATTAAAGTGAGTGAGGTATAGTTCTGGGTAGGTCTGATGAAGGTATGTGTGGGTGTCCGTGTGTGTGTGCATGCCTGTATGCACCTGTGCATGTTCTTAGTTTGTAAGAACCCAAGAGTGAAACGCACAGTAAATTGAGAAATACCAAAGTAGACATTATATCTTGTTCCTTTTATTTGGGTAATAGATTGCTTTGGCCTCAGCTGTAACAGTTGCATACTATCATTGGTTTCTGATATTCTTAAAAGGTACCATAATGAATAATGTCTGTCCTTTCATCCCTGAATAGAGAAGATTTCATTCTGTTGTAAGTAATTGTTTCCAATGGAAACACTAGTCCTAGCCCCAGAGTAGCTTCCTTGCTGTGACCGACATGGTTTCTTCCAAAAAGAATGTATTAGGTAGCAGTATATAGTTATATAATAAACTTCAGCTTCTACAAAGGAGTATGAAAGCATTATGTAAAATGTTTACTTTTTATTTATCTAGAAATCAAAATCGACTGGTAGCACTTTGAATGAGAAACATGTACTTTCTGAACAGAATAAGATGGTTATAAATGAAATACAGTAGGTTCAGGTAAGTGAACCTGATGAAATACTGGAGACCTCATCTGTCAACTAAAACAATTGGTTTAGATAAGCCTAACTTTGCTCAAGGAACCTATGTCTGCCTTGGAAAGCAGTCTTTAATAACCGGCCAGGGAGAGGGCAAGTATATCATCAAGTAGGATAATGCACTTAGAGGAAATTATGGCATAGTATATTCAAATGGCAGTCATTGTAATTCTAATTATCCAGTCTGTTGAAGGTACTGGATAGCTTTTTACAAGTATAACCACTCCAAGAAGGACAAATATAACATAATAAGCACACAGAGTTCTTGAGTACCCAGAGTATTTAGACTAGCTAAAATGAATGATATCAGAATACATCAGCTTGTCTCCAGTTTTCTTTGTACATAATTGCAATAAAATTTGATGTGCATTGCAGGGTGTTAGGAGGTTTTTTAGGGGTTAATGATTTATATAATGATTTCTCTTTTATCAGAAAGTTAACACAGCTTTTGTTTCTGGATTTAGAATAATTTTATTACAGTTTTCATTTTGTTTAACTTGAATGTTTATCTGCATGCAAGCCTTTATCACTTGAGATGTGTGTATTTTATACATTAACCTCCTTAGGTGGTATTGAGATCACATAGATTGTGAGAAAGTTCTAGCATTTAGGATAAATTTTCCTTCTTTTAATTTTATTTGTATTTTTTTCTCAATTCCCTGTTTCCTACCACATTAATATATATTACCCCTAAAATTAATTTTCATCCTTGGAATACTCTTCAGCATTATTTGTAGCGAGCAGGTCCATATTTAGCTGGCCCTTAGTCCACTTGTCTGTGTTGAACTCTTACAATATTTGAGCTTAAATCATTCCCTGTGAGCCTTTCTTCACACACATTTTTACCCTAAATTTTCTTTACTTTGTATAACATCTGTCTTTTGTGGGGGAAAAAAATGCCACATGGGCAATTTTTCTTTTGTGGCTTCCTGTACTCATTAAGCAGCAAGGGATAATTTGGAGTTAGCTTTTTGCTCCTAAATTTTGGGTATGCTTTCTGGTTATATTGAACATGACATATAAGACAGCAGACTTAGTTTTATTTTCTTGTCATAGTTATGCCTACACGTTTTTTCTTTCTTTCTTTCCTTCTTTCCTTCTTTCTTTCTTTCTTTCTTTCTTTCTTTCTTTCTTTCTTTCTTTCTTTTCTTTCTTTCTTTTGTTTGTAGACTCAAGGTTAATTGCTTTGGGAAAGTTTTAGTTAAGTCCAAATTTACATTTTTATTTTAGTAATAAACTGATGTCCAAAACCTACTACTTCTATTTTAAAAGAATTAATGTTGCACAGTATGCAGTGTTTGTGTGTTTATCCTTCGCAACCAAACCATAGCTGGATTTTCCAACTTGCCCTTTTCCACAGACCTTGTCTTCTTTGAAGAAATCTATTCAATAATTCAGATAGTTAAATTCCTCTGAGCAAGAAAAGATCTGATATTGTTGTCAGAGTTCAAATATCTGGTAACCCTTCATACTGTGGTTAGCAAGTGATAGACAAAAATGTGGAAGATGTTCCCAGACTCAGCTGTCTGACTTTAATACTTGCTGACTTTTCATCCTCTGTAGTTAATGGATGCAATGACTAGAATTTGGTCCTGAAAACTGTAAGCATCTTCAGGGTGCAGACTTTCTAACTCACACTAAGACTTCTTAATGCCAAGCCCCTCACACAATAGCATGCATTTTATGATTGCTTAGTAAATATTTGACGCTGGGGGCAGGGACAGAAGAAAAAAATATTTGATGCTAATAAAAAGCAAGATACAAGCAATTTAGTTGTCCAAATAAACCTTGAGCATGACTTTGACCAAGTCTGTGTTTTATTATTACATTGATTGTCAGTACTTTACATTCTGAGGAAAAGATCATGTGGACAACTCAATAGCATTTCTTGCATTAACTTTCCTGGCACTTATCTAGTCCTGGCACATCTTGCCTCCTGACTTCTTCAACGCTGGTTTTATCAAGGGACTTAGAATTCCATAGATGGAAGGAATATTGAGAATGATTCAGTATATACTCCTGCCTTAAAGACAGAAACATATGAAAGACAACTGCAAGCTTCTTTTTCCTCCCTCAAATCTCCAGAGTGATGGCTATCACATCTCAGCTACGCCTAGTGACTGCCTTCTGTTTTTGGACATTGTGTTCCAAAGATCACTAAAATGTCGCTGCCAACTCTGACTCCAATTCCTTGCCACTATAGTCAGAGGAAAAAAGCCAATGATACTTCTCTAAGATGCAGTGGGGGTATCCATAGGTCTATCAGTGCTTTCAGGGCCACATAAAAGGTATTGATTTCGTGCTGATTTCTATGCAGGGTTAGTTGTCTCTGAAGGTGTCTGTTGTGTGTGTGCAAGAGCTGGGGGAGGTGGGTAATGTCTGAATGTATGCAGAACTTTTTTTCCCCAAATAATTTGTTTTAAATTGAAAACACTTCATTAAATGGTTTGTTCATTTTATTGATTATGCTAAAAAAGAGATGTCTCAACTGGGGGCAGTGGCTCACACCCTTAATCCCAGAACTGTGGGAGGCTGAAGTGTCAGAGAGACAGTTGTTTTATTAGGATACAATAAGTTAAAATATTTGATTTAAAAATAATGTGATTCTTTAGAAATTTCTGAATATTAATGTACCTCTGAAGTTTACAGAATGTAACTTTTCGGTGCTGTCTCTCCTTACTCTTATATAGTTTGAGTACAGATTTTATATACATATATATATATATATATACATATATATACATATATATATATACTTTTTTTTTTTTTCGACACAAGGCCTCACTCTGTCGCCCAGGCTGGAGTACGGTGGCACAGTCTCGGCTCACTGCGACCTTTACCTCCCAGTTTCAAGCGATTCTCCTGCCTCAGCCTCCCAAGTAACTGGGATTACAAGCGTGTGCCACCACACCTGGCTAATTTTGTATTTTTAGTAGAGATGGGTTTCACCATGTTGGCCAGGCTGGTCTTGAACTCCTGACCTCAAGTGATCTGCCTGCCTTGGCCTCCCAAAGTGCTGGGATTATAGGCCTGAGCCACTGCACCTAGCTGAGTGTAGATATTTAAAAAGCTGATTTTTCAGAAAGATGCTAGGCATGGAAGCAGAGTAAAATGTTGCTTGCCTTAATATCTGTATATCCTTTTTCAGTTTTGATTTTTAATGATATAAACTTTTAAACTTGAATTTTAAACCAATGTTAACAAGTTTTGCTGGGTGAGGTGGTGGCTCACACCTATAATCTTGGCACTTTGGGAGGCTGAGGCAGGAGGTTCGCTTGAGGCAAGGAGTTTGAGACCAGCCAGGGCAACATAGTGAGACCCTGTCTCTACAAAAAATAAAAAAGCTGGATGTGGTGGTGCACACCTGTAGTGCCAGCTCCTCTGGAAGCTGAGCTGGGAGGATCGCTTGAGCCTGGCAGGTCGAGGCTGCAGTGAGCTGTGATCATGCTACTACACTCCAGCCTGGGTGACAGAGTGAGACCTTGTCTTCAGAAAACAAGTTTATATGCACCTCCCAACACTAGGTATAGCAGAATGCCTTCTGAAGTGCATGTTTTATGGTTTTATTACAAAGGAAACTGTCACATTAAGTTTCTTTCAATATATAATGGGGCTTTAAGTAATATACTAAGAACGTGGGAAATACAGAGATGATTTAATCATAATTCTTATATTCAGTTCACTTAAAATGAGGTTCAATAGAGAAAAATAGATCGTGCACAGAATAATATGTCCCAAAAGCAGCAGACTGGCATGAATAGTCTATGACTAATTATTTATAATACTACTTGAAATGTACAGTCAGTCTACTAATCACCTTCATCAGGGATTATTTTGAATCCTAGATTATTTTCGGTGCTGTTCAGGGAATCACTGGAAAGAGCAAATGACACATTTTACTCTTTTGATCTCTTGTGAATATGTATCTACCAAGGACCATGGTCCTTGTCAAATAGTGGTCTCTAAGTGCTTGCTGCTGGTCACCACACACACAGCCAGCAGCCCTCAAACTGCAGAAAAACCAATAAAAGGACCTCACTCTCTTCCTCCCCCATAAAAAAGGAAATGCATGCTTGCAGGACATACAGAGAAACCTAGCATCAGGGAGAAAAACATGGAGAAGCAAACAGGGCAAAAATAAGTCCAGCCAAGAGTTTGTATAGAATTTGACAGACCTTTGCTATACATGTTCATGGCACATATAAGATCCTTATGGTTGGAATGGAAGGCATTTGGATGTGTCAGAGGTAGAAATTGTGTCAGATTTGGGAAAATTGTTGGAAGGAAGACTGGAGAGAGGCTTATGTCGTCTGAATGGAGGGTACAGAGGGAAAAGTCAGGAGGTCTGAACAGCCATTCTAGGACCTTCTAGCACCAGATGGGTAGGCCACGGTCTCAGTGCTGAAAACGACAAGAACATAGCCCCTAAAAAGGGAAAGTAAACACAGAAAAGTATTAATTTGTTGTTCCTGCAAATATGGATGAAAAGAGTTTTATCCTGCCCTGCTTCATACTTAAAAGTGTTATTTTTTTCTTGAAGGATGTGTAGATTGGTGGAGCGGGATTTTCTTTTAGTTGCTGTAGCACTGTTTGATTTTTAGAAAATGTGTTATGTCAGTCCATACCAACCCACTAAAACCCCAACTCACAGCTGCAGAAATAGCCTGAGGATGTGACAAATTAGTGTTCCTCATCATACTGCGATTAGGCTTAACATCTTTTAATAATGAATGTGACTCCACATGGCAAGAGAATAAACTAGCAGTTTGTACAAAGATATTATCTTCCAGGAATTGGGGTGATACTTAAATTTTAATCACTTTAGATTTTGGTTTATGAGTGAGCTGAGGTGCATCTAAAAATTCTCTCATTCAAGGCCCAAAGACATTGGTTTCATTGTTGGCACATGTGGCACTGATGGCCCAGGAGATGGTGAATTATGTGCATTTTGTGATTCCCATGGGACCTGGGAGGAGTGGTGGGAGGAGGACATCTAATTGAACCTACTTCTTTTACACTGAGGTGTGATTTGTTATAGTTGTTACTCTGTGGGTAAAATTGCCTTCCACTGTTTTATTTGGTTTGTCTAAAACTAGTATGTACAAATCTTCCCTTCAGTTTTATAAAAATTAGAAATTGACACCGAGGCCATAAAAGGTACAAGAATTTAAAAATTTTATTAATGTCCCCAATTGTAATTATAGGTTAGATATTGATATAAATGGTTTGGGGACATTAACGAAAAACAGTCACACCATACTTATTGGACTCACTATGGGTCCATGCCTTATTTTGTGAGCTGACCTTGTTTACATTATTTTCAATGTGCTGGTGTGCAGATTACAGAAAGATTGGGAAGCTGAGAGATTTATTATTTACAGAAGGTGGACAGTAGAGTCTATTGCTTTAGGAAAACACAGCTCAGAGCAGCAGCCTGGCCGACATTAATGAATCATGGCGATGGCAGTGACCTTGAGAAGTCATCCATCTCGTTCACCCTGTGCCTCTGCACAGGGCTGTGTCTCGCAAACACCACTGGGCAGAATGGGCCTGTCTGTCATGTGCTGGATGAGATCCTGGGAAGGAAGGCTCACGGTCTACCCTAGTCCTCCCAGCCAGTGATCGTCTGGTAATCCTAAGTGTTCTTAGCATCCATCACAATCACATGGGGCTGATTTTATTTATTGCTGCCTGATTGTTGGAACACTTTCAGAGTTTAAATTTCTCTGTCTTTTGGAGAGAGGGCCAAAGTTAAACTCTAACAAAATAAAAGGTCTCATCTGTGCACAATACACAGAGTGGTAAATTGTCCCAGGCAGACTGGATCGTCTTTCAGTAAACTAATACTGCTGAGACCCATTAAAGCAATGGGGGGCTGCCAAGTACTCACATCCCAGACTCATCAACTTGTTTTTTTGCTGACCACTCAGTCAGTCAGCAAGAGCAATGTGATAAGTCCTGGATGATAAACATGGTTCTGTTGCAGAGACAAAATGGATCACAGCAGAGAAGAAAAAAATTCTCAGATGAGAAAAACACATGCCAGGAGCAAGGTCCTTTTAGGTGAGAGCAAGTTCTTTGAAATCTAAGGCAGTCTCATTTCCCATGTGGAAACTGGGAAATGTGGAAAAAAAGTTTTAAAAAATGTCCCACACCAGGCCCTCACCCTCAGATAACTGCAGGTTTGCAGACATCTCCAGGGAAACCCATGACTCCGTGACATGTTAAGGGCAAATTTCAGTACTTGCTTAATAGAGTAGAGACATTTGTTGCAGTGAAATGCAGATCTGCTGTTAGTGTGAATTTATTGTGCTGCTGTAGCATCTTTATTATTTCCTATAAAATACAATCTGATTTAAAAATAACTGGTCCTATGACACTTACAAGGTTGAATCTGATGGGATGTCCATTGCAGATGAATAGCTGTGTAAATAATTTATGTCTTTTGTCACTTGTGTGTGGATTCTCTTAGACCTACAGTAATTACCAATAAGTTCTGGAGTAAACTGGAGAGTGAAAGTACTAGAAAGTCATGTAGGTTAGTGAGTTCTATTGATTCTTTAAAATAATTCTATAGTAATGACCATGGGAAAGAAGCCAGTATCTTTCCAAGTCTGATTAATAGCTCATTTAATTCATAAGCCTTAAAGCCCAAAGCAAAGATTCATTTGTTTTCAATTCTGTTTTATGTTTTTTGGAGCATTGAAGCTTGGATAGTTTATTTAAATGAGGTACATTTATGACTTTTAATATGATTGCCCTACCATTTACACAAAAATAATATATTCAAAGAGGCAGGCTGAGTGAGTAATACTGGCTATGAAACAAAAGAAGGTGATCGGGATTCCATACTGGATATCACTTCTTTACTAATGCTGACATAATGAAGTCCCTTATATTACAAGGAGCAGAAATCTGCTCAGACTGGCTGAAACAAACTGGAATTTACAATCAGGATACAGAGATTGTTGGTGGAACCAAGGAAGGAAAGATGGTCAGGCCTTATTAGAGACCAGAATAGGGACTGGAAAGCGCTCACGAGCTGATGTTATTTTTGTTGTCCTTCCAGGCCTGTGTAGTCTCCTCTCTGTCATTACTGTTTTATCCACAGACATCCTCTTCTTCAGTGAGAATACATAGCCAATGATAGTTGCCTTCATTTCAGATTTATATTACTTCCCAATTCAAGAAACACCAACCAACTAGCTAGAATCCTAATTGCTAATTCCAAACTCCTGGAAATAGAACCTGATTGGCCCAGCTTAGTCAGGTACCTGAAGAGCCCTGGCCAAGAGAACAGGTAGCGCGGCACCAGAAGGGCAGCAGAGCTAAAGCTCCAATTTTGCCCAAGATATTTCTTGTATTCCTTCTCTCTTCCCCTCCTTACCTATCTCTCTTCTTCTGTGAGTATTACAAACATCTTTCCTTGAAATTACTTTTCAGAGAAGTTTTGTTCACGAGAGCAATCACTTCACAAGGTGCGGAAGGGAAGAAAAGGTGCTGAAGTTGTTTTAGGCAGAGGAAGTGGTGGGAGTGTGAAGCTGCACAACGTCTAGAGTGAACTGTCCTCAGATGGATATTAGGAGAGCATCAGGTAGGGAGGGGGATGGCATGAAAAGAAGACTTGAGGGGCAGGTGATTCAGAGATTCTATTAGGAATCTAGGAAGGCAATTTTACCTGGAAGCCCATTTGTATATTTGTGTTTCTTCAGGGGCTTGGTCATTGAAGTATTTTAAGCAGAAATGGTCAGATTTTGTATTCTCAGAAGCTTCCTTAGGGAGAAGTTTGAAGAATGGATTTGATGGAGGATGGCAAGAGTAGAGGCAGAGGTATCATTTGAGTGTTTCAGGTGGGAGATGACAAGCCCTGAACTAGGGCAGAGTGCTGAAAAAGAGGCACAGATTTGAGAAATATTAAGTTAAGACAGTGGGAAGGACTTGTTGATTGGCTATGAAGTGAGGAGAAAGGAATCAAAGATAACTCAGAATTCTCCCTGAGAAACTAGGAAGGTATGGCGGCATGAATTAAACTGGAATCTGGAAGCAGGTTTGAGTAGAAGACGATGAATTCAGAATTGGACAATTGAAATTGAAGTGTCTATGGGACATCTAAATGGCTATGTCTTCAGCCTACACATCTGAGCCTGAAACAGAGGTTAGTGATCGAGCTGTGAATTGTGATTGAAGAATACCCTGAAGTTAGAGGTGTGAAAATGTGTGCAGTCACCTAAGGAGAGCATGCAGAGCAGGGACCCTTAGCCTGAGGGCCATGGGTAGGCTCCAGGGGATCCAGTGAATGCTCTGATTGTGTATAAAATTTTGTACATATTTTGGACAGGGGGCAAGAAGGGGGTTCATAACTTCTGTCAGATTCTCAAAGGAATACATGAGTCAAAAAAAGGTAAAGGCCGGGCATGGTGGCTCACACCTGTAATCCTAGCACTTTGGGAGGCTGAGGTGGGCGGATCATGAGGTCAGGAGTTTGAGACCACCCCGGCCAATGTGGTGAAACCCCATCTCTATTAATAATACAAAAATTAGCCAGGCACAGTGGCAGGCACCTATAATCCCAGCTACTCAGGAGGCTGAGGCAGGAGAATCGCTTGAACCCGTGAGGTAAAGGTTGCAGTGAGCTGAGATCACGCCACTGCACTCTAGCCTGGGCAACAGAGCAAGACTCCATTCCCCCGCCCCCTAAAAAAAGGGTAAAGGAGCTCTAGTATAGCGCATGCATCAAAAGGGGCAATGTATTCCCCCAAAGGGATGGAAATTGGTTTTGGGGGAAAAAAGTCTCCCTCTTTTTTATGTATAAAGTGCAGATATACATGTGGTACATAAGCAGATATACAGTATATCTGTGGTATTAAAATTTCAAAGTGGGGAGTGATTAAAAATGTCTTAAAAGCTTCCTTAAGGCAGTAATAATAAAGAAAGAGGTGCAAAACATTGGTGTGGAGTAAGAGGTGCACTGGGTTCTCTTCTGTTTTACTGTTAGTGTCTAAAAGCTAAGAACAAAAAGAATCTGTAGTTTTTATTGCTGACGGCACTATTGCTATAGCACACCTTTCCTCCTTTCTATTATCGCATCACCATCACTACCACCACCACTACACACATATACTCTCTGAAAAGTTTATTACAGTGAATTGAGTTTACTATGGATACACAGAATAAGGGGAAAACATGGAGCTTTTCAGGCAGGGATGGTTTTTTTTTTTTTTTTTTTTTTTTTTTTTTTTGCCATTTCTGGTGCAACACTCTTGCAAGATGATATACATAATTGCTTTTATAAATATCTACAGGTAGGAGCACATTTTAAAATCAGTCTTGCACAATAGATATGTTTAGTTACCCTATCTGCCCATTGATAAAGAAAGCACCATTTGTGGTCTGAGAGGGCTTGAAACTTCCAAGGATTGTACTCTCCAGGGTTTTTTCTCTGTCTCTTCTTCTATAGCTAATAATTTCCTCCACTGAATAATTATTGAGCCCTCACTGCAAACATGACACCAGATCTAAATATTAGTCATTTCACAGAGTTCAAAGAGGACTCAGTCCAGTCCTTGAGAAGCTTCTCTTCCCCTAAAAGTTGAAACAGCAGTTCTTTTCAGAGGCATGCAGCTGCTATGGTGTAACTGTCAGAAATCATGCTCTGAGTCCTCCTTCTCAAGAAAATCTAAGTCACTATAAAGTAGCAAGAGGCTACCACTCAACTGTGTAATGTATTATGTATATTTCTAATCTTAATTCTTTTATGTGTTGCTTATGAAAAAAGATGGACAAATTAACCAAATTTTACTAATCTTTCCAATATTTTATTTTAATGTAAATTATAGGCCACCCTCGGGGCCAGAGCTGAGAGCAGCAAGTTTTGGAAGGGGAAAGCAGGATCAGCAGGTTTCTGGCCACTGTGGTTCATTAAGTCAGAAATCGTTTATCTGTATTAGTTCTTGTTCTAAAGTGTTCACATTTTTGGGCGAGGGTTTTCATAGGGTGTCTGCTTTGTGCACTTCAAGAAAAACAACTCGGCCCTTTGAATCTGTATTCACCTTGAAGTCTTATTACTAAAACTGGAGCCTTGATCAGGTCTCTATAGTCAGGACATTGAGAGCACACTTTGTGTGCTTACCTTACCTAACCAAAGACCGATGCAGCGAAATTGCAATAGCAACAATACAGGGATGCTAGAAGAAACTGAGCATATATCACGTGAAGAAAAGATCATTCTTCTTTCTATTCCTAGTGAATGGCCATAAAGCTGAAAGGCTTCCCTTTCTTATTCTTCCAAAAAGTCCCTATAAGATCGATCACCATTACATTCATCATTCTTTTCCACTTCCTTCATGGGACCAATCACAGTTGTGTGCTTGATACTGTTTAGGAGCATTTCAATGTTTAGCAGCTTCCAAAATATTTCGTTTTAAATATGTGTCTTTTGGCCTTAATTCATAAACCAACAATTCTTTTTTGTTAAGGAAAGGCCAGGCCTCATTTTACTCTTGGGTTCTGCCCTGTTATAAAGTATACAGTATATACATGCTTTGTATGACATGCTTAGGGGACAGCTTTCCTTTTCGAAACCTGCTTCTTGTGTCAGCTGACTGGGACCCGCAGTGCTGGGGAAATGGAGTGGTTTCTTGGTGACTCCAGATAGCTGTCAGAATTAATCTATAGACAAGAAAAGATTTTCCTTGAAAGGAAGCTAGAGGCAGAGCAATGCCTGTGTATGTCATTCTAAGGGGACACTTAGGCTATGATGGAAGCAAGGAAGGGGGTACTTATTTTGCAAATTAAAATTGTCACCCTCTTATCTAGACAAGTGAAAATCAGATTCAGTGGATTTTTAAAAATATTTAACTTGTAAGTTCTTTACATTTTGATAAATCAAACCTATATACTTATGAAGCAGGTCATACTCTTCTTTTAATTCTGAGTTAGTAAAGCTGGTATTTCTCACCCTGAAGCACTGGAGAACTAGATACCTTTAGGAAGCAAAGATGAGAACCAGAGTTCAATATAATTTCATCCTTTTGAGTGAGAAGCATCCAGTTAACATGGAAATGAAAATCTCTGTTTTCTGTTCTTTCTTCTGAACCTTGTTTTTGAGAACCAGCAGTTGTCTACTTTGTGAGCAGTCTCTCCTTCCAGTTTTTAAATACAGAAATTATTTTTCCATAATTATTTTCAAATTATTTATTGTGGACCATGCAGAAATGTTACTTATCGGTAGCATTTGGCCTTGGGAGATTGTACCTTCAGTATGTTTTTTTTTTTTTTTTTGAGTCAGGATCTTGCTCTGTTGCCCAGGCTGAAGGTAGAGTGTCATGAGCTTGGTTCACCACAACCTCAACCTCCTGGACTCAAGCAATCCTCCCACCTCAGTCTTCTGAGAAGCTGGGATTATAGGCGTGTGCCACCACGCCCTGCAAATTTTCTTATTTTTAAAATTTTTGGTAGAAACAAAAATTTTGTCTCCCTGTGTTGCCTAAGCTGGTCCTTGAACTCCTGGACTCAAGCAGTCCTCCCTCCTTGGCCTCCCAAAGTGTTGAGATTACAGGTGTGAGCCACCACATCCAGCCTGTACCTTCAGTATCTTGAGTAGCCTGTTACTCTTGCTGGTATGGATGGTACCAGCAATGTCAGATTTTTTTCCTCCGGTTATTTTTACTTCAGTTATAATGTTCTGAAATACAGCCTTGCTGTTCAGCCAGGCCCAAAACATAGCTCATCACTTCCCAGCTTGTGAGCTTGAATGAGTTAGTTAAACACTCTGGTTATGCCTCACTTTACTCATCTGCAGAATGTGGATAGTAATAATGCCTACCTCATAAGTTAAGAGAATTTAATGAGTGAAAACAGGTAAGGTGCTTAGCGTAGTGCCTGGCATAGACTAAGTATTTAATAAATGTTAATTACTTTTTTAAAACTTGTCATAAATATTATAATATATTATTACAAACCATTCAACATTGCCTCAATGTTATAAGTGTTACTATTTAGCCTAGTCCTAAAAATACCTTTGGAGACTGGATTACTCACAGTCTCCCCCAAGCACTTTGGAACATCTGCTATCATAGGACTCCCATGTCCTAGGATGTGATTCATTTACACAAAACTAATACCTGGCTGAATGATTTTGAGGATCTCCAGAAGTCTCAGAACAGAGAAGATCTCTCTTTCTCAAGATCTACAGGGCCTTGTCTTGTTCGTCAATCTAGTTGGTTTAGTTTTTTTCCAGTGTATGATATGTTAGTATTTTCCATTTTATCCTGTTAGACACACTAAAAAGTAAGATTAAAGGATTTGCTTTAGGTTACCTGGGTTTGGTAGCAGAACTACGCAGAAAACCATTTTGACTACTATTTGTTGTGATTTATTATATAAAGTCCCTCCACAGCTAAGGTAACATGGGCTATATCACCTTAGCTGCCAAGGTCAGGCAAGGAGTATTGCAGTTTTTTAAATCTCCTGGATTGAATTGCTTAAGTGTTAATTCTAAATACTTTATCATAAATATTTAAAGCAAATAACCAATTTCCACTTAATCATAAAACACAACTCTTGTTAGTCTGAAAGCATTTGCATAGAAAATTACATATCACTTTAATGTATTTTCTGTCTGTTTTTGTGTTCATATAAAAATAACAAACTGCAGATGCATGATGACATCATCATCACTGAACCAAAGGAGGAAGCAATGGAAATCATTTTGGGAGCTAGGGATTTAAACTATTCCCTGTCAGCATGACAGCGCTTTTCTTAATATTTTTACGAGGGAGTTCCTGTGTGTAGAGTCAGCTGCAAGATCAAGGACAGTTGACGCTCATTCCTATAAAATGATCCCCAAATTTAAACACAGTGTCCTCCAAATGTCCCTTGGCACCAATGAATGTGATTTTTTTTTAATGCTACATTAGGTTCTCTAGTTCATCCCACTCAGCTCCATTGCATTTTCTCTAATGTTGTGTCCAATTTTAAGTGACTTGAATGATGGGCCTTCCATCTTTTACCTGGCTAGTGTAACCCCCAAGTGACCAGGATTCTCAAGGCCTCATTCTCTGTGACAGCCATACTGCAGCAGACCTAAGACAGGAGAAGTGGAGCCCACAAGGTTTAAATTGCTGTCTAATAGGCTGTAGCAATCTGAACATTTTATTAAGAGGGCATTTAAAATTAGCATTATTATTCCAGAAGATGCTTTCATACCACAGGAAAAATCATGCTGAGAGAATTGTGATATGTAACCTAATTTCACCATTTTCTTAATTTCTTCCCATTACTCCCAGTAATATGCCTCTCAAACCATTTTATTTTCTTCTCTTTGTACTTCTCTGATTACATAAATATTTTTATCTCTTCCCTTTCTATTTTTCCCAAAGTAGTTATGATAAATACAATCCTGCCAATAGAATTGGAGTGTATTACATGCAAGCTCTTCAGAGTTAGAGTAACTTTTTCTTGAGACAGGGTCTTTGTCACCCAAGCTATATTGCAGTGGTGCAATCAATCATAGCTCACTGCAGCCTCCAGCTCCTAGGCTCAAGCCATCCTTCTGCCCCAGCCTCCAGAGTATCTGAGACTACAGGTGTGCACCACCATGCTCAACTAATTGTTTAGGTTTTTGTTAGTTTGTTTTTGTTTTTGTAGAGACAGGGGTCTCACTATGTTGCCAGGGCTGTTCTTGAACTCCTGGCCTCAAGCAGTCCTCCTGCCTTGGCCTCCCCAAAGGCTTACAGGCATGAACCATTACTCCCAGCCTAGAGAAATGTTGTAAAAAGTTGATGTTGGCCAGTGCAGTGGTGCATACCTGTAGTCCCAGCTATGCTGGAGGCTGAAACAGGTGGAATCGTTGAGCCCAGGAGTTGGAGGTGGCGCTGAGCTATGATCACACCACTGTACTCCAGCCTGGGCAACAGAGCAAGATGCTGTCTCTAAAAATAAAATAAAATAAATAAAATAAAAAGTTGATGCTGATGAATTCCATGAAAGCAGGCAATATACAC
The DNA here is from genome assembly GCF_000001405.40 of Homo sapiens. Classification (NCBI taxonomy): domain Eukaryota; kingdom Metazoa; phylum Chordata; class Mammalia; order Primates; family Hominidae; genus Homo; species Homo sapiens. Next base: position 38,363,035 of record NC_000006.12, on the reverse strand, counting down.
CTTCTCTTAGCAACAATTGGGATAATTTTTATTTTCAGCTTCTTTTTTTCCCGTTTTCTCCTGTCATGTGGTTCTGTCATTTCCAGGCCACTCTCTCCTATTACTGAGATTCCCATGAGTGAAAGCCAGATTGCAATAATATTATCCTTCTAGAGAGGAATTTTTATCTCTTTGGTGATTATGTTTGAGCAACTCTGCCATCATATCATGGTTATTTAATTCTGTTGTATTTACAAGCAGTTCTCCAGCCTGCTGACAGTTGTCACTTAGAAACCTTACTGGTGGTTTTCCTTTCTTCTGCTATACTCATCAAATCCTGCTGCCACTGTACATCGTAATGTTATCCCACCAGTATATGGCTACCTTATAAAAAGGATTTTTGAAGAAAGAAACACTGTCTAATTGAGATTTATATGTACCAAGCCTTAAGCATCACGTTTCATACTCTATACCACTGGGAAAATTATTTGTTCTTTGGGAGTAATTTATATTCTTCTAAGAAATAATTTCACATAAATATTATTTGCTGTGGTGAATCTTAGCAATCTTTTAAAATTATTCTTCAGTTCTTACAATGATTACCATTTGTTTACCCACATTGATTCATTCATTTAGTAAACATTTTAGTGCATTCCGTGTACTGTACTGGACACTGTATGGGTACTTTGAAAAGGAAAATGAACAAGGAATGGTCTCTGCTTTCAGAAAGATCAGGTCCAGTAGAAGAAGCTGAAAAGTAGACACTTAACTTTGATACAACGTGAGACACACCATAATAGAAGTTATATGAGCACTGATGAGGGAGAAATTAATGCTTCTTGGGGTGAATCAGTACTCAAGAGAAATTACATAAAATATGTGACATTTGAGCTGGGCGAAAGTTATAGTTCACTATGGGAGTAAGGAGAGAAAGGCATACCTAGGAACAGAATCCATGTGAGTAAGCCAAGACACCTGAAGTACTTTTGGGGAATTACCCATGTTTCAAACATAGAGCATATGATAGAAGTAGCTAGTAATAGAGCCAGAAAAGCAAGTGGAGGTGTGTTGGGTCCTCTACATTGAAAAAGTAGACCAGCAGTCTGTTAATCCAAAGGACCTTTAACCTCAAAGTAATTAATCTTTGCTTTTGAAATACTTGTGGAGTTGTTTTTGTTTTTTTTTTTTCCTGTGGTGTTGTTTTTTGTTTTTCTTTGAGACAGAGTTTCACTCTTGTTGCCCAGGCTGGAGTGCAATGGCACAATCTTGGCTCACTGCAAATTCTGCCTCCTGGGTTCAAGCAATTCTCTTGCCTCAGCCTCTTGGGTAGCTGGGATTACAGGCCTGCACCACCACGCCTGCCTAATTTTGTATTTTTAGTAGAAACGGGGTGTCTCCATGTTGGCCAGGCTGGTCTCGAACTCCTGACCTCAGGTGATCTACCTGCCTCAGCCTCCCAAAGTGCTGGGATTACAGGCATGAGCCACTATGCCCAGCTGTTGTTTGTTTTTTAAGAGACAGGGTCTCGTTCTGTTACCCAGGCTGGAGCGCCGTGGCATGATCACAGCTCTCTGCAGCCTCCAACTCTTGGGCTCAAGTGATCCTCCCATCCCTCCAGTAGCTAGGACTATAGCCATGTGCCACCACTCCTAGCTAATTTTGAAATTCCTGTTTTTGTAAAGACAGGGTCTTGCTATGTTACCCAGGCTGGTCTTAAACTCCCAGCCTCAAGCAGTCCTCCCGCTTCAGCCTCCCAAAGTGCTGGGATTACAGTCATGAGCCACTGCTCTCAACTGAAATACGTGTTTTTATTTATGTCTGACTATGGGTATTTATTATGATTCAGACTAATATAGTCCCCACCCCCTAGCTACATATTAGACTCTCTGCCCCATTTCAGTTAAATGACAGTCTCTAAGGGTAGCATCCATATATTTCCGAAGTCCCCCAGGTGATTCTGATACACAACCAGGGTCAAGAAACACTGATCCAGACCCCTCAATGCTTGAACAGATTCACAGAGGCACCCAAGGAGACCCTCATTAAAACTGGAAAGGGATGCCATTAGGTCAGATCCTGGTCCTCCCTTACACTGATTGGAAGCAGCAACCTTCATCTCTTTGCTCTTGGCTCTTTCCCTTTGCAGCATTTAAACTTGCTAAAATCAATTTTACCTACTAATAAACAAAACAAATCCCTCTTTTGACTCTACAGTCTCCCTCTAGCCGTTATCTTGTTGTTCCATCCTGTTGTTCTCCTCACAGCCACACCCTGTGTTCCGCCTTTACTTCTCCATCCCAGTTGAGTGTAGACTCCAGTCCTACTGCGCTCCCCTGTCTTCCTAGGGTCCTAGGGTCATATTCCTAGATTTTGCACATGTTACTCTTCTGCCTGCATTTTCCTTCCCCATACATTTTTTCCTGGCATCCCCCACAACCCCCACTCATCTTTCAATACTTAGCAGTCACATCTGGGAAGCCTTTCCTGGTTGTCTGTGTCTGGATTATGTACCATTCCTATGTGCTATCATGCTATTTGTGTGGAATTTATATAACAGAATGTACTAATATGTATTGTAATTTCCTGTCTGCATTAAAAGAGGGGACCTTTTTTAGAGATTGACTTGTTCATATATTTTTTCATATCTAGTGCCTAAAAGTGCTCAGCATATAGTAGTTGTGCAATAAAAATGCTAAATAAATTATGATCTATTTATTTAACATTTTTGAGTACCTACTATATGCTAGGTACCATTTATTGAGCACTTAGTATGTTCTTGGTAAAGTGCTTACCACTTAACACATGTATTATTTAATCCCACAAAGTTAGGTACTGTTATTTTCCCCTTTACAGATGAGGAAATTGAGAAGTTAAGTGAATAAACCAAAACCAAATTGCTCTTTCTGGTATCTTTCCCAAATTAGTATTTCACACTTAATCTGGATTGGGGGACTTCTTTAATTTAAGCTGTAAAAACGTTAAAGCACAGTATATAATTATCCAATTATATTTGTCTTGTAAATTGTTAGCATTACCAGTTCTTTCTAGTGTTTGTCAAATGACTTTTTAAAAAGATAGGATCTTGTATAGTTTAACTAGTACTTTTTTTTTTTTTGTCTAACATTTGTAATTTTGCTAGCCTTTCAATGAAAACAGAGGTCCAACAGTTCATTCTGTTTGAGAATTAGGAGAGATCAAGTGATGAAAATCAACAAGTCGTGCCACAACCCCCAAAGCTTAACCTTCTATCCCCACCAAAGAACCTCTTGAGCCGATAGTTTGAACACCTTTCCTAGGAAACCTGCTCATAAATAGAAAAATTGGCTGGTTCAACTTTCCCCCACCTTTCCTTCCTCCTTTTCCCTGCTAATGAGCAGTGAAATGGCCTAATGACGGGCCAGAGGGAAGGGAGAGCCTGAGTAATGCACATACTGAATTATCAGCCCCTGTGTAACTGAGTTTTCTTTGGCTTCCTTTTCAGAGTTCAGCATTTTAAAGTTATTGAGGGATGCACTGTTTCTCTAGGCAGTAAGACATTTCTGCCATCATCATTTTGATTCAGTTCTATTGGGCTAGATGGCTTGTGCTTCTGACAGGGACTCCAGAAGACAAGCTGGGAGAACTCAGAATGACACAGTTGCCTTTCTGCTGAGAGTCAAGCACAGAATGGCCTTTTCATGCTCTCGTCTGTTAGACTGAAGAGTGTTAGGGTTGAGGAGAGTTTGTGTGGCAGGAGCGGCCCTGGAAGAAAAGGAAGGTGCTGTGTAGAATTTGAATGTTGCCCAGTTTCACATAGACCCTGGAATGGGAAATGGCTGTTGGTGGCGTAGGAGGAGCAACTATCCTGGTTTGCCTGAGACTGAGTGGTTTCCTAGGATAGGAGATGTTTAGTGCTAAAACCAGGACAGTTCCAGGCAAACCTGGATAGTTGGCCATCCTGCATGTTTAACTTAACTTTCCTTAGCTTAACAAAAAGGTCACAATCCGGCCGGGCGCGGTGGCTCACGCCTGTAATCCCAGCACTTTGGGAGGCCGAGGCGGGTGGATCATGAGGTCAGGAGATCGAGACCATCCTGGCTAACAAGGTGAAACCCCGTCTCTACTAAAAATACAAAAAATTAGCCGGGCGCGGTGGCGGGCGCCTGTAGTCCCAGCTACTCGGGAGGCTGAGGCAGGAGAATGGCGTGAACCCGGGAAGCGGAGCTTGCAGTGAGCCGAGATTGCGCCACTGCAGTCCGCAGTCCGGCCTGGGCGACAGAGCGAGACTCCGTCTCAAAAAAAAAAAAAGGTCACAATCCATTGAAATCATTTATTATTGTCTTTAAATCCTGTCTGAGTCATTGAATGACTCAGGAAAGCAAACAAACAAACAAAAAACAGAGGATTTCTTTGGCCTCCCTGGAGTAAGCAGTAAAATGGAATGGACCCTTGTTGAAAGCTCTCTTCCTACTCACCTGCATTTTGCTCACTACTCCTCTGAGTTAGAATCCTTGGCCACCCTGCTCCCCATACCTATGAGGTATTTATTTGTTTTTCCTTCCCCTCCCGTTTTGCTGCTGCGGCAGTAACTCCATGGATTAAAGAGGATGTACAGTATGTACTTTCTCCTACTTTGGCACTCTATTCCCGTAGCTCTGCTTAGATGCAGCTGGCTAAGCTGGGGCATCAGGAAGCCTACAGGGGATCCACAGCTGAATCTATCAGGTCTTCCTGAAGCAGCTGTTATCTGAAGCAACTGGGTTGTGCCAACAGAAGCAAAGGAAGGGTGCAGTGTGGATGTGCAGGAAGAACACCAGACAAGCCTGTCTCTGCTTGAGAGGATCTAAATCACCCCATCTGCATGTGGAATATAGTGATTGTTCTGGAGAGAGCGGGAAGGGGAGGAGATGGTGTTTTTCCACAGTTATCAAGATAAACAGAGCAGCCAGTGCTGTCTGTGCAGCTGTTTCAGTGTGAGGATGAGCTGAGTTATTTTATTTTTACTCAGTAGGAATTAACACACCCCCTCTTTCTTTTAGAGAGAGAGAGAGAAAGAGAGAGACCGGCTAACAAAATTACTCAATGATTTGAATCTTTCTGCAGAATGGTGATAATTTATGGGAATGTCTGGACATATCCTTGTTTGGAATTTAATTAGTGAAAAAACAAGTTCAGAAGATAAAATAGCTAAGTAATCTAAGATAGCCATTTGAAGACCTGGTAGAAGGAATGGGATAAGGAGGGGGATGGAGGAGCAGCAACAAGGTGAAATTTTATTTTAAGACAAGAAGGAATAAAGAGTTGTAGCCCTCAGGCTGAAGATGGGAAAGGAAATGAAGAGAAATGGTTATCGTCTCCTGTATTGTTGTCCTAGTACCAGACAGTCTCAGTGGTTGTACCCAAGTGATAGCAGCCTGGAAAGGCCAAGATCTCAGACTCAGTAAGTCCAGCAAAGACCTCTGCTCAAATTTTTATTTTTACAGGAATAACCAAAGGGATGGGGAGAGTGGAGCAGAGAGCCTGAATAATCCATTTTGTTCTTGTGAAAAATAGTTAAGGTTTCAGGTTATGATGGCAGATTCTTACTCCCTTCAGAACACATCAATTCTCACTCCCTTCTGAACAAAACTCCACTAAAATAACAGTAAAGAGATTTTCTTTTAGGTGTAAACCCACAAGGATAAAGAAAATGGGAAGAGGAGGCAAAGATGTGGAAGAGAAAGATGTAAAGCAGATGAACAAGTGGTAAATGACTTAACAGGCCCCCAAAACACTGAATCCTAAGCTACTGAATTCTCAAAGGCTTAGGAATTAAAGGCACCAGGTACCTCTGAAACTGTGATGAATGAAGTGGGTAGGGAAGGGCTACTGTGAGGAAGATTGGTTAACTACATGTTTATGAAACAATCAAGAGCTCTAGATCCTCTCCCCTATTTCTAGAACTCTGACCGTTTCTCCCTCATCCTGATGGAAAATTGGAAATTTATTCTCTGAGGTGGATAAAACAGAGTGTCTCTAAAACAGGAGAGACAACGTGCACAATTGAGAAAGGTCATACCATAGGAGGATTCAGTGGTCATTTGTTGAGACCCTACCTCTCAGTAACTCAGTAACACCTCCAACACACATAACCACCCTCCCCAGCACCCCCATCCACAAACACATTCTTCTATCCTGTTTCACCACTTAGCTTCTAGAACTCTGGTAGTCAGGCCCATGTCTTCCATGCAAGGGTTAGAAACATCTTCCTAGGATAATCTGATCATCTTGAGAGGGAAGAGCTAAAGAATCTAAAAGTAGGGTTTTCCTAACAGTGAACCCATTTAGGTAATCCTAACATGAAGCTAAAAGTCTATGAGCCTCACTATATTCTTAGAATCTTTATTGCATTTCTAGTTTCCCTCCTGACAACCAGACATGTGAGGAAACTAATCTGAAACAAAAACACCAAATAGAGGGAACCTGTATAAGGATATGGAAACTTTAAAAAAAATGTTGCTATCTTTAAAGAGATTGAGGTACATATGGCAACCCTAGACCAAAAAGAAAGGAGCATTTAGAGAATAAGAAGTACACTTGGAAATTTAAAATGTTAAAGGAAAAATGGAAAACTCAGGAGGCATCATAGCTGATAAAGTTGAGGAACTCTCCCAGAAAGTAGAACAAGATGACAAAAATATGGCAAATAGAGAAAATATAAAAATGCAGGTCAAGATGAGGAAGTCCAATACTGAAAACTAAGAGTTTCATAAAGAAAAATTAGAAAAAATCCAGGGGAATAAATTAATAACAGTAATTCAAGAAAATTTGCTAAAATTGAAAACATGGGTTTCAAAATTGCAAGAGCCTTCTGAGTGCTCAGCCCACTGGAAGAAAATAGACCCACAGCAAGTCACGTCATCATTGTCATGAAATTTCAGAATATAAGGGATGTAGAGAAAATCTACATGCTCCAAGAGCAGGACATGGTTTTTTAAAAAAAAAGACAAAAGGAAGAAAATAACCTGATCTGGTATCATAGTGGCTTCTCAAAAGCAAAACTAGAAGGTTCACAGGCAGTAAAACAATACATTTAGAGTACTGAAGGAAATCTATTTCCAACTTGAGATTCTGTACCCAGCCAAACAACCAATCATATACGAAGGTGGACTAAGGATAATGTTCAGACCACGTCTTAAAAATTTTATCTCCTTGAAACCATATCTCAGGAAACTGTTTGTAAATGTACTCCACCAAAATGAGAGAAGAGACCAAGAAAGAAGAAAGTGTGAGATACAGTGTGCAGGCTGTTTAACACAGGAGAGAGATGAAAGAATCCCTACAGTGATGGTGAAGGTTGATCCCAGGATGATAGCTTGCTTCATAGTGAAACCAGCTTTGTTTTGTTTTAATGAAGAGGCCAAGCAGCACAGCAGTAGCAACGACTATTAGTAATATGATAGAATCTTCTTGCATATTAAAAAACGTCCTTTCTTACAAAGTACACAGTTTACTTTCTGTTCATTCCACTCGTTAAGTTTTTCTTTTTCTGAATTTCTGAAACAAGTGTGAGGACTGACATTTTCTTTCTGATCACTGGCTTAGCACTAATGCTGTACCAGCAGAGTCTAGGTCATGAATGGTAAAACTCTCAAGAAGCTTTGGGGAGGGGAAAAAAACAGCCTTGCCAAACTACTCCCCCTCCCAACCTGCTTGCTAATCCACCAGAAATATGGATTGGAGACAGGCTTCAAAATTGAACTTCAACAGTGCATAGGACTCCTAACACATAAAGTGTACATCTGGGGAAATGTCTTTTTAAATGATTGGGTAGACTGTTAGGTTTGAATCCCATGTCTGCTCAGCCCCTACTATAAGCAGTCTCTGTAGACCACCAAATAGTGCCACTTGGAGCGTCTTGCTATTTTGGTTTCTGTTTTGCTTGCATTAAAGTTCTAACACATTGACAGATTTCAGCAGCAAAATCTCTTATACCAGTAGTGCTGAAATTAGTAATCCTTCATGCTATTTGGAAACTGGAGTATAGGCTTCCACAGTGAAATTGGTCATGCACTTCCAGCTTTGACAGTCCCTGGGATAGTGTATTATACATATCTATACTAGTTTTGGCACTTAACACAAAAATACTTGTGTGTGTCTCCTCTCTCTCTCTCTCTCTCTTTCTCTCTGTCTCTCTCTTTCTCTCCTGTTATTGTTTGCATTTCTGTGCTGTGGTGAGCATTTTCCTCAAGTTTTCTGCAGTATTATTTTTATTTACTTTGACTATTCTGATTCTTTTTGGTAGCTTTATGCATAAGTTTATTGATGCTCAAATTGCATGCTAAGTAAATCTTTGGATTTTTTTTCTTTAACGATCCTTTCACTAAGTAGAGGTTCAGAATTTCACAAGGGGAAAAGGAGGGTCCTTGAAATTTTCTGTGAAAATTGAAGCAGTCTAGGGATAGTATGTGGCATAGGTGGGACTTCAATGCATTGGGCTTGTTTTCTATCAATACATTTCAAGTAGTTCTCTAAGAAGCAATTGCCTGGAACAGAGGTTTCTTTACATAGCTTGTAGAGAATACAGAGGCTTCAAGGACCATATGTTCTGTCGAGCTTTGAAATCTCTAGCCTGAAGCTGAACCTATAGTATTATCATATATAACAATACTGTATACATTAGATATATTCATTAGATATATTATATATATGAACATACAACACAACTGGTTGTATGAGTGTACGGAGTATGGGTTTTCCATGAAAAGAAATAATGCCTGCAGATGCTGTTTGTACAATATGCAGAAGTGATTAGCTTTTATTTTAATTCCAGTGCTAGTTTCTCAGGAGTCTAGAGTAAGGATTTGTGATTTCCTCACTCCCTGTGCTCTCTTTATCACTCTCTTGGTTTTGATGCTTAGTTTTCACTTCTGTTTTTTAAGCCATCTTGGGCAATTCCTGTTCTGATTTCTCAGGGTATATAATGTTTACATTCTTAGAAGTATTCTTAGATTTTTCTTTGGGGAGAGACTAATTCTTTTTCCTTCTTTTGCCTCTCTTCCTCCTCTATTTAACTCTCTACTCTAAAAGAAAAAAAAAGGAGAAAAACAGATTCTTCCAAACCTTAAACTTTTAAGTTACAATTAACGGCATATGCCCACCCTAGTCTTAGGTTAAAAAGAGGAGAAACTTCCCTTGCCCTGACACTAAGTAGCAGGCATGTTACAGGTCATAGTCGCCAAATGAGTTCTTATAGATTCATAGGGAAACTAACAAATTTAAATTTGTTCTGCTTTTTCTCTAGTTCACAATTCCATTAGACTCATTTGTCTACATTCGTGGAAACGCATAGCTTATTGGATAAACTGGAAAAGATAATGCAGACATTTTGAAGATAAAACTAGTGAAATTCTCTTCCCCACCCCCAGCATCTTGGGCTAGGGGAAAAGTAGTGAAAAAATGCAAATGTTGAACTTTTGGTAAATTAGTTCTATTTCTTAAAGTATACTTCTTGGTTTCAGATGTTTTATTGAGTAATGACATTGGTTAAAATTATTCCCATATGGGAATTTGTTCACATTAGCACATAACAGAGACGGAGAAGGGGTTGGTTTGTTCATATTCGTTTTTCTCTTTCTCCCTTGCTCCTCTCTTTCTCTATCCCCCTCCCTTTTTTCTCCCCCGTCTCTCTTCTTCCCCTCTCCCTTATTCATTTTTCATTTTATATACTCCACATCTCATTTTCTCTCTCTATAATCCCTTGAAAATTACAATCTGAAAAAAATGGAAAGAACAAAAAGAAAACTAAACCATGAAATAAGCAAGACATTGCTTGAAATTCAAATCAGTTCCTCTTTCCAGATGCTAAGAAGCCTATTTAATTAGATTTTTGCCTGTATCCTGCTAAATAGCTATAATAGGTGTACTATGTTTACACCTTAGACTCATTTACATTATAGCCGTGTTCTTAGACAGAGCTAGTTGTACTTTCCCGTTTGACTCTTCTTTTATTCCAGAAGGTAGAAGTTTTATGTCTGTTTATCCTTCTAATTTAGCAACTTTGTCTATAAAGTTCAGTGCTAAATAGATCACCTATCAATCATTGGATAATTATTTGATTTTTTAATTTGTTGTTTATTTCAACTTTAAATAGAAAATCTGTGAGGGAGGGATTTTATCTGTATTATTCAGTCCCATATCCCAGCACCCAGTAGCAATAGCTACCACATAGTAAGTGCTCAGTTAATATTTGTTGGATGAATCAGTGATCATGAGTTGGGAAGAGCGGGTAGGAAGAGAATTAATTCTCCTTTAGCTATGTTTGTTTTATTTTGGTCTTTGAAGCAAGAGTAGTTCCTGGGAGGACTTTTAATATTCATGTTGCTAAATTCAGTGTTTCAAGATTAAGCTACCATATGTGAATAGGTAATAAGCTCTTATGGCCTTCTCTCTACCACTACTACACATGTGGAGCCTGGGATTGAGAAAAATTAAGGAGCTTACCCCATTTGTATTATCTAATGCATTATGAAGCTCTGACTAGAACCTAGGCCTTTCTTTTGATTCAGTTCTGTCAATTCATATAGTTTGATATGTTTTCATCTTGCTTTCCAAACTGTATTATAAACTTGTCCAGATCAAGGCTTATGTCTGATCAAGGCTTCTGGCCGATTCCTCATGGGGCTTAGCATTATTTAGTAGACTTTTTTCTTTTTTTTTTTTCAGACAGAGTTTCACTTTGTCACCCAGGCTGGAGTGCAGTAGTATGATCATGGCTCACTACAGCCTCAACTTCCTGGGCTTAATTGATCCTCCCACCTCAGTCTCCCAAGTAGCTGGAACTACAGGCGTGCACCACCATGCCTGGCTAGTTTCTAAATTTTTAGTAGAAACAGGGTTCCCCTCTGTTGCCCAGGCTGGTCTCGAACTCCTAGGCTCAAGTGATCCTCCCACCTTGGCCTCCTGAAGTGCTAGGATGACAGACATGAGCTACAGTGCCTGACCCCTAGTAGATTTTTATTAAATCTTGATACTAGCAGATTTACCCAGTATACCTTAAAGGCTATCGTATGGTATATTTGCAGGCAAAAAAGTACATGAATTAAATACATTTTAGATCTTATGTCATTTTTATATGATTTATGTAAATATTATAATTTTTGTGATATTAATTCAAAATATAATTTCATACACTGAAGGCACATCAGGCACATCATGGCAGGTTTTAGATTGTGCATATTTGGTGAACAGCAAAAGCCTACTGTTCAAAATTCACTTTTCCCCCAAATAAAAAACAATTACGGCTGGGGCGGTGGCTCATGCCTGTAATCCCAGCACTTTGGGAGGCCGAGGCGGGCAGATCACGAAGTCAGGAGATCGAGACCATACTGGCTAACATGGTGAAACTCCATCTCTACTAAAAATCAAAAAAGTAGCCGGCGTGGTAGCGGGTGCCTGTAGTCCCAGCTACTCGGGAGGCTGAGGCAGGAAAATGGCGTGAACCCAGGAGGCGGAGCTTGCAGTGAGCTGAGATCACGCCACTGCACTGGCTATAAAGTGAGACTCCATCTCAAAAAAAAAAAAAAAAAAAACAACAACAATTAAATATTTGTCTTTAGTATTGGAATGGCTTTGTGTATTAGTAATTATTTCTACCTATCTCATCCCTTCCATATAATTGATTCTATATAGTATGAGTTTTCTCTCAAAAACAAGACTTTCTGTTTTGTTTGCTCTTCAGGTTGAATAGTGGAGGTGCCAGGACATGATAGCTCCCTTTGCAGGGCAAATGGTCAGATAGCATCAGGCTGCTCTCTGAGACAGTAGCCTCTGCTTAGCCCTGTGTGTAGTGTTTAACCTTTCAATAATCCTTCCTCTCCCAAACAAGCAAATGCTGCTTGGCCCCTTTGCTGAAGTCAGTACAAGAGAATCTATAGCTCCACAGACCAGCCAGAGGGAAGGTTTTCTAAGAGTAACAAATCTTTCTTTGCAACATGCTTTTCTAGAAGCTTTTTGTCATTCTGGCAGTAAACTTGTTTTCCACTTGCTGCCTTAGCAACAAGACCTGAAGTCACACCCCCTCCAGTCAGTGGCTTGATTATAAGAGCACTAACATTATACACAGAACTAGAAGAAAATTTTACACTGGGGAAAACCACAGGCATTACGTGCTTCTTGGGTTAGAGAATTATTTGTGTATAATCTTAGTATCTCCTTAAAGGAAAAGGTCAAATAGGAATCTTGGAAATGGTGCATCTAAACCTTGGGTGATCTCAAATCTCTAGTGAATGCTGTAGCTTAAGTTCTTGTTAGGTGCCTGCCTCTGGCCACAACAAACAACAATGTTCTCCGCAGAGTCCTCTATGGTTACTGAAGGAAGAGCCAAAATGTTAAGGTTCCCTTCTTTTGTACCAATCTCAGGCTAACTCTAGTTTTCAAGATTCTTTGTTTAACCTAAGAATATAAAGTTCAATTTGAGAATAAATATTTGTTTACCAAAGAGTGGAATTCAGATGGATTTTAGCTTTAGTTAATCCCTTGAGAGCTCATTTAAATATTTCTTACCAAATTCAATTTTATGTTGTAATAAAATGTGCTCAGTACAGAAGTTAGGTGATCACATAACTAAGGCAAAGGTTAAGGATTAACTGTAACCACAGGTAGGCTTGTGCTCCACTAGAACTGAAGACTGCGGAATACCACGGGTTTAAAGTTGGAATGCAGAAGTTGCTGTTTTTCTATATTGTCTTTAGTATGTTAAAGGTGTACTGTATGTGCCTTAGAAATTAAATCTAGTAGCATCCTCATAAGCAATGACGGAAAGCTAGATTAAGAAAAGGAACTCGTACCTTCCCAGAACAGGCAGAGAATGCTGTGAAATCTCCAAAGCAAAATTTCTTTAGGTCATAGTACTATGCTGTCTCTCTGTAAAGAAATTCATTTTTCTTAACAAATTCAAATTCCTAACTTCCAGGGCTTACAAAAAAAGAACCACGTCACTGGGTATGGTTAGCTGGACCACATGGCCCTGAGCAGTCTCCCTGGATTTCACATTCTCTGCCAAGAAGGGATCCTGGGTTGGAGGAAGGGAGAAGATACTTTAAACTTTAAACCCAAATATGGGCAAAAGATTGTTCCCTTGCTTCCTCATGCTTAGCTAAGACAGGTCAAGAACATTTTTTAAAGGCTTGAGGATTAAAGCGAGAAGTGCCACAGAGCTAGGAAATCTACATTCTGAATGTCGCTTGCTTTCTATGGCCCATAGACCCCATACTGTGGTGTCCTAAGTGGAAGGACAAGCCCCTCCCTGTGTTCCTGAAGTCTTCTCCTTGGCCTGCCTCTCATAGATGCACCATTTTAACATCTAAAGTCAGTAATACAGTAATCCCCTCCTTATCCTCAGGGGATAAATTTTAAGACCTTCAGTGGATGCCTGAAACTATGCATGGTACTGAACCTTATATATACTGTATGTTTTCCTATGCATGCATACCTATGGTAAAGTTTAATTTATAAATTAAGCACAGTGAGAGATTAACAACAATAACTAATAATAAAATAGAACAATTATAACAATATACTGTGAAAAGTTATGGGAATGCAGTCTCTCTCCCTCTCACTGTCTCCAAATATTATACTGTACTGCAGATAACTGAAACTATAGAAAGCAAAACCACAGATAAGGGGGGACTAACTACTGTACTCTCCAAGACAACCAGCATTCTCAAAGTCCTAACCAAGAAATTCTGCATCCTATAATCTACTCTTTGAATTTCTGTTTAATGGTATCCTACTCTGCCAAGCACTGCATTCGATATTTTCAATACTTGTCTCATTTAAGTACCCTGTAAAGTTCGTGTTATTGACCTCATTTTATAGAGGAGGAAACTAAGTTTTAAAAAAAAATTTGGGGGTCAGGTGCGGTGGCTCACACCTGTAATCACAGCACTTTGGAAGGCTGAGGCAGGTGAATCGTTTCAGCCCAGAAGTTTGAGACCAATGTGGGCAACATCTCTACAAAAAAATTTGCTAGGCATGGTGGTGCATGCCTGTAGTCCCAGCTACTTGGGAGGCTGAGGTGGGAGAATCACTTAAGCCCAGAAGTTGAGGCTGCAGTGAGGCATGATCATGCCACTGCACTTCAGTCTGGGCAACAGAATGAGACCCTGTCTCAAAAAATATATGCATATTTTATTTTTTTCCCTTAAGTGACACACTTAATTGATGGAGCTGGGCAACAAACCTGATTCTGTTGGATGCTAAAAGCCACATTGTGTCAAAACTCTGTAGTGCCTTTCAGTTTTAGAGTGCTGTCCTTGGAGGGTTTCAGTTTTATTTTATTAAAGAAGACAGAATCCCATTCACCCGTAATCTTATAGCTCCTAGAAAATTTCTGTATTGAAACATTGTGTACTGAACTATGTTCAGTATCCAGTCTTTGTCAGCTACTTGAAGACAGCTAACATAGGGAAGGGAGGGGAATATTGGAAACAGACTGTTACACTATGGCTCACGTGGACAGCGTTCATCCTCATCAGAAATGGCCAATCTGTTGCATATCTGCCTTTCTCTGCACTGTTTAAGTTTTAATTATCTTCCAACTGTCTGAGCTGCTGTTGAGGACCTCAGCAAGAACAAAGGATATCTGTTCTATTTTTCAGCAGTTCTCCTCTCTACACACTGATGAAGTCACTAGCTGCCACTGCCCTTATTATCTGGTTAAATCAGAGTCTGACTTGTGCTGAAAAGGCAAAGAAATAAATCTTAAACTTTACCTATATTCAGGATTTCTTGTGACAGAGAAAATGTGATACCTACTTCTCCCGTTTTGGTGTTATGACCGAGAACCAAGTTTTGTTTTGTTTTTCAGAAAAAGCAGAAAGAGAGAGGACTCTCCCATTCCTATCCCTTGGATTTTTCAATAACTTGGGTAGTAATAACTTCTTTTATCTTGGGATGCTCCACCGTGAGCCCCGTTAAGGAAATATGCTCGTTGTCAAGGATGGTACCTGTGCTCCCTCCTCCCACTTTCAGTCATTGCTCATGGAGCAGGGCACTACTCCTGTGCTGGACAGCGCCTTTTTTGTTGTTGTGGTTTGTTTTGAGACAGAATCTCACTCTGTCACCCAGGCTGGAGCACAGTGGCGCGATCTCAGCTCACTGCAACCTCTGCCTCCCAGTTTCAAGCGATTCTCCTGCCTCAGCCACCCAAGTAGCTGGGATTACAGGCACGTGCCACCAAGCCTGGCTAATTTTTGTATTTTTAGTAGAGATGGGGTTTCACCGTGTTAGCCAGGATGGTCTTGAACTCCTGACCTCAAGTGATCCACCCACCCAGGCCTCCCAATGTGGTGGGATTACAGGGCTACCACGCCTGGCCCTGAATTCTTAATGTAGAGCTTCAGGCTGCTCCTACCAGTCATTGATGTTGGGCCATTAATTGAAGCCTTTTGCCATTTCTAGGCTAGATCTTTATATGGGGAAGGTCCAGGATATTTATAACTTTTTGCTTGAGAAAAAGGAGCTTGGCTTCTTTCTTTTGATGTCACATTTTTTAAAATGTGTATTTGAGTAGGGACTTTATGCCATTTTTGCAAATTATGCTACAATTTTTTTCTAGAAACTTAGCATTGTAGAACTAGAATAATTAAACTTGTTATGAGCATTACATATAACAGGCTGATCAAAAGGTGTGAGATATAATGGTGAATTGCTAATTTGACTTCAGGATTATGCAGCAGAGATAACATTATCTTCATTTACACAGAACTTTTTATCTGGAGGCATCTCTCAATGCTTTTCCCACCATATATATTATTTTGTTTGTGATCACAAATACTATCATAAGGGTATAAAATGTATTCCAGTATAACTTTTTATTCTCAGTTGCTTATAACTGCGGGGCAAAGGAGGGGAGGGTTGCACATTTTCTCGCATTCCTAATGTTTGCACTGGGTAAAATTTGGGAAATTAGTTATCTAAACTTGGAAAATCTGATTCCATATAGTGTTTTAAAAAGAAAGAACAGGAGGGAAGGAAGGTTATTGCATCCCTTAGGTCAGCCTGGAATATATTAACCTTAAGAACCGCCATTGGGAAAAGGCCCTGTTAGTCACTTCCTGGCTCTTCTGTGCACAGTAGGAGAGCTGTCTCTCCTTTGGTAGAGACTTGAGCTAGAGAATAGCGAAATGATCTGATCAAATTCCACTAAACCACATTCCCTCTATTCCCTCCAAGGTTGCAGACAGCAGCACTCAGGCTGACACAGCCATATGTAGTTGAAAAATGCTATGCTGGTTGAGTTCCTGTGGGTTTAAGGAAATGGACAAAATTAGATTCAGGCCAAGGTGCCAGAATTAATACACCCCTTCCCTTCCAGAAAGCACCAGGGAGATTGTCACTGCCAAAGTGAAGGACAATATAATCTTTACTACCCAGACCGGTAAGAACTTATGTTGAATGAACCTACCCACCCACCCAAACCCAGTAAAATCAATACCTTCTGTCTGCCTTGAGGGCTTGAAGGAACAGATTAGGGCCAAATTCCTGCTTAACCAGTGGGCTCTGGTACATGTAGCAGTTGCCCTGATTCTCAACACGGGAAGAGTGGTGTCTCCTTGCAGTAGGTGTGAGCACACTGGACAGTCAGTTCAGGACATAGCATTAATATTGGTTATAAAGGTGAGTGATCAGCTTATGTCAAGGAGCAGATGGCTAAATGAGGTGCACAGGGAATGCCGTGAGAGTCAAGCTTGAAGAATCAGGAGGGAAAATAGCCCATGATATAAAAACCCCAAATATAGTTTCCTTAATGTGAATTTTCTAAATCAGCATTTACATTATACAGTTAACTTGGACTGATGAGAAATGTAAGGAAATTACCAAATTAGTGAATAGCGATTAACTCAGAAGTAAAATTATATCGTCTAAATTGAAGGTTGTTTTACACAGCAGAGGGGAGGAGATTACTAAAACCTTGTCCAGTCTGTCATATCCTAATTGAAATCTGTTCATTTAATATACCCCATCCTTCAGAGTGCATAGTTCATAATCTGGGAGGCATTATCAGTTAATCTAGTTATTTTTCCTGGTTCTTACTTTGAATTCCAGTAAGACGGTGTGTGGCACATCCCTCATGGAATTGTGTGACACTCAGAAGAATGAGTTTGTTCATTAACCTGTGAACTGTCAGGTCCCTTTGGAGAGTGAAGAGAGCAAGTTACTCCAAGGTTAATGCTTGTTTGTCGGAGATGAAGTCTCCAGGGAGTTAAAGAGGATGAACAGGCCAAGATGCTCAAGGGCTGCCCAGTGAAACTCTGCACTGTGTGCAGGTGCCAGATTCACGTGGCCAGGAGGGAGGCTGCAGAGCAGGCTGGGCCATCTCTACAGATCGCTTCCTGTGGTCAGGAGACTTCCCAGCAGTCAAGTGGGGGGCTGGCGTAAGTATATAAGGTTAACTTCCTAACAAAGATTTAGGAGCAGTAGTAAAATAAAAGAAACTGTGAGTAGTTTTCAGTAGTTTCTGGATTTTTTCTTTTAAACAAGAAAGCAATATTGATTTCGTGTGTTCATCTGCAGTGGATTAAATCTTCCATTGAGCTGGAAAGCATTTGCTTGTGCACATGTGCTCCAGCACATTCCTAACCACAAGGCAAGAGCAGAAGCTATTTGTTATTCTCCGGTATAAATGTCTTACGGTCATGTACCTGACTGACATTCAAGGGTTGAACTGAACAGTACCTGGTTTGGTTTTCTGGGTAAATCAAATCTAAGTTCTACTTAATTCCCTGCAAAATGACATGTCCCTTATTTTGCTATAATTCTTCTAGGTTCAATTGGAGCTACCCATAAGGAGCAGATATAGAGTCTGAAGTCAAGCTCAGAGTCTCCTTTGGTCTATATCCTGGTGCACTCTATGTTTAGGTGACGTGTCTTACTCTGTTATCCTTGGATTGGTTGTGGTGGGAGCTCATTTTCAACACATTTTCTTTTCTTTTTACCGTCAGGTATATTCGAATTGTTGGGACTCACAACACAGTGAACAAGATTTTTCACATTGTGGCTTTTGAATGTATGTTTACAAACAAAACCTTCACTCTTGAGAAGGGGCTGATAGGTAAGTATTACCATTAGATTTTTGTATGTATATTTGGATATTTTATCTTCAAATACTTTGTTACTCTCTTAACTTATCTTAATCAGTTCTAAGGACTCTGGTTGATTTAAATGCCTTATTGCTAGGTGACATAGGGAATGGCTTACATTTTTTAGAAGTATTCAATATAGTAATTCCAATGAACTTAAAAGAATGAATGTAAATGTTGTACTAGTGCTAAAGAATTGAAAATATTTTAGTAATTCATTCAGATTTGCTATGTAGGGAATGTTTGTGATAGTCAGGTGAAGCCCCTCACACCAAGGGATTTAATGATAGGCGAGTTTGAAGAGAAGTCTGTATGATATTGATTGGATGTTCAGACTTTCCATGGCTGTGCAGGTATTTTGGCCTTTGATTGGATATGAGTGGTATGCTTAGCTGTGGAGGTATCTTCTTTTCATGGATATATGAATTCATGTTTGCCCGAAGTAGCCTCAAGAAAGTTCAACTCACAAAAGTGCCTCCATATAATTTAAGTAAGACCAAAGTGACTGAATTGTCACTTTTGAATTGTCATTGCAAAAGTCAAGTTATTTGGTGGGAAATACTGCCTGACTGATATTTGGAAAGAGGATTTTAAATTTTAGTGTAATTGTTTGCTTGGTTGTTTTCTGTCTTGTTTTGTTTTTATTTTCAGTAATGGGTAGTCTGGGCGTTGTGCACAGTCCATCCCAGGTCTTGACATTCTAGATACCATGAGTGGCTTTGCCCATCCAGACTGTTTATTCTGCTTTTTTTTCCCCCATGCCCATAGGTTTTCACTCACCTGCTGCAAAGATCATGCTTAGATCAATTAGCTCCTTGATTCTGTCCCTTTATTGCAGTTTGCTTTGAGAAGGGACTTCATATGTTCCGGTGTGGGGATAAGATGTCCCTGCCTTGTGGTCTAAAACAGAATTCTGTACCTTTACAAAGGGACTCATGTCTCCTCTCTTTCCCAAGTTTTGTTCATGTTGGCACACATGTCCATACTGACCTAAAAGCATGGGAATAACTATAATGGGAAAGATGAGTGTAACTTGCAAATGTTTATTAACTCTTTGAATGGTCGTAGCCTAAATTTTCCTAACACCTGCTGTGTCTAAAACCTAATCCTTTACTTATAGAGATTTGGGAGAATAATATTAATAAAGTAGCAGGAGTGGAAAATTTTCCAATATAGAGAGTGTTTAGAGCTCAACTGAAATAGCTGCCTTGGTTTTAATTTTGTTATGAACATAATTTTAACATTAAATATAAATATTAATAATTTGTGTGACTTTTAAGTAATTTGAAAGTTATCAAGTTTGAAGCATTACCTGATATTGTTTTTTAATTCTATAGGCTGTACAGAATTGTGGTGATGGAGGGTTGTGGGGAGGGCATTCTTTTTCACCTGTTGTCCAGGCTCTTCCATAGACTGTAGGCCTCACTGTATATCTGACTGTGTAGTTAGGAGAGCCCTCAGTGAGAAGGATCTTAGAAACCAAGACCCTTCTTATTTACAAGATGTGTAGCATTTGGCTACTCATTTCAGCTCAGAGCACTGCATTTTGAACATGCTGCATGGAAGGTACCATCTACATCAGTCAGCCCCCTCTTAGGAAGAACAGGTTTGTGGACACTGTAATTATGAAAGAAATAAGCCTATCTGGCATGAGACTCAGGATTAGTTGTAATGAGGGGTGCTGTTGTTGGCATGCATGTTTTGTCCAAATTGAACTAGTCAGCATCATCAGAAGCTGTAACAGTCTCAGATATGTTGGTGATGAAAGAAAATTACAGAGAAACAAGAAGTGTTTTTGGTGTCTGGTTAAACACTCTTCAAGCACTCTTCCATGGTGCTCACAAGTTTGACTGCAAAGAGCACTGTAATCATCTGCCTCTTATTGTCCCTCAGCCAAGTGGGAGCAGTGGTGCAGGTAGGCAGATATGTACATGCGCTTGCCAGAAGATTGCCTGCAGTGGAACCCCCTCTGACCCTCCTTGGACCATCCTCACAGCTCAGAGCTGCTCATCCTCGGCAGTGGTGTGGGTGGTGAGGAAGTTCAGGGGGATTTCGTTATCCTCTGTCTGACGTTGCAGCTCTGCTTACCTTACAGAGGTGTTTAAAACAGTAATCTCCAGCTTTCCATGTTGATAATCTCAGGTGCATTTTAGCAGCACACAGGCCTTGGCCAGTCACCCTACTGGTCCTTGACAGGTCCTCTACGGGGGTACAGGTATGTCAAAATCACCTGGAGTTATTTTTAAATTGCAGATGCTTACTTCTTACACTTTCTTATATCCTGTGAAATATGCACTCCCCTCCTGAGAATCACTGATATGAACTCCATGATTTCTTGGGGGAAAAAAAGTAAAACTAAGATAATGTCATCATAAGTAATTAGAGTATCAAATCCTACTTTTTTTTTTTTTTTTTTTTTTGAGACAGAGTCTCGCTCTGTTGTCCAGGCTGGAGTGCAGTGGCACAATCTTGCCTCACTGCAACCTCCACCTCCTGGGTTCAAGCAATTCTCCTGTCTCAGCCTCCAAAGTAACTGGGACTACAGGTGTCGGCCACAACGCCTGGCTAATTTTTGTATTTTTAGTTGAGACAGGGTTTCGCCATGTTGGTCAGGCTGGTCTCGAACTCCTGACCTCAGGTGATCCACCTGCCCCAGCCTCCCAAACTGCTGGGATTACAGTCGTGAGCCACCATGCCCGGCCCTCAAATCCTACCTTTATGTTTCTAGATTCAGAACATTTTTCTTTCATAGTTCCTGGTCTTCTTTTCATAGTGCAGGCTCCTTTAGTTATTCTCTAGGCCTTAAAAATCACTTTTATAATATTTATCATTTTAAAAAGTCAGATTCTAATGTTATTATTTAAAATATATAATGATGACAGGAAATAACATAAGTAAAATTAAGCACACCCACTATATGAGATTTTAGTCTTCTTTTCCCACCAAAGGGGTTCTTTCCCATTTTTATGACTGTGTGTCATGCCTCATGCAGCTTCACTTGCACAGACTCATGGGAGGCTTTGTAGTCCTCGGGTTCATATAGCCACGAGAAGAGGCCCTCGCTCAACCACATTGCCCAGAGCTGGGCCTTTCTTCCACCTTTGCTGCTGCCACTACAGCCTCTTCTCATTTGGTGGCTGCCTCTGGATCTTGCTAGAATGTATTCTTTCCTGGGAGAGTCAGCCTGTGATGACTGTCTCCTCTGTGTTAGGAGGCATTTGTAAGAAACCCTAACTTGTCTTACCAGTGAGACATGGAAGAAGTAATTAGAAGAGATGTGACTGCTATTTCATAAATGTTCAACCTCCCAAAGAATGTATTTACTTTGCCTTAGCACTCCACTTTGGTGATACTTGCATAGTATTTGCCAAGTTTTTCTGCTTTTTGTAAGGATTTCCAAATCTTCCTTTTAATCTTGTGTTTAAATTCACTTTTTAATGCCCTACTAGTTATCCAAGTAGAGAGAATAGTACCTATCACCCAGCTTTAAAAAATTATCAATTCACAGCTAACCTAGTTTTATCTGTATGTGATCTACTTTGTTCCTATCAGATTATTTTGAAATTAATCTCGGACATTTTATCATTTCACCTATAAATACTTTATTATACACATCTAAAAGTAAGGCCTCCTTATTGTAGCCATAAACACAATACCGTCATACTACCCTAAAACTGAACAGTAATTCCTTAAGAGCATTAAATATGCAGTCAGTGTTCCAATTTCCCTAATTGTTTCAAAGTCTGGAGTGAGAATGTGTTTTTATAGGTTGAGTAAATCAGAACTCAGTTAAGGTCCATATTAGGCAAATAGCTGTTGTGATTCTTTAATCTCTTTAAATCTATATGTTCTCTTCTATTTATCTGTCTATCTTTGTCTGTTTTTCTCTAATTATTTATTTGTTAAGAAACTAGGCTTTTCTCGTATAGAGTGTCTACCAGTCTGGATTTTGGCCATTGAATTTCCGTGGTAACATTTAGCATGTTTATCTGTTGCATTTCTTGTAACTTGGTAGTTAGATAGAGCCTTAATCAGATTCAACTATTATTTTTTGGTAATAATGCTCCATAGGTAGTGTTGTGTGTATCTATCCAGAAGCAGAGAAAACCTCTAGTTGTCTCTCTGTTTTGGATGTTCACATCCATTGATGATTATTTCCTGGGTTCATTATTTCGTAATTTTGGATTGCAAATGGTTATTTTCCAAATACGTCATTCCTTCTTCATTTAGTCCCTAGAAAGAGAAAATTTTCCTCAACACTCATTTAGTAACCCTGAGATACAATTCGCTCAGGAAAAGAAGGATAAATGTTACATTCTTCACCAGTTTTCAAAATAAAGAGGTGGTTCCCTAGCATCCTTCAAGGGTGACAAAGGTTTGTTTGTGGGATTTGTTAGGGGGAGGTAAGTACATACATTTTGAGTTTGTGGGAATAAACACGATTGAAATCTTTTAATCACTTGCAGTTATTAGTAATGATATTCAAATCATTGTATCTTTAGTCTCTTCAAATTGGTTTTTGAGTCCTTTTGATAAGACTTTAGTAGTCCTTGATAGTTCCGTGCTTTCTGGCATAACAAGATGTACTAGGTTTATTTTGTACATTTCCTGCCCTTGATCTAGAATCAGCCATTCCTTCCTGAAGGCTTGATACCGTATAGAGGAAAATGACATTTGGAAACCTCAGTGTAGATACTGTAGATGATCTTTGCTACTGTGTTTGCTGCTATTTCTAGACCTTCAGTAGACAGAACTAGGAAATACGTGCACATACACTTAATTATTTATATGACATATATTTAGCAGATGAAATATATCATGAGTATATGCTGACACTTCTAATTCACATTCAAGATTTTTGTTTAAGCTTTTGATCTTTCTTTCATCTCTTTTTCCTCATAGGTAAAATCTTGGTTATCAGTGATACAGTACAATATTCATTTGCTCTATCCCCAATACATACATAACAGCTATGAACCATATGATTACCGAAATGAGTTTTAAGATTTTTGTTACTGATTTTTAGGTCCTTCTGTCTCTAGAAATATACAGTAAAATGACTATGTTTTGAAGTCACTTGCAACGATTCTCTGTGTAGTTATGCCACTATTTCAGTATACAATTAGGTTCATCTGTTCCATTTTGCTTTCAATATTTAGGGATTGCCTTTAAAAGACTTTTGTTTCCTAACTATGTGAAATACTTACATTGTTCCAAAATCAAACCTGCAAAAGAGCTATATTCAGAGAAATGAAGCTTCTATTCCTGCCCTCTCTACCTCTGTAAGTAATCTCTTTTTTTCCTCCTTTAGTTTGTTGTTGTTGTTATCCTTCCATTTAAAAGTGGGAAAATATATTTATTTCTGAATTTATATTTTGTATCCTCCCAACGTCTTTAAATAATTGGTAGCACACTATATACCATACATATTATATATTTTTTACCTTACTGTGCTTCTTTTTCTTTTATTTTCTTTTTCTTTTTCTTGAGACAGGGTCTTGCTCTATTGCCCAGGCTGTTCTAGAACTTCTGGGCTCTAGGCATCCTCTTGAGTAGCAAACAGGACTGTAGGCACATACCACCACACTTGGTTTCACCTTGCTTTTCTGTACAACACTTATTTTGGAGCTAGCTATAGAGAAAGATATTATTTGTTTCTTTTTATAGCTGCATGGTCCTCATTAGTATAGATATACCATCGTTTATTTAACTGATGTTAAATAAACAGTTTTCTATTGATGAACCGTTTGGGTTGTTTTCAATCTTCCACTACTACAAATAGTGCTATTGCCTTGTGTATAAGTCTTTTCCTATTTTTGCCAATATATCTTTGGGATAGATTTCTAGAGAAGGGATTGTATGATCAAAGAGTAAATGCACATAGAATTTTCCTGGATATTGCCAAATTCACTTTCACAGGGATTATAACATTTTTAAATTCTCCCTGGTATTGTATGATAAAGACTGTTTCCCCACAGCCTTGCCAGCAGAGCATGTTGTCAAACTTCTGGACTTTAGCCAGTTCGATAGGTGAGAAATGGTATCTCAGTGCAATTTTAACTGCATTTCTCTTAGGAGAGAAATTGAGCATCTTTTCATATGTTTAAGGGCCATTTGCATTCCCTTTTTTCTTTTTTAAATGGCTCTTCTCTTCTTATGAGTCTTCTAGGTGAATAGAGAATATGCTTTTAGTAAGACTTGGGGGAGCAGTAAACACTTTACACTGAGATTAGAGTGTGGCATTCAGCATTACAGAAGTCTGGTTGTGCTTCCTAAGGTCTCCTGGTTCTCCTGGAAAATAGAAGTTCTCATATGTCCCTCTCATCCTTGTCCCTGGTTCTACCTCTCTGCTTGAGAGATAATAACTAGGGCATAGAGCTCTAGGTTCAAAATTATGGTTTCTTTAACCCTTTCAAAGAATAGGAATAAGATTCTATTATCAGCTTTAGGCCGTTAAAGTGTTACTTTTGTGTCTTACCAGCATGGATCCAGGAAGACTGGTAACTTTTTGTTCTGTACAGTAGACCCCCTTATCTGTGGTTTTGCTTTCCGTGGTTTCATTTACCTGTAGTCAACTGTGGTCCAAAAATATTAAATGGAAAATCCCAGATATAAACAATTCATAAGTTTTAAACTGCATGCCATTCCTGGTAGCATGATGAAATCTTGTGCCATCCCACTCTGCTCCACCAGGGATGTGAATCATCTGTTTGTCCAGTGTATCCATGCTGTATATGCTAGCTGCCTGTTACTGTGTAGTGAAAAACATAGTGTATATTGAGTTTGGTACTACATGAAGTTTCAGACATCCACTGGGCATCTTGGAACATATCCCCTGCAGATAAGGGGGGACTACTGGGATTGGATCTAGGGCAACCAAAATCAGCAGCAGAAGCACAAGAACTCTGTTGCTGAAGCTGTCGGTACACTTACTACTGCTGCCACCACTGGAACTGTGCTATCTGAACAGAAACACCGGAGTCCATATTCACCTGCTGCTACCTTCAGTACCACCGGAAACAAATAGACAAGAACATGTCTTTTTCCTTCCTCCTATATTTCAGTCTTCCACCAGTCTCTTCTGTTGGCAGAACAAAAAAACAGGCTGGTAAGGGGAGTCTGGGAAACCGTAGTTTTCAAAGGTTTAGCCTCTGAGATCCAGTGTAGGACAAGGGAAGGAATAGAGCTGAAAGAAAACAGATTCCTGGCACAAAGACCGGAAGACAGGCACTGTAAAGGGGGCTCCTTCCAACAGGAAACTTACCATCTGATTCAAAGTAGCCGGACAGTCACATTGGCAAGGTATGGAAATAAGTGGAGTGGAGAACAACAGACAAAGGCATAAACAGGTGTGGAGAAAGGTTAAGTATTGATTTGGGCTGCAAAGGAACTGAACGTATCTCTTGCCTAGTAAGATAAGGCTTCATGAAGAATGGTATTTTGAGCTAGGCCTTGGAAAATTCAGTAAATATTAAGGAGCATTACAGAAGTGCTAATTTACATAGCAATAATACCGTTTCCCTCAGAGGAGCTGAAGATAGTAAATAGAAATAGGTTGTCTATGGTTACTACTGTCATTTAAAACTATTTTGAGATTGTAACAGTATGTTTAGAATGCTGTAAAATTTTTGGGAAAGTAAACAGAGTTGGAAATCTGGGCTGTTAAGGGTTTTTGGCATCCAGTGACCTAGACGTATAACACAACTTCTGTGCTTCACAACTGTGTTTAGTAAAGTGAATGTCCTCTGGAGCAGAAACAGAGATTTGGGTGTGAGGAAGTTCAGTAGCAGATGAAGGTGTTAGAATGTGGCAAAGAAGCAAACTTCCTGGCTTGGCAGAGGGGCCTTAAGGGCCTTAATGCAGATAGTTTCCTACAGTGGCACTAGTGAGTCTGAACTAGTCTAGACCAGGAGGCTGTGCTTTTCCAAGTCCTATTTCTCTAACCAGATATTAAGGCTGGTTCTGCTTGTCAGTAAAGCTTAACTTCTTTAGCTACTGTAAATTTCTTGGCATTAAGCAGACATTTATTAAGAGGCTGCTGAGTGTATCTTAGACACAGGGGAGAGAAAGACACATGGGTGTAGTTTCTGCCTTGAAGGATCTTAAGAGCTAATAGAGAAGAAAGACACTTAAACAGAAGGTGACAACTCAGTAAAATAAGTCATGTATCGGGAAGTTTCAGCAGATGCTGTAGGAACACTGAACAGGGGGCACTAACCAGAGCTGGGGTACTGGTATCAGGAAGACCTCCTAGTGGAGGGTATAAATTGGGTCAGGGATATGGTTTGGCGGTATCCCCATCCAAATCTCATCTTGAATTGTAGTTCCCATAATCCCACATGTTGTGGGAGGGACCCGGTGGGAGGTAATTGAATCATGGGGGCAGTTACCCCCATGCTGTTCTTGTGATAGTGAGTGAGTTCTCACAAGAGCTAATGGTTTTATAAGGGGACTTCCCCCTTTTTTCGGCACTTCTCCCTCCTTCTGCCATGTGAAGAAGGTGCCTTTCTTCTCCTTCCCCTTCTGCCATGGTTATAAGTTTCCCGAGGCCTTCCCAGCCATGCAGAACTATGAGTCAATTAAACCTCTTTTCTTTACTAAATTACTCAGTCTCGGGTATTTCTTCATAGCAGCATGAGAATGGAATAATACAGTCAGTCCTTAAGGAAGGGAAGAGTGGGGAAGCTCAGGAGAGATTCACACAAAATGGTCAGTGTGTGCAAAAGCTTATTTCCGACCCACTCCACAGGCAGAGCCCCTTCTAGTGGACCACCTTGCACCTGATGGAGGAATTGGAGTAGAAGTTACAGTGAGCTGTAGCCTTTCACTTTTCCCTTCTAGGGTTCTCAGCTTAGTATGTGGTCAGTGTGTACATATGTGTATTAGTCCATTTTCACACTGCTATAGAGAACTACCTGGAGGCCGGGTGCGGTAGCTCACACCTGTAATCACAGCAGTTTGGGAGGCTGAGGTTTGGTGGATCACCTGAGGTCAGTAGTTTGAGACCAGCCTGGCCAACATGGTGAAAACCTATCTCTACAAAAAAATACAAAAATTAGCCAGGTGTGGTGGCGGGCACCTGTAATCCCAGCTACTCGGGAGGCTAAGGCAGGAGAATCGCTTGAATCCGGAAAGCAAAGGTTGCGGTGAGCCAAGATTGTGCCACTGCACTCCAGCCTGGGCAACAGAGTGAGACTCCATCTCAAAAAAATAAATAAATAAATTAGCTGGGCATGGTGGCGCACGCCTGTAGTCTCAGCTACTCGGGAGGCTGAGGCAGGAGAATCGCTTGAACCTGAGAGGCAGAGGTTGCAGTGAGTCGAGATCATGCTGCTGCACTCCAGCCTTGGCAACAGAGCAAGACTCCCTCTCAAAAAAACTAAAAAAAAAAGAACTACCTGGAGGCTGGGCACAGTGGCTCACGCCTGTAATCTCAGCAGTTTGGGAAGCTAAAGCAGGCGGATTGCTTGAGGTCAGGAGTTCAAGACCAGCCTGGCCAACATGGCAAAACCCTGTCTCTACTAAAAATACAAAAATTAACCAGGTTTGGTGGTGCACGCCTGTAGCTCCAGCTACTCAGGAGGCTGAGCCATGAGAATCCTTTGAACCCAGGAGGCGGAGGTTGCAGTGAGCTCAGATTGCACTGCTGCACTCCGGTCTGGCCAACAGAGTGAGACTCTGTCTCAAAAAAAAAAAAAAAATTTAAAATTAAAATAAAATAAAAGAACTACTTGGGACTAGATAATTTATAAAGAAAAAAGGTTTAATTGATTCACAGTTGTGCATGGCTGGGGAGAGGCCTCAGGAAACTTACATTCATGGCAGAAGGCAAAGGAGAAACAAGGCACACCTTACATGGCAGCAGGAGAGAGAGGGAGAGAGCAAGGAAGTGCCACACTTTTAAACCATCAGATATCAGGAGAACTCACTCACTATAATGAGAACAGCATGGGGAAATTCCACCCTCATGATCCAGTCACCTCCCACCAGGTCCCTCCCTCAACACGTGGGGATTACAATTCAAGATGAGATTTGGGTGGGGACACAAAGCCAAACCATATCAATATGTATCTTATTATCCTTTCCATTTTTTTTTAAGAATAAAGATTGCCGGGAAAAAAATTTTTACTGCTCTTGTTTTATAGGATTTACTTTATTTTACAGGATTGAATTTTTGGGCTCTACTTATGTATTCCCTTATTATTATAAGGATGGATACATATAGTAGTATGGATGTGTGTGTCTAGGTAAATGTAAATGCGTACAGCTTGTTTTTGTTTTGTTTTGTTTTGTTTTGTTTTATTTTATTTTATTATTTTATTTATTTTATGTTATGTTATGTTATGTTATGTTATGTTATGTTATGTTATGTTATGTTATTATTTTTGAGATGGAGTCTCGCTCTGTCACCCAGGCTGGAGTGCAGTGGTGCAACCACTACAACCTCCGCTGACTACAACCTCCGCCTCCTGGGTTCAAGTGATTCTCTTGCCTCAGCCTCCCGAGTAGCTGAGATTACAGGTGTGCACCACCACGCCTGGCTAATTTTTGTATTTTTAGTAGAGACAGTTTCACCATGTTGGCCAGGCCTGTCTCGAACTTCTGACCACAAGTGATCCTCCCACCTTGGCCTCCCAAAGTGCCGGGATTACAGGCATGAGCCACCATGCCCAGCTGTTAAATATAAGTTCTAGTTTCAGATAATCTCTGTGTTCATGCATATGAGCATATGCTTTTAGAAGCAGCCAGGACATATCTTGAATGCATTGTTGTTTAGAAATGTCTTCCTCCAGATACCCTAACTCATCTCTCTCAAATTTGAAGTTCAACACATCCCTAGAGCAGGGGGCACAGTGCTGCCAGTCTCTTTGTTAAAGCATAGCAAAAGTGACCTTTACTCCAGTTCCCAATAAGTTCCTCATCTGCATCTGAGACCCCCTCAGCCTGGACTTCACTGTCACATCACTATCAGCATTTTGGTCACAACAATTTAACAAGTCTAAGAACTTCTAAGCCTTCCCTCATCTTCCTGTCTTCTTCTGAGCCCTCCAGGCTGTTCCAGTTCTACCTATTACCCAGTTCCAAAGTTGCTTCCACATTTTCAGGTATCGTTGTAGCAATGGCACACTTCTCTGGTACACGTTTCCTGTGTTAGTCCACTTTCACACTGCTATAAAGACATAACTGAGACTGGGTAATTTATAAAGAAAAGAGGTTTAATTGGCTCATGGTTTTGTGGGCTGTACGGGCTTCTGCTTCTGCAGAGGCTTCACGAAACTTACAGTCATGGCAAAAGGCGAAGGGAAAACAGGCACTTATTTACATGGCCAGCAGGAGAGAGAGAGAAAGAGTGAAGGAAGAGGTGCTACACACTTTCAGACAACCAGATCTTGTGAGAACTGTATCATGAAAACAGCAAAGGGGAGGTCTGACCCCATGATTCAGTCACCTCCCACCAGGCCCCGCCTCCAACACTGGGAGTTACGATTTGACATGAGATTTGGGTGGGGAAACAGATTGAAACCATATCATACATGTATCTAAGTTTTTACCAGAAGAGTGAAAATACTGCACAAAACTAACTTAACTGTTTTTATTTCACTTCGTAATACTTGCACATTTTACTGATACTCTCTACCTTTGACTTTTTGATGAATAAGGAAAGACTTAAGGGAAGGGACCTATGGGTGGCCCTATCTTGCCCTTTCTTTTTACATCATTATTTTCAGCATGTGTATTTGGCTAATACAGGGTAATAACAAAAGTGAAAAAGGATATGATAGAAGCAGGAACATCTTTACATGGCCAGCATCTGCATCTGAGATTGGTCATTGGTGCTTCTTGGAATGCCTTTGCCTTCTTTCTACTCCATCACTAGCCATATTACCAAGAACCATCCACCCCTGACCTACCTCATGCCATTAGAGATGGGATAACGGTCTAGAACAATGGTGGGAGGCAGTAGGATGATGTGCAGTCACAAATTCTGTTGCTGTGAAGTAAGCATGACAAGGAGATCTGCTGGAGTTTTTAAATTGTTTCTCCCACAAACAACAAATGCCTACCTTGGAAAAAAGTTACTAAATCCACAGGCTTTAATGTAAAGAAACTATAAATTTTTAAAGAGCACTGAACAATGGAAAGAAATATTCCTGGATAGGAAAATTTAATATTGCAAAGATGTTGGTTCTTCCCATTTTAATGTATAAATTTAATACAGTACTACTACTCAAAATCCCAGTTATGTGTGTGTTTTTTTAATATTTTGCTCAGTTATTTTAAAATATTTTCCAAGAGAATAAATAAGTAAAAATATCTTTTCCTTCTCCCCATCCCCTTAAAAAAGCCTGAAAAAAATAAAAAATAAAAAATGAATGAGGGGTCTATTCCCAGCAGGTGTTAAAATTAGTGCTGCATAGTAATGTGGCATTAATGCAAGAACAAACTGGTAGATAAATAAAGCAATCATCCAAACTCTGAATTAGATCCCAGTATGTGTAAGAATATAATGTGAGATAAAGGTGACATCTCACATCAGTTAAGAACCGAAGGATAACACAGCAAGTGAGACAGTTAACAATTGCAAACAGTTACATGAAATTTTTTCCTCATGCTAGATACAAAAGCATTTCTTGTTAAAGAGGTAGATTTTACAATGTGACTCCAAAAGAGCTGTAGGAAACTGTATTAATACGTATTTATCTTATCTCAAGGTGAGGAACAACTTCCTCAGCACAAAAGCAAAGGCAGAAACCATAAACAGAATTCAAAGGTGTTTGACAAACTGGGAAAAAATAATTGCAACATACATGACAAAATAAGTACAAAAAAAAGATGATTCCCTTACAGAAAATGTATATAAACAGCAGTTATTTAAAAAGAAAGAAAAACGTAATAGTCCATAAACTTGAAAGCGTTTTGCCTCGCTAATAATTAAGTGCTTATCGAAACAAAATACCATTTTTTGGCTTGTTTAATTGGCAAATATTTTTCATTAAAAATGTTTTATATGTATATAAATAAGACAAAGTCATGTCTCATCAAAAATCAAACAATACAGAAGTACATAAGTAAAATATTTCTTTTTTTGCTTTTTTTTCCAAGAGAGGGTCTCTGTCACCCAGGCTAGAGTGCAGTGATGCAATCACAGCTCACTGCAGCCTTGACCTCTTGGGCTCAAATGATCCTCCTGCCTCAGCCTCCCAAGTAGCTGGGACCACAGGCATGCACCACCCACCCAGCTATTTTTGTTATTGTTGTTGAGACAGGGGTCCCATTATGTTTGCTCAGGCTGGTCTTGAACTCCTAGGCTCAAGCCATCCTCCCAACTTGACCTCCCAAAGTGCTGGGATTCCAGGTGTGAGCCACTACACCTGGCCAAAATAAAATGTTTTTGTATTTCAACTTGCATTAGCCTAGTTATTACTAAAACTGAGTATTTTTAAATATTTCTTGGCCCCCCCTCTTTTTTTCTTTTTGAGAGGGAGTCTGTCTCTGTTGCCCAGGCTGGAGTGCAGTGGCGTGATCTCAGCTCACTGCAACTTCCACTCCTGGGTTCAAGTGATTCTTATGTCTCAGCCTCCTGAGTAGGTGGGCTTACAGGCATGCGCCACCACTCCCAGCTAATTTTTGTAATTTTAATAGAGATAGGGTTTCACCATGTTGGCCAGGCTGTCTCAAACACCTGGCCTCAAGCAATCCTCCTACCTCGGTCTCCCGAAGTGCTGGGATTACAGGTATAAGCCACCACGCCTGGCCTGTTGCTTCTTTCTTATTATTAATTTGTGGATTATGGATATTTATTCCTTGCCTTTTATATACATTGCAAATGTCTTCTCTCACCCTGTTAGTTACCTTTTAACTTTGTGTATGTTGCCTTTTTGCATAGATATTTTTAATTTTGAGTTATTCCTATCAGTCATTTTTTTTGTCATCTGATTTTGTGATTTGCTTAGAAACTCCCTCCCCAGTTCAAAATATAAAAACATGTTCTTCTGCAGTAGTTGTCAGTGATTTGTTGTTTTTTTGTTATTGTTGGGGTGTGTGTAAGCATTTAGCTCTTTACTCCATTTAACATTTCTTTTGTGTTTGGTCTGAGGTAGAGGTTTAACTTTTATTTCTAAAATTTGTGGCCAATTGTCTTGAAATTCTTTCTTGCTTATTTTATTCTTTGTTTCATTGACTTAAAATAGATATATCATAGATTTATATCTACTCTAGCTTCTGCATTGTATCATTTAAATCACAGCATCTTCGTCATCTATTTTGCTCTCTAGTGCTGCAAATCTACACTCATAGTTATTCTAAGTTTTCTAGGCTATTCTTTCCAATTTTCTTTTCCAATGAACTTGAAAATCGGCTTGTCAAGTTTCATTAAAAAAAATTTTTTTTTAGAGATGGCGTCTCTAATAATTTGACGGTATTTTATTTTTTATGAGACGAGGTCTTGCTATGTTGCCCAGGCTGTCCTCAAACTCCTGGGCTTAAGTGATACTCTCACCTCAGCCTCCCAAGTAGCTGGGACTATAGGTGCACACTACTGTGCCTGGCTCAAGTTTCATTTTTAAAATCCTGTTGGCAAAGGTAGTTTAAATGAAAATACTGACCAGGCACAGTGGCTCACACCTGTAATCACAGCACTTTGGGAGGCCAATATGGGTGGATCACCTGAGGTCAGGAGTTCGAGACCATCCTGGCCAACATGGCAAAACTCCATCTCTACTAAAAATGCAAAAATTAGCCAGGTGTGGTGGCACGCCTGTAATGCCAGCTATTCAGGAGGCTGAGGCAGGAGAATTGCTTGAACCCAGGAGGTGCAGGTTGCAGTGAGCCAATATCACGCCACTGCACTCCAGCCTGGGTGACAGAGCCAAACTCTGTCTCAAAATAAAACAAAAAAAAAGAAAAGAAAAAAAGGAAACATGTACCATCCACGTCTTGGCAGCATATGAGACTGCCTATTTCTTACCAGTCTCAGTAATACTAAGTATCTTCTTTTTTTTGAGATGGAATTTTGCTCTTGTTGCCCAGGCTGGAGCGCGATAGTGCTATCTCAGCTCACTGCAACCTCAGCCTCCCAGGTTTAAGCAATTCTCCCGCTTCAGCCTCCCAAGTAACTGGGATTACAGGCGCCCGCCATCACGCCCCGCTAGTTTTTTGTATTTTTAGTAGAGGGAGTTTTGCCTGTTGGCCAGGCTGTTCTCGAACTCCTGACCTCAAGTGATCTGCCTGCCTTAGCTTCCCAAAGTGTTAAGATTACATGCGTGAGCCACTGTGCCCAGCCAGTACATGTTTTATAGAAGACAACTTGGCAATATCTATTAAGAGTCTTTAGGCAGGGCGCCGTGGCTCAGCCCTGTAATCCCAGCACTTTGGGAGGCCAAATCGGGCAGATCACTTGAGGTCAGGAGTTTGAGACCGGCCTGGCCAACATGGCAAAATTCCGCCTCTACCAAAAATACAAAAATTAGCTGGGTGTGGTGGCACGCCCCTGTAATCCCAGCTACTCCGGAGGCTTAGGTGGGAGAGTCTTTTGAAACCAGGAGGCGGAGGTTGCGGTGAGCCGAGATCATGCAACTGCACTCCAGCCAGGGTGACAGAGCCAGATTCTGTCTCAAAAAAAAAAAAAAAAAGGAAAAAAAGGTCTTTAAAATACTCCTTTATCTACTACTTTGACCTTTAATAATTCATCCTAAAGGAATATTCAGGAACAGCATTTCTTCTACATAAATGTTCAGCACAGTGTTATTTATAATAACCGCAAAAGAGGAAGATTATGAATGTCTAATAATATGGCATAACAAAATAAATTATGGCACACTCACACATCAAAATTTCTGAATATTCATACATTTCATAATATAGGGAAATAACCATAATAGAATATAAAATAGAAGTAGGATGCCATCTTTATAGCCAGATCGATGCCAGTATTTTTAAATTACACACACACACACACACACACACACACACACACACACACACACATATTTTCTTTCTTTTTTTTTTTGAGACGAAGTCTTGCTCTGTCACCCAGGCTGGAGTTCAGTGGCACGATCTTGGCTCACTGCAAACTCCACCTCCCGGGTTCACGCCATTCGCCTGCCTCAGTCTCCCAAGTAGCTGGGACTCTGGGCACCCGCCACCACGCCTGGCTAATTTTTTGTATTTTTAATGGAGACGGGGTTTCACCATGTTAGCCAGGATGTTCTCGATCTCGTGACCTCGGGATCCACCCACCTCGGCCTCCCAAAGTGCTGAGATTACAGGCGTGAGCCACCGCGCCCGGCCCCAAATATACGTATTTTTAATTGCATGTATGAATTTGCTAGGACAGCCATAAAACACACACACACACACACACACACACACACACACACACACACACACACGGTGGCTTAAATGGCCGAAATATATTTTTTTCACAGTTCTGGAGGCTGAAAGTCCAAGATCAAGATCAAGGTATTGCCAGGTTTGGTTTCTTCTAAGGTCTCTCTCCTTGGCATGTAAATGGCCACCTTCTCGCTATACCCTCACATAGCCCTTCCTCTGTCTGAGTGGCCTGTGGTGTTTCTTCCTCTTCTTATAAGGACATCAGTCATATTGGATTAGTGCCCTACCCTTAATTTCCTCTTTAAAGCCCCTGTCTCCTAATACAGTAACATTCTAAGTTAGGGGTGAAGCTTCAGTATATGAATTCTGGGAGGACACAGTTCAGTCCATAATAGTGCGTAAAATTGTAAGGAAGAACATCTAAATGTTCACACGTTTTCTAGATTATGGGATTACCAGAGATTATTGGGTTTTTATTACATTTTCCTGTATTTATATATTTTCTATGAATGAAAGTATTACATATTTTCAGTGAATATGTGTTACTTTTAAAATCAGAAAAAAGTTAATTTTAAAAAAGTTATTTCCACATTGCCTACTTTAAGTGAGGGACAAGGCAGGATGTGCAGGGCCAGCAGCAGTGCCTTCTGGTGCGCCTCAGCACTCCACGCGCTCCCAAATATAGCCACTAAACTAAGAAAAGTCCTATTTCTGGGTGAGACAGGGTAATTTCTTCATGAAATGTGGCGATACACCTGATGATTCTACTGAATAAACCAAGAGTTGAGAATCTAGATGATAGATACCAAATGAAAAAATATGTACTGTGTGATTCTATTTATGTACAATTCTAAGTAATGCAAACTAATCTGTGACAACGAAAGCAGATCTACAGATCTCTGAAGCTTGGGGGAAGAATTACAAATGGGCAGGGGATGATGGAAAGCTTTGTTATCTGGATTGTGCTGATGGTTTCACGAGTGTCTACATATATCAGGACTCACATTGTACACTTAAAATATGTGCAGTTTATTATATGTCAGTTATGTCTCAGGAAAGATGTTGAAAATGGGAGAGGGCACTGGAAGAAAAGATTTTGGCAGTCTTTGGGGCATTACAGTATTACTTATTAAAATAGTGATGTGGGGCTGTGCTTTGTGAACCAAAAGAAACCTTTAGTATTTGGAGGCTATGGGGGCAGACTGCTGTATACAGTTTTGGGAAGGGGCCTCTAAACCTGCTGGCCCCTTCCTGCTTCATAATCCGATATAACAGGGCTTGGGCTTGTCACCGTTTTGCATAAAAAGAAATGATTGTATAGGAGTGGAAGCCTGGTGGGTGAGCCAGTCTGGGCCACAGCAATCTCTTTAAATTTATTGGCTCGTTAATATTGTGAAGATGGGTGTGTTTCTTTTATAGCTGCATTAGATACTTATTTTTTTTTAAGACAGGATTTGGTACAGTGCTACAAGAGGGAAATATACTTAAAAATCACAACATTACCTGTGGTAAAATTATCATAAAAACTACCTAGTGCTCAAGCAGGGGATTACTTCAATTCTGCCCCTGTAATGACAGGAAATGGTCCTTGGTGAAGTTGTTTTCCATGAAGCTGTGATGAAATCAACTAAAGTGGTAATAAAGCCGAATGTAAAAGTGAGGGACTCAAGTGAGGTGTAAAAGTGCAGAAGGTGCTAGAATGTTTGAATTGGAATCTTCAGGAAATGACTCTGTAAAATATCAAACATGAGTTGATTGAGTTCTCAATTCAGAACTGTCAGTAGTACAGACAGGCCCCACGGCTGTGGGGAAAGTAGAGGAGGAGGATACCCCTACCCGCAACACCAGCTGTTTTTTTTTTTTTTTGCAGTGATTCTTTGATGAATTAATGTTCAGTAGATGCCTGTTATAAAAAGTTGGAAGCACATCTCAGTAAAACCTCAGTAAGCTGTGGAAACACAAGTAAAATATACATGATCAGAGAGATTTTCTAATTATAGAAAACTTTTATATTGATACTATATTCCAAATGACAAATCTGTTCCTTCTTGTCACTACTGCTACTGCCACCCTAGCGCAAGCCACCACCACCTCTCCTCACCGTTGTCATTTCTGTCTACTTACTGGTCTCATGTCCTCCCTAGTCTTTTTTTGCTGTTCTCCACGCTCCCCCCAGCGTTGTCTTATCGGGATGCTCTCTTACGCGAAATCACTCAGAGACTTTCTGTTGCCCTCAGGAGAAAGCTCAAAATCTTCACCATGGCGCTCAAGGCCCTGCATGGTATGATGCCTGCATATTTGCTTCATTTTATACCAATTCTCATCTAGCTTTCTGTATTCCAGCCACACAGGCCTTTCCATTTCAAAAATACACCATTCATTCTCTGACCACAGTGTCTTTGCACTTGCTGTTCGCTCTGGAATGCCCCTCACCCTCTCCTTATCCTTCCTCTCACTTTGTCAAACCCCACCCCTTTTATTTAAGATGACCTTCTGTTATACCTTTAAGTTTCAGATTAATGTCACTTCTTCAGAAAAGGCTTCCCTGACCCCCCCTACCCCTAGTCTTGGTAAAGTTTCTTAGTATGATGCTTATAGATGTGGAGTTTTTTTCTTTCAGAGCACTTAGTTTCATTTGTAACTATACATTTATTTACATGGTTCGATAATAGAAGAGCCTGTCTGTTTTGTTCACTGCTGTATTCCCAGCGTTTGGAACCCTGATACTCAGTAAGTGTTGAATGAATGAATAAGTGGAATGATGTGTTGCATTCTGAGGACCAGAAGATCAACCCAAATCCTGGTTTCCACTCTGCTGCTGATTTACTATGTAATAAATAAGACAATCTTTCTGAGCCTTAATTTCTAAAATGAAAAAAACTAACCTAATGAGCTGGGGCTCTTTTTGTTTGTTTGTTTTGTTTTGTTTTTTTGTTTTTGAGACGGAGTCTTGCTCTGTTGCCCAGGCTGGAGTGCAGTGGCACGATCTTGGCTCACTGCAAGCTCCACCTCCCGGGTTCATGCCATTCTCCTGCCTCAGCCTCCCGAGTAGCTGAGACTACAGGCGCCCACCACCATGCTCAGCTAATTCTTTGTATTTTTAGTGGAGACAGGGTTTCACCATGTTAGCCAGGATGGTCTCAATCTCCTGACCTCATGATCCGCCCGCCTCGGCCTCCCAAAGTGCTGGGATTACAGGCATGAGCCACCGCACCCAGCCTCTTTGTTGTTTTTAAACAGGTATCCATTAGGTATAGAGAACTGTGTTAATCGTATATGCCATCCTTAGTTTTCCATGCAATACCTTCTCTTTTATTCATATTTTTTCTTCTTTGAATCCTGCTTCTGTTCCCTTCTCTTTATGATACCATCTCTAGTATGTTTATTTCCTTAATATACTCCTATTCTTGTAAAATCTATAATATTGGGCAATTTTGTATATGTGTTTTAATTTTCAGAAATGTTTTTATGTTATAGATCTTATTCTTTTTTATACTTTCTCACCCAGTATTAAGATTTATACATCATGTGTCTTAATGTTACTTAATGTTCCATCATAATAATTACAAATATATTATTAGCAAATTTATATAGTCCTTACCGTATGTCATCACTGTTCTAAGCAATTTACATAAAGTCATTTAACCCTTGCAACAGTCTCACAAGGTAGGTGCCATTATTTTTCTCGTGTTTCATTCATTGATTCCCCTGGTGATGGAAACCTAGGTTGTCTTCAGCTTCCTGTTCTCCAAAACAGGACTGCAATGAATTTCCTTGTGTCTATCTCCTTTGCACCTGTGTGTTAGTTTCTCTGGGACCTTTATCCAAAAGTGAGATGCCTGAGTACTAAAGTATGCACATATTTAATTTTGCTTCATACTTCCAGATTGTCTTCCTGTCAGTTCATACTCCCAGGGCCAGGAGTACAAAAGAGCCCTTTTCCTCCCACGTACCCTTTGCCATTATGAAGGCCATAAAGTAGTATATCACTGCTGTGATTCCTGGTCAGTTTCTCACCACCACTACTGCTGTTACCCTAGTACAAGCTACCATCACCTCTTCTCCCTGTTGCCATAGTCTGTCTGCTCAGCAGGCCCTGCAGCTTCTCTAGTCCTTCTCATCCTTCTCCACACTTCAGTCAGAATAATCTAATAGAACACTCTTTTGCTCAAATCACTGAGCATTTTTTCTTTAATCCACTGAAATGATAGATGTTCTAATGATGACCCATACTTGCATTCCTAGGACACCTGCTGCCTAGACATGACGTTTTCTATAAGTAATTATTGGCTTTGGTTGGCTAATGCGTATTTTAGAATTTTTGCATCTGTTTCCTTAAATAAAATGGGTCTATAAATTTATTTTCTTGGCCTATCTCTAAGCTGTTTTTATAAACAAAGCTATATTAAAATGGCTTGAACAGCTTTCCCTCTTTTTCTGTTTTCTGGACCAATGTATAACAAGATGTAAATTATCCGTTTTTTGAACTAAGTGTTACACAAAGTTCTTTCTTTCCTTCCCCGTACCGCGAGACAGGCTGTCACCTGGGCTGGAGTTCAGTGGCATGATCAAAGCTCACTGCAGCCTCCACCTCCTGGGCTCAAGCCATCCTCCCACCTCAGCCTTCTGAGTAGCTGGGACTACAGGCACATGCTACCACACCTGGGTAATTTTAAGAAAAATAAAAGTGTAGAGACAGAGTCTGCTTATGTTGCTCAGGCTGGTCTTGAACTCCTGGGCTCCAGCAGCCTCCCACCTTGGCCTCCTAAAGTGCTGGAATTACAGGTGTGAGCCACCACACCTGGGCTTTACAGAGTAATTTTTAACTATTAATTTTATGATTTGGTGAATCACATGCTTGTGAGATTCTTACCAGGCCTTCACCAGTTGTGTGAATTAGCCAAGCAAATTAACATATATCTAAGACCTCAGCAATACTAGGAGGGAGAGTTAACCTACTATAAGTACAAAATGGTGTGTTTTCTCTCATATGGAAATTGACGACTGTAAACAGAAGTTCAGTAGTCCACTGATATCTATTGTCATTTATTTGTTTTACTAAATTTTTGCCACAAAACATATGATGTATAAGTTGTATCTAATAGAATTTTAAGGAGCATTCCTGACCTCACACTCACCCCTACCCAGCTGGCTTCCTTGGCTCTTCTTTCCTTCCCCATGGAGACACACTGCTTTGTTCTACTCCTACTTTATCCCTTCTGTCCCTCTGCACCCTTTTTCTTCCCATCTGTTTGATTTTTATGGCTCTAGAGGAAAACTGAGTTCTTTGAGCCTAAAGACAAGGGGATTGCCCGAAAGGGTAGGTTTGGCAAAATGGCAAAATTGAAATAGTGGTTAGCAGAGGGAGGGGATTTGGTTTCTGTAAATTTGGCAGGTGATGGGAAAAAATTATCATGCTGCTGTGTAATTTCATGACCCAAAGATTTTAGAGTAGATACATAATGTTATTGTAGACCTGTAGCAGCTTTGGAGAACTTGGGCAGTGCACACCCAATCTTGTTAAACTACTTCGATAAGCTTTGTGTCATGATTCTCTGAATCTCAGTCTCAGCTAGAATGAAATCAGAACACATGATGTTACTATTCAGACATCTCCCCTTCTTCTGAGTACATATTACTTTAAACCATATTAGTAATTTTCATATCATGTTATTTTTATTTTTCAATTGTCTTGAGGATATAGTACGTGAAGAAAAGATTATTTATCAGACAGTAACTGTCTGGCACACACAGGCTACATTATGGTAGTTAAGCTGAGATCCAGAGACTGTCAAACAAGCTATAAAAGCTAAAAGGCAGGATTTCTTGTAGTAAATCAGTTATAATAATTTTATATCTCAGTGCTTTACATTTGTGACATTTTGTATAATAAACAATTAACTGCCTGCTTTTGACATTTCAAAGTTAATGTGAAGTGAGTTATAAAACAGACGCTGTAAACGTCACTCCCCAAAATGGAGCGGTAAATGGCTATTGGCCTCTGGGTGGGTAAGACCTAATTATTCCTCACTGTACCCTCTGTACCTTTTTACTACCAGTTGGTGTTTCATTGTCTTTGATAAACAAGATAATTGATATAAATGAATGTGATCCTGTAAAATGGTTCCCCAATTGCAGATTTTCATGCTGGAGGTATAATTTTCCTTATGGCATGTTGCTGTTAATCTTTAAAGGGATAGGTTAGTTAATCTGCCTTCCTCAAGAATGCATTAGGTAAGTCACAGCTGACAAAAACATTAGGTATAACTAGGGCACAGGAAAAAATGACTAATAGTCACATTAGTGAGCAAGAGCATGTGGATTTTTAAGCAGGAGGTTTAGAGTTGGAAATAACGGAAGAGTATCTTGGAGATGCAATCCTCCCCAGGAAGAGGACCAAGGCAATGTACAGTGAGAAGGGATATAGCTTGGCTGTCTCTTCTCCGTCCTTATCAGCCAGAATGCTGATTTTGCTGCACTGACTGACTTAACAGCTGAGGATCCTAAACAAGGAAGTCTTAATGTGCTTTCTTCCTTCTCGTTTGGTGGGAAAGGGCCAGGGCTTTGTAAAACTACCATTTTGTCTCATATACTAATACACAGCATTCGCAATCCTTTGTTAGAAGGCTCTTTTTAGGAAATGTCAAGGACCAAGCAAGCAGAAGAGCAGTGTAAGTTTGCACCCAGTGGGAAGACTGGGATGAAAGAATTGACAGTGACTGCTTTGAAAAAAACTGTTTCTCTTTATATATATATGTAAATATGTGTGGTGTGTAGTTTTGTGTGTGTGTGTGTGTGTGTATAAAACAAGAAGGAATGAATGAAAAAGAAAGTAGGCAAACAGGAGAAAGTGTAATATGGCATACCCATGGCTTCCCTTAGAGGAGTGTTGTGCAACTTATCACTTGGAGTCATGGTGGTATGAAAAGTAATAATCATCATTTTCTTGTCTAAGGAGTTCTAATATTTAGTGTTAAAAACAAATTTAAACTTATGGCAAGGAAAACCATAGTGAAATGAGATTTCTTCCAGAACAGTTTTCTTTGGCAGTGTTATCACACAGCCTTTCAAAGATCCAGCATGTTAAGGGTGGTTTGCTGTCCAGTTTAATGTCATCCCTTCACCGAATGGATGGGCTGCTTCCCTCCCCCTCTTCCTCTCTTGAAAGGTTAGCCTTTCTTCAGAATAGTACAGGTTTTTCCTGCAACATCTGTCAACTTGGCAACGAGCACACCCTAAGGAAATTATGAACATTTGAAGACCATCTAAATACTGTAGGGTACCTTTCCTTCTTTCTCTCCTCTCTCCCTCTTCTCCCTCCTGCCTTTCCCCAAGAAGAATGGAGCAGCCACATGGCAATGTCACTGTGTGTCTCACTGATAAATTATAAGCCTATTTCTGTCTGTGATTCGTTTCATATGTTGTGATTTGCTTATTCCTTTGTGATAGCTCTTGAAACCTTAAAGCAGTGACGATTGTAAAAGGCAGACTGTGGGAAGACCCCTTCGTTTAATTAAAAGAGACCTCCCTTAGCCACTGTACTGTTAGCACAAAGAGGCTACTTTGGTCAAATGACTCAGATGATCTTGATCTGATTCAGTAGGTCAGAAATTGCTGTCCCCAGCAAATATCGATCAGAAGGAACTGCTTTCTCGGTTATTCTGAAACTGCCAGCTGCATATTACACTAGCAGGTGCTAATAGTTTTTTGCAGGTCGGTAGAATTGTTATTGGTTCTTCCTTTGCCTCTTATCCTTAAAGGTGGCTTGTCCCCCATCTTGTGTAATACCCAGATTTATGAAATGCTGGTCCCACCTACCCATTCCACATGGGGAAAAATCTGGCTTTCTGTGTCTGGGGAAGTGCCAAGCCTAGGTCTTATGCTTCTCTGAAACTCTCAAAATTCTTTTGTAAACATTGTCTAACTTATTCTGTCAATATTCATAAAAAGGCAGGGAGAAGAAGGGATTATTATCTTTATAGGTAGAGAAACAGTCACAGAATGGTTAAATGGCTTCCTTGACGTTGCCTAGGAAGCTGTTTACAGAAGTGAGGTTAGTTCTCTGAATGCCTGCTTTCTAGTCCATTGCCTTGTGCAGTGGACTTTCAAGCAGAAGCTGGGAAGGGAAGAGCAGCTGTTTTCCTCCCGCATAATTAATATGTAGATATGATGGAAAGAGAGTTAAAATGCAGAAATAAGATATTCCTTAAAAGGCAGATACGAAAATATTTATAGTAAAGTGTCATTTAAAAATACTTGTATTGAGAAGGAGGCAGAGTAAGATGGCCAAATAGAAGCCTCCACTGGTCATCCTCCCCCCAGGAACACCAAATTTGACAAGTGTCTACCAAAAAAGCACCTTAGTAAGAATGAAAAATCAGGTGAGTGGTCACAGTACCTGGTTAACTCAATATCACTGAAAGAGGCACTGAAAAGGATAGGAATGACAGTCTTGAATTGCTGATGCCATCTCTCCCCCAGTAGCCACACGGCATGGAGAGAGAATCCGTGCATTTGGGGGAGGGGGAGAGTGCTGCGATTGTGGGGCTTTGCATTGGAACTCAGTGCTGCCAACACTGGGCAGAACACAGCCAATGCCCGTGGAGGGAGCACTTAGACAAGCCCTTGCCAGAGGGAGATCCCCCATCCCAGCAGTCGGAACTTGAGTTTCGGCATGCCTCACCATCACAGGGCAAAGTGCTCTGGGATTCTAAATAAACTTGAAAGGCTGTCTAGGCCACAAGGACTGTAAATCCTAGGCAAGCCCTAGTGCTGTGCTGGGCTAAGAGCCAGTGACTTGGGGAGTATGCAACCTAGTGAGACACCAACCAGGGCAGCTAAGGGAATGCTTGCACCATCCTTCTCCCAACCCCAGGCAGCACAGCTCACAGCAATGAAAGTGACCCTTTTCTTCTGCTTGAGGAGAGGAGAGGGAAGAGTAAAGAGGACTTTGTTTTGCACCTTGAATACCAGCTCATCCACAGTAGAATAGGACACTGGGCAGAGTCCTGAGGCCTCCATTCCAGGCCCTAGCTCCCAGATGACATTTCTAGTCACGCCCTGGGCCAGAAGGGAACCTGCTGCCCTGACGGGAAGGACCCAGTCCTGGCAGGATTCATCACGTGCTGACTAAAGTGCCCTTGGGCTCTGAATAATCAGCAGTGGTAACCAAGTAGTACACACTGTGAGCCTTGGGTGAGACTCTAAGACATGCTGGCTTTGGGTGTGGCCCAGCATATTCGCAGCTGTGGTGGATATGAGGAGAGACTCCTACTGCTTGAGAAAAGGAGACGGAATAATAAAGGGATTATTATCTTTATTTTATAGGTAGAGCAACATCTTGCAGCTTAGGTACCAGCTTAGCCACAGTGAGGAAGAGCACCAAGTGGGCTCTTTAGGTCCTCAATTCCAGGTCTTGGCTCTCGGACAACATTTCTGGACCTACTCTAGTCCAGAGGGGAACCTACTGCCATTAAGGGTGAGTGCCAGGCCTGGCAGCATACACCACAAACTAACTGAAGAGCCCTTGGGCCTGAAGTGAACATCAGTGGTACCCTGGCAGTACTCCCTGTGGGCTTGTGGTGGTAATGGACATGAGGAGAGACCCCTCTGGCTGGGGCAAGGGGTGGGAAGCACTTTGTCTGTGGTTTCACTGCCAGCGTAGTCGCAGTGGAATAGAGCACCAGGTAGATTTCTAAGGTTTCTGATTCCAGGCTCTGGCTGCTACACAGCATCTCTGGACCTGCATGGGGCCTGGGGGAACTCACTGCCCTGAAGGTAAGGACACAAGACTGGCTGGCTTCACTACCTGCTGATTGTAGAGCCCTAGGGCCTTGAACAAACATAGGTGGTAGCTAGGTAGTGGTTACAGTGGTCCTTGGGCAAGACCCAGTGCTGTGTTGGCCTCAGGTCTGACCTAGCACAGCCCCAATAGTGGTGGCCACAGCGGTGTTTGTGTCACTCTTCCCCCAGCATGAAGCAGAGAGGGAGAGAGAGACTATATTTGTTTGAGAGAAAGTAAGGGAAAAGAACAAGAGTCTCTGTCTGGCAATCCAGAGAATTCTTCTGGATCTTATCCACAACCACCAAGGCAGTACCTCTATGAGTCTATAAGAACTACAGCATTACTGAGCTTGGGTGTCCCTAGTGTAGATATGGCTGCAGTGACCAAAAACTTAGATCAAACACCCAAGTCCCTTAGAATTCCTGGAAAACCTTCCCAAGAAGGATGGGTACAAACAAGTCCAGACTACAAAGACTACAAGAAATACCTAACACTTCAATGCCCAGACATTGACAAATATCTCCAAGTATCAACACCATTCAGGAAAACAACCTCACCAGACGAATTAAATAAGGCAACAGGGGCCAATCCTGCAGAGACGGAGATATTTGACCTTTCAAAGAGAGAATTCAAAATAGCTGTTTTGGCTGGGCACAGTGGCTCACGCCTGTAATCCCAGCACTTTAGGAGGCTGAGGCGGGTGGATCACCCAA
This sequence comes from Homo sapiens, assembly GCF_000001405.40. Lineage (NCBI taxonomy): Eukaryota > Metazoa > Chordata > Mammalia > Primates > Hominidae > Homo > Homo sapiens. The sequence continues at coordinate 38,318,126 of NC_000006.12, read as the reverse complement.
GGTCAGGAGTTCAAGACCAGCCTGGCCAACATGGTGAAACCTTGTCTCTACTAAAAATACAAAAATTAGCCAGGTGAGGCAGGAGAATCGCTTGAACCCAGGAGGTGGAAGTTGCAATGAGCCGAGATCACGCCACTGCACTCCAGCCTGGGCAACACAGCGAGGCTCTGTCTCAAAAAAAAAAAAAAAAAAGCTATTTTGAGGAAACTCAAATTCAAGATAACACAGAGAAGGAATTCAGAATCCTATCAGATACATTTAACAAAGAAAATAATTAAAAAGCATCAAGCAGAAATTCTGGATTGAAAAATGCAATGGACATACTGAAGAATGCATTGGAGTCTCTTACTAGCAGAACTGATCAAGCAGAAAAAAGAAAAGCCTGAGCTTGAAGACAGGCTGTTTGAAATTACACAGTCAGAGAAGACAAAACAGAACAGGATAAAAAAGAAGAAAGAATGCTTTCAAGATCTAGAAAATAGCCTCAGAAGGGCAAACCTAAGAGTTATTGGCCTTAAAGAGGAGGTAGAGATAGGGGTAAAAAGTCAGTTCAAAGAGATAATAGAGAACTTCCCAAACTCAGAGAAAAATATCAATATTCAAGTACAAGAAGGTTTAGAACACTAAGCAGATTTAACCCAAAGAAAATTGCCTCAAGGCATTTAATAATCAAATTCCCAAAGGTTAGGGATAAAAAAAAAGGATCCTAAAAGCAGCAAGAGAAAAGAAACAAATAACATACAGTGGAGCTCAGTATGTCTGGCAGCAGACCTTTCAGTGCAAACCTACAGGCCAGAAGAGAGTGGCATGACATGTTTAAACTGCTGAAGGAAGGTCAGGCACGGTGGCTCATGCCTGTAATCCAGCACTTTGGGAGGCCGAGGCTGGTAGATCACGAGGTCAGGAGTTCAAGATCAGCCTGGCCAACATAGTGAAACCCTGTCTCTACTAAAAATACCAAAAATGGACTGAGCATGGTGCTGCACATCTGTAATCCCAGCTACTTGGGAGGCTGAGGCAGGAGAATCACTTGAATCCAGGGGGTGGAGGTTGCAGTGAGCCGAGATCACACCATTGCACTCCAGCCTGGTGACAGAGCAAGACTCCATCTAAAAAAAAAATAAAAAACTAAGTGCTAAAGGAAAACCTTTTACCCTAGAATAGTATATCCAGAAAAAATATCCTTTAAACATGAAGGAGAAATAAATACTTTGCCAGACAAACAAAAGGCGAGGGATTTCATCAACACTAGACCTGTCCTACAAGAAATGCCAAAGGGAGTTCTTTGGTCCGAAAGGAAAGGTTGTTAATGAGCAATAAGAAGTCATCTGAAGGTACAAAATTCACTGCTAATAATAAGTACACAGAAAAAGAACATTTGAAGACTGAGATTGTAGTATATAAACCACTCATATCTTAAGTAGAAAGATGAAAAGAGGAACTGATTAAAATAATAACTACAACAACTTTTGAAGACATATATAGTACAATAATATATAAATAGAAACCACAGAAAGTTAAAAAGTGGGGAGATGAAGTTAAATTATAGAATTTTTATTAGTCTTCTTTTTTCTTGTTTGTTTATGTAATCAGTGTTGTTAACAGTTTAAAATAATGGGTCATATTACTTGCAAGTCTCATGGTAACCTCAAATCTAAAAACATACAATAGATACAAAAAATAAAGAGCAAGAAATTAAAACATAGCACCAGAAAAAATCACCTTCACTAAAAAGATGACAGAAAGCAAGAGAAGACCACAGAACAACCAGGAAACAAATAATAAAATGGCAGGAGTAAGTCATTACTCATCAGCAATAACACTGAATATAAATGGACTAAACTCTCCAAAGGGCATAGAGTGGGTGAATGGATAAACAAACAAGACCCAACAATCTGTTGTCTACACATAACACACTTCACATATAAAGAAACACATAGACTGAAACTAAAGTGATACAAAAAGACATTCCATGCCAGTGGAAACCAAAAAAGAACAGGAGTAGCTATACTTTTATCAGACAAAATAGATTTCAAGACAAAATCTATAAAAAGAGACAAATAAGATCATATATAGTGATAAAGGGGTCAACTCAGTAAGAGGATATGACAATTATAAATATATATGCACCCAACACTGGAGCACCCTGATATATAAAGCAAATATTATTAGAGCTAAAGAGAGAGACTCTAATACAATGATAGCTAGAGACTTCAGCACCCCACTTTCAGCATTGGACCGATCATTTAGACAGAAAATCAATAAAGAAACATCAGACTTACTCTGTGCTATAGACCAACTGGACCTAATAGATATTTACAGAACATTTCATCCAACAGCTGCAGAATACACATTCTTCTGCTCAACACATGGTTTATTCTAAAGGACAGACCATATCTTAGGCCGCAAAACAAGTCTCAAAACATTCAAAAAAACTGAAATAATATCAGATATCTTCTCTGACCACAATGGAATAAAACTAGAAATCAGTAAGAAGAGAAATTTTGGAAACTATCCAAACACATGCAAATTAAACAGTATGCCTCTGAATGACCAGTGGGTCAAGGAAGAGATTAAGAAGGAAATTGAAAATATTTTTGAAACAAATGATAATGGAAACACAACATACCAAAACCTGTGGGATTTAAAAAAAAAACCAAAACTGTGGGATACAGCGAAAGCGGTACTAAAAGAGAAGTTTATAGCTGTTAAGTGCCTGCATCAAAAAAAGAAGAAAAACTTCAAATAAACAACCTAATGATTTATCTTAAAGAACTAGAAAAGCAAGAGCAAACCAAATCTAAAGTTCGTAGAAGAAAAGAGAGAATAAAGATCAGAGCAGAAGTAAATGAAATTGAAATGAAGAAAATAATACAAAAGATCAATGGAACAAAAAGTTTCCTTTTTGAAAAATAAAATCAACAAACCTTTAGCCAGTCTAACTTAGAAAAACAGAGGATGCCAAGAAAGAAAATCAGAGGCCGGGCATGGTGGCTCACGCCTGTAATCCCAGCACTTTGGGAGGCTGAGGCAGGCGGATCATGAGGTCAGAAGATCGAGACCATCGTGGCTAACATGGTGAAACCCCGTCTCTACTAAAAATACAAAAAATTAGCCAGATGTGGTGGCGGGCGCCTGTAGTCCCAGATACTTGGAGGCTGAGGCAGGAGAATAGCGTGAACCCGGGAGGTGGAGCTTGCAGTGAGCCGAGATCCCGCCACTGCACTCCAGCCTGGGCGACAGAGCAAGACTTTGTCTCAAAAATAAATAAATTAATTAATCAGAGATGAATACGAAGACATTACAACCAATACTGCAGAAATTTAAAGGATCATTAGAGGCTGCTATAAGCAAATATATGCCAATAAATTGGAAAACCTAGAGGAAATGGGTAAATTTCTAACTTAACAACTTACCAAGACTGAACCATGAAGAAATCCAAAACCTGAACAGACCAATAACAAGTAACGAGATTGAAGCCGTAATAAAAAGTCTCCCAAAGAAAGAAAAGAAAGAGAAAGAAATAAAGAAAAGCCCAGGACCCAAGTGCTTCACTGCTGAGTTTTACCAAATACTTAAAGAAGAACTAATACTAATTCTACTCATATTATTCTGAAAAATAAAGGTGGAGAGAATACTTCCAAACTCATTCTACAAGGTCAGTGTTATTCTGTTATCAAAACCAGACAAAGACACATTAAAAAAAAATAAAATTCATCCTGGCTAACATGGTGAAACCCCGTCTCTACTAAAAATACAAAAAATTAGCCGGGTGTAGTGGCGGGCGCCTGTAGTCCCAGCTACTCCGGAGTCTGAGGCAGGAGAATGGCGTGAACCCGGGAGGCGGAGCTTGCAGTGAGCCGAGATCACCCCACTGTGCTGCAGCCTGGGCGACAGAGCGAGACTCCAGCTCAAAAATAAATAAATAAAATAAAATAAAATAAAATTACAGGTCAATACCTCTGATGTAAACATCCTCAACAGAATACTAACAAACAACAAATGTGATGTTGCTAGTATTTTGTATTTGAAATACATAAATATTTTAAATACAAAATACTAGCAACATCACATTAAAAGTTCATTCACCAGGCACAGTGGCTCACACCTATAATCCCAGCACTTTGGGAGGCCAAGGCAGGTGGATCACCTGAGGTCAGGAATTTGCGACCAGCCTGGTGAAACCCCATCTCTACTAAAAATACAAAAATTAGCCGGATGTGGGGGTATGCACCCGTAGTCCCAGCTACTCAGGAGGCTGAGGCAGGAGAATCACTTGAACCCCGGAGGCGGAGGTTGCAGTGAGCCAAGATGACGCCACTGCACTCCAGCCTGGACGACGGAGTGAGACTCCATCTCAAAAAAAAAAAAAAAAAAAAGATAATTCATCATGACCAAGTGGAATTTATCCCAAGGATGCAAGAATGGTTCAACATATGCAAATCAATCAACATGATATATCATATCAATAATAAAGGACAAACACCATATAATTATTTCAATTGATGATGAAAAAGCATTTGATAAAATTCTACATCCCTTTATGATAAAGTTCAAGAAACTGGGTATAGAAGGAACATACCTCAACATAATAAAAGCCATATAAAACAGACCCACAGCTAGTATCATACTGATGGGGAAAAACTGAAATCATTTCCTCTAAGATCGGGAACATGACAAGGATGTCCACTTTCACCACTTAGGACTTTCAACATAGTAGTGGAAGTCCTAGCCAGAGCAGTCAGAGAAGAGAAAGAAATAAAGAGCATCCAGTTTGGAAATGAAGAAGTCAAATTACCCTTGTTTGAAGATATGATCCTATATTTGAAAAAACCTAAAGACTCCACCAAAAAATTATTAGAACTGATCAATTCAGTAAAGTTGTAAGATAGAAAATCACCAGTAGCATTTTTATATGCTTATGGCAAACAATCTGAAAAAGAAATCAAGAAAGTAATCTTATTTACAATAGCTACAAATAAAATTAAATATTTAGGAATTAAAGAAATGAAAGATTTCTACAATGAAAACTATAAAACATTGGTGAAAGAAATTAAAGAAGACACAAAAAAAGTAAAGATATTTCATGTCCATGGATTGAAAGAATCAATATTGTTAAAATGTCCATACTATCCAAAGCAGTCTACACATTCAATTCAATCCCTATTAAAATACCAATGACATTCTTCACAGAAATAGAAAGACTATCCTAAAATTTATATGGAACCACAAAAGACCTGGAATAGCCAAAGATGTCCTGAACAAAAAGAACAAAACTGAAAGAATCACATTACCTGACTTCAAATTATACTACAGAACTGTGGTAACCAAAAGAGGATGGTGCTGGCGTAAAAACAGACACATAGACCAATAGAACAGAATAGAGAACCCAGAAATAAATCCACACAACTACAGTGAACTCATTTTCGACAAAGGTGCCAAGAATATATACCGGAGAAAAGGTAGTCTTCAATAAGTGATGCTGGGAAAACTGGATATCCATATGTGGAAGAATGAAACCAGACCCCTCTATCTCCCTCTCCATATACAAATATCAAATCAAAATGATTAAATACATAAATTTACTCTCTCAAACTACAAAGCTAGTAAAAGAAAACATTGAAAGAACTCTCCAGGCCATTGGAATGGGTAAAGGTTTCTTGAGTAATAACCCACAAGCACAGGCAACCAAAGCAGAAATGGATGATGGGATCACATGAAGTTAAAAAGCTTCTGCACAGCAAAAGAAACAATTAGCAAAGAAATATTCCACAGGAATGGGAGAAAATATTTGCAAAGTACTTACCTGACAAGGGATTAATAACCAGAATATATAAGGAACTCAAACAACTCTATAGGGAAAACAATCAAATAATCCGATTAAAAATGAGCAAAAGATCTGAATAGACATTTCTCAAGAGAAGACATAGAAATGGAAAACAGGCATACGAAAAGGTGCTCAGGTTGGCCGGGCATGGTGGCTCACTCCTGTAATCCCAGCACTTTGGGAGGCCGAGGCGGGTGGATCACCTGAAGTCAGGAGTTTGAGACCAGCCTGACCAACATAGTGAAACCACGTCTCTACTAAAAATAAAAAATTAGCTGGGCATGGTGGTGCGCACCTGTAGTCCCAGCTACTCAGGAGGCTGATGCAGGAGAATGGCGTGGACCCAGGAGGTGGAGGTTCCAGTGAGTCGAGATCGCGCCACCGCACTCCAGCCTGGGCGACAGAGTAAGACTCAGTCTCAAAAAAATAAAAATAAAAAAGAAAAGGTGCTCAGGTACTCTAAATTATTGATCTTCAGAAAAATGCACACCAAAACTACAATGGGATATCATGTCACCCCAGTTAAAATAGCTTTTATCCAAAAGACAGACAATAACAAATGTTGACAAAGATGTGGGGAAAAGGGAACCCTTGTACACTGTTGGCGGGAATATAAATTAGTACAACCACTATGGAGAACAGTTTGGAGGTTCCTCAAAAAACTAAAAATAGAGCTACCATATGATACAGCAATCCCACTTTTAGATATGTACCCAAAAGAAAGGAAATCAGTATATTGAAACGATATCTGCACTCCCATGTTTATTGCAGCACTGTTCACAATAGCCAAGATTTGGAAGCAACGTTAAGTCTCCATCAATAGATGAATGGATAAAGAAAATGTGGTACATACACACAATGGAGCACTTATTCAGCCATAAAAAGGAATTATATCCTGTCATTTGCAACAACGTGGATGGAACTAGAGGTCTTTATGTTAAGTGAAATAAGCCAGGCTCTCACTTACTTGTGGGAGCTAAAAATGAAAACAATTGAACTCATGGAGATAGAGAGTAGAATGATTCTTACCAGAGACTGTGAAAGGCAGTGGGTGGGTAGGGGGCAAGTGGGGATGGTTAATAGATACAAAAAAAAAAAAAATAGGATGAATAAGATCTAGCGTTTCATAGCACAGCAAGGTGACTATAGTCAATAATAATTTAATTGTACATTTAAAAATAACTAGAAAGGCCGGGTGCAGTGGCCCACGCCTGTAATCCCAGCACTTTGGGAGGCCGAGGCAGTCAGATCACCTGAGGTCAGCAGTTCGAGACCAGCCTGGCCAACATGGTGAAACCCCGTCTCTACTAAAACTGCAAAAAAAATTAGCCAGGTGAGGTGGCGCCTGCCTGTAAACTCAGCTACTCAGGAGGCTGAGGCAGGAGAATTGCTTGAACCCGGGGGGAGGTTGCAGTGAGTCAAGATCACGCCACTGCACTCCAGCCTGGGTGACAGAGCGAGACTTCGTCTCAAAAAACAAAACAAAACAAAACAAAACAAAACAAAGCTAGAAGGGTATAATTGGATTGTTTGTAACACAAAGAATAAATGCTTGAGGTGATGGATACCCTGTACCAAAATATTTCGTATACCCCGTAAATATATATATGCTTACTATGTACCCGCAAAAATTAAAAAATAAAAAAAACTACTGTATCCATTTTTTCATTTCCAAAAGCACTGAATGTAGGTCATTAAAAGAATTTAAAACAATAGTAAAAGGCTCTTTTAAAATTACCTTTTATTGTACTTTTTTCATCACACATTCAGTTAAGTCTACTGAAAAACATGGCATGATCTTGTTTCCTCAATCTAGATTAATTTTGGCCCCCAGAACATAGTATAAATTATATATTTTGCCCAGATTTTTTTTTTTTTCTGATAACTACTTCAGAAGTCTGATTAGGGTCATTCCAGGTGATTTGGAAGACTTTGGCTGCCTTTGAAGCCAAACTGCGCCAGGTCTCCAAGTTCACAGCTCAGGAGGCGTCCTTCACACTCAGGGATTTGCCCAATTTACCCACAGACCTGGACTGGTGCCTCAGGGTAGAACTGAGAGTGCCCAGTGGGACAAGTTGTTCCCTCAGGCACCCTTTGTGGTTTGATTAAGGAGTCTCAATACTGAATGCAGTATTCAGAAGTTCGTACTCACTTTTCCCCCTGGTGTGTTTCTTCGACATTCCAGTCTTACTTTCATGAGATCTGCGGAGATTCTTTCCTTCTCACACCTCTCACTCAATCCAGGATGGTTTGTGAGGGTTAAGGCACAAGAGATTTGGTGTTATGTCTCACCTTTTTCTCTCTGCCTCCAAAGGCTCTGGCAGGAAGATTCTGCCAAAGTGGGATTGTAGGAGCATACTTGCCACAGATCTGATGGGGACATTTTCTCTATAGCATACCCAGCTCCATTTAATGTTTAAACACCTCACTGTTAGTACTACTTTTAGAAAAAATCAAATTTTATAGTTATTGATGCATTTTAAAGAAATATTAATGTTTGAACCAGATACAGCCTCTAGCTTAAAAAAAAAAAAGAAAGGCTGCTACTTTATTCTTTATTAAAGGATCGTTAAAAAAAATTATTAAATAGGCTGGGCGCAGTGGTTCACACCTGTAATCCCAGCACTTTGGGAGGCCAAGGAGGGCAGATCATGAGGTCAGGAGATTGAGACCATCCTGGCCAACATGGTGAAACCCCGTCTCTACTAAAAATACAAAAGTTAGCTGGGCGTGGTGGTGCGTGCCTGTAGTCCCAGCTACTCGGGAGGCTGAGGCAGGAGAATCGCTTGAACCAGGGAGTTGGAGGTTGCAGTGAGCCGAGATCACATCAGCCTGGCAACAGAGAGAGATTCCATCTCAAAAAAAAAAAGTATTAAATAAACCACCACTTTTTCGTGGTTTTTTTGTTTGTTTGTTTGTTTGTTTATTTGGGAGATGGAATCTCACTCCGTCACCAAGGCCAGAGTGCAATGGTATGATCTCGGCTCACTGCAACCTCTGCCTCCTGGGTTAAGCAATTCTCCTGCCTCAGCCTTCCAAGTAGCTGGGATTATAGGCGCCCACCACCACGCCCAGCTAATTTTTGTATTTTTAGTAGAGACAGGGTTTCACCATGTTGGCCAGGCTGGTCTCGAACTCCTGACCTCAGGTGATCCACCTGCTTCAGCCTCCCAAAGTGCTGGGATTACAGGCATGAGCCACTGCACCTGGCCTTTTTGTGGGCTTTTTAAACAACCTTTTGCATGTCTTTTGTTCTCTGTTCAATGTGAATGAGAAATATTCCCCAAGCTGTGGTGACATCTCTGACTTGAGTCACAAACCTGTTGTGACCTGACGACCCTTTAAACTCGTAGTGTGGTACAAAAATAACTCTGTTGGCCCAGGCGCAGTGGCTCAGGCCTGTAATCCCAGCACTTTGGGGGGCTGAGGCAAGAGAAATGCTTGAGCTCAGGAGTTTGAGACCAGCCTGGGCAATATAGCAAAATCCCATCTCTACAAAAAATACAAAAAATAAATAAATAAATAAATAAGCCAGGCTTGGTGGCACATACCTGTAGTCCCAGCTACTCCAGAGGCTGAGGTGGGAGGATCACCTCATCCTGTGAGAGGTCGAGGCTGCAGTGAGCCGTGATCATGCCACTGCACTCCCGCCTGGGCAACAGAGTGAGACCCTGCTTCAAAAAAACAGAAACAAAACAAAACTCTGTTGATTTTAAGTAGCAATCCTGCAACAATTTGAACATCTTTTAGGGAAGAAGGAAAAATAAATTCATGTGAAACTTATGATACTACTCACAGAAAAAGATGCCCTTTATATTAAAACTTCTTAATTTTTTGAGAAATCATTTTGAAAACTTGCAAAACCAGTTTAAGTGACTATTTGTATGTTGGTTATTCCTTCTCCTGTGTTTGTATAAATCACGTTATGTTTACAGTGCAGATGTAAAGTCTCTTCCCTGACAAGTTATGTCCGGAGGAAAGAAAAAAATAGAGATATTGCCTGTTAGTTCAAACACAGAATTGGATGGTTGGTTTATCTTTTTTCTTTATACCTGGAAATGCCTCTGTCCTCAATTTCAAGGCCTCACCTTCAGAGTGAATCCCTCTTTGATATACTGCAGTGGTTATTACTGCTAACATCTGATGCTTGATTCTTTAAGGCCTTTGAATTGATTTTCTCAGCTAAAACCTCTAGCATTTAAACTACAGGATTGTCAAACTGCACATAAGAGAGTAAACCATACAGTTATTTTTGGAAAGTGCTTTCATTCAAAGGCCCCAGTGTGAGGAGAGAGAGAAAATTCACTGATCCTGGTGAACTTGTATGTTTGAGATCTACTGTTGCCACATCACCTCACTTCTGTCCCTGGGGATAACCATCTCTGATTTCTTATCTTCTAGAAAGCAGGCCACTTCCTCTGAAGTGTTTAGAGCTATAGCTTCATAAAATTTGCATGTGTTTGAGGGGCAAAAGGTGGAGGGGAACACATCTGAAGTTTAGGGAAGTTTTAACCTCTTCTTATCACTGGCTAAAATGGACTCAGCATGATTTTTGGAGCCCTTATAATCTTAAGATAAGATGTGATTTGGGCAACCTTGCTAATGTAAAAATTGGAGCTAGAACAGGAAAGATCAGAATACTGGATTAATGCTAATTAAACAGACAAAATAGCAAAGAAAGAAGGAAAAATCGATTAGGGGAAAGGGGCTCCAGTTTTCAAAAGGCATAGCCTGTTTTCCACCCATGGGCTTCACCCACAGGTATGGAGAGGTGGTCAGGACTGAATTCTCTGGAAGTGTGTTCAGAAGCAGCCTTCTCACAGAAGCAGGTGGGGGAAACTTTGGGAAAGGAAAAGCTTAAAAATTGTATGCTATATATAACCCATGGTTTTTCTTTGGTGATGTAATATATGATTGAAAAGTGATTTTCTTAACCTGATAGATAAAACTAGGCATTAATATAACTAAGTGCCTGTGTTGTAGAATACATTTTTACAGCTTTTTGATAGTTTCCAAGAAAGATGGGCTTGTTCTCTAATTAGCTATTGTTCTTTTACAGCTGTTAAGACAGAACAGCTGTGGATATTTTTTCCTCTTGAATAATTTGACAGAAGGTTGGATTACAGTTGGGTTAGAAGCTTGCCTGATCAGCAACAAATTCCTGTGTAGGCCTGGGGCTAGGCCACTGGTGTGTTTCCTCCTTTAAAAAAAGAAGTGATAGGTCTGTGGGAAGACCTCTAGGTAGGACCTTAAGCTAATAGTTATCTTCTTAAACAGGAAATCTTTGTATCTCTATGAAAATCTTGGCAATAGAGAATGATCTACTCAGAGATTATTAACCATTTGCTTGCTGCATGAACCACTGTGCTGTTAGAAAACAATTTTGTAATGAAAACAGCCAGGGAAACATTGAATAAAGCCCAGCAGAGCACAGTGTTTGAAGATGACAGTCCTCTGTAACTGCTAAGTGTTATTTCCTTTTACAAAATCTGCTTCAAGTGGGTCTTTTTCCTCCACCTCTCAAAAGTGATCTCTGGAGACAGTTAAATAACATGTCAGTCTTATCTTTAAATATAGCTGGTACAGGTGGCCCTCAGGTCATGTCCTACTGAAGTAATACTGCCTTTTAAAAAATTTATTACTCCTGAATTAAATTTAGAGGCAAGTCGTTGGCCACCCCTGGTGCTTTGTAAGAACAGAGAGCAGTAAAATTGTTTTCAGATCACTTTTTCTGCAGTTCCCTGCAGTCTGAGTCATTCCAATATTCATACACTTTGCAGAATGTATACACTTTGTTAACATGCAACTTTTGCATTCAGAAGCAGCAGATTAAATTTGTCTGAGCAGAATTGCTATGTGCACAGAGGGGGAAAAGTAATTTCTGTCCAGGCGGTTCACCTTTGCCTTTTGCTCCTAGCACAGGCTGTTGTAATAGGGATGTAGGTGAGGGATGGCAAAGGAACACCAGAAAGAGACAGATACAAGACACTGGGTTTTGGCAGCATGGTTTTGTAAACAAAGTGACACAAATTGGGACAGAAATTCCAGTGGGACAAGGGAGGAAACTGGAAGACTAGAAATAGAGCAGAAAGCTCAGTCCCATCCAGATGGTGTTTTTAATAAATTTATCAGACGCATATGAAAGACGATAATGAACATTCAAAATGGGGAGTGGCCCAGTTCCTCTGGGAAGAAAAACAGTGTGGAACCTTCTGTGTGCTGCATTCAGATATAGAATCACTCTCTAATTTTTCCCAGTAAGAAAGACCACAGAACTTATTCAAACCATTGAGTAATTGTTTAAGGCAGTCCAACTAGGTAGGCTGAGGTTTGTGTTTCTAGAAAGAAAAATTCATAACACAATTATTCCCTGCTGAAATGGAGGATTTGGCCTATGTATATTAGTAAACCAGTGGTGACATTTGATACAAACATCTTCTGTCACAACTACTGTAAGTGTGACTAAAGCAGACATTTCTCCCCCTCGGGCATAAAAGACCTTTTATAGTCTTTAAGGGTCAGGCATGGTGGCTCATACCTGTAATCTTAGCACTTTGGGAGGCTGAGGCAGGTGGATCACTTGAGGTCACAAGTTCGAGACCAGCCTGGCCAACATGGTGAAACCCCATCTCTACTAAAAACAAAAAAAAATTAGCCCGGTGTGGTGGCGTGCATCTGTAGTCCCAGCTACTCGGGAGGCTGAGCAGGAGAATTGCTTGAAACTGAGAGTTGGAGGTTGTAGTGAGTTGAGACCGTGCCACTGCACTCCAGCCTGGGCAACAGAGTGAGACTGTATCTCAAAAACAAACAAAACAAACAAAAACAATAACCTTTTATAGTCTTTAAAAGCTACATTGTTATCTGCATTCTTCTTCTCACTTTTGCCCCTCAAAATGTTTTCTCCATCAAACAATATTTTAGTCTACCATGAGTGACCAAACTTTCTGCATGTGGGGCAGACTTTTAGGGGAGAAGTTGAGAGAATAGAAGGTGTGGGTAGTGCTTAGATAGCAACTCTTCTACCATGGGCATATTTATTTTCTTTTTAATGTTTAGGTCAAGACCCAGAGATTGATCATATTTTACTTTTCTAAGAAAACTTCCACTGATAAAGCAATTTTTTTCTGCTTTATTCAGTAACTTTTAGATTTTCCTAGCTTTCCGTAAAGAACTATGTTAAGCAAGGTTAAGCGCCACAACCTTACATAGGCATCGTTTTCTATCTTTGATTCATTTACTCAGCAAATATTTATTGAGCGCCTACCATGTGCTAGGCATTGTTTCTTGGCGGTGGGAATACAGCTGCAGAAAAAAAAAAAAAGTTCCTGCCCTTATGAAACTCACATTCTGAATCTCTGGCTGTCAGTTTAGATCAGATTGTAGTACTGATTTGGCTATTAAGTGGGACAGTGCTAGAATGATTGCCTCATCTTGGTGATTTACAGAAGGTAAATCCACTGGGCTTGTGCCTTAGGTCCTTTTCTTCTTCTTTCCAGGTGTCAGCATCATTTGGTTATTATACTGTTAATTTGACTTATTAGCAAAAAGTAGGAATCAGAATTAAGAGAAGTCCAGGCATGGTAGTTCATGCCTGTAGTCCTAGCACTTTGAGAGGCCAAGGTGGGAGGATTGCTTGAGCCCAGGAGTCTGGGCCATGTAGAGACCCTGTCTTTATAAACAAACAAACAAAAAAAGAATTAAGAGAGATGGTATTCTTTTGATGTTGGTTTTTTTTTTTTTTTTGTTTGTTTTTTGAGACGGAGCCTTGCTTTGTTGCCCAGGCTGGAGTGTATTGGCATGGTCTCAGCCCATTGCAACTTCTGCCTCCCGGATTCAAGCGAGTCTCATGCCTCAGCCTCCCGAGTAGCTGGGATTACAGGTGACCGCCACCATGCCTGGCTAATTTTTGTATTTTTAGTAGAAACGGGGTTTCACTATGTTGGCCAGGCTGGTCTTGACCTCTTGACCTCGTGATCCGCCCACCTCGGCCTCCCAAAGTGCTGGGATTACAGGTGTAAGCCACCACACCCAGCCTTCTTTTGATGTTTTGCCTTATGAATTAGATAGTAGAGTTGATTATCAAATTGCTAGTTGATTTCTAGTAAAAGCTGTTTCTTGAAAGGAAATTTAGGACTTGGGGTAGATTTCACTGATATACACGTATCCATATGCATATATATCACTGATATATATACATACATGTGAGTGTGTGGAGTGTGTCTGGTTGTGTCTCTGTTTGGCTCGTTTTGTAGATCCATACTTTGACTAATAAACATTAATGAATAATTATGTCGAGATCAAAGTAGAAAGAATAGTATGCTATTCACCAGCACATATATATATATATACACACACACACACACACACGTGTATATATATATATACACATATATACACGTATATATATACACATGTGTGTGTGTGTATATATATATATATATATATATATATATATATATCTAGCAACTAAAGTTGCTAGATATTAGCAACTTAGAAAATATGTTGGAGACAGAAATAATCTGTTTAACAAATCCGTTTATAAATGTGTCTGTAGAAAAGGAATTCTGAGTGCTGATCCCAGCCTTTTTTTCCCAAAGAGTTTGAAAGCATATCAGTAATGATTTTGTGATAGTCTGTGATGTTGATGCTCTAATTGAATTAGATTACCTAGGGATAAAATTGTGAAGCAGTAAGGCATAGCGTAGGTGGAAACTGACAAACTAACACAGAGTAAACAGAGACAACTGGTGAGACCAAGCTGTCTACAGAGGATATCAGCATTCAACATAATCATAAAAGGTTTTATACTTTCAGAGGCTTACCATCTTTCTGGTTTTCATAAAAACAGTGTTAAGATGTGTGAAACTTTTAAAAAACCAATATTCCATATGTGCAAAAGAACATAAATACAATATATATAAAGTTTGGTGAGCAGGAACAGTCGCATATTCATCACGCAGCCTAAGAAATAGAATGTTACCTATACAAAAATAAACTCAAAATGAATTAAAGACTTAAAAGTAAGACCTGAAACAATAAAACTACTAGAAGAAAACATGGGGGAAATGCTTCATGACTTGGTCTGAGCAAGAATTTTTTGGATAAGACCCCAAAAGCATAGGCAGCAATAGCAATTATAGATAAATGGGATTACACCAAACTAAAAAGCTTCTGCACGGCAAAGGCAACAGTCAACAGAGTGAATAGACAGTTTACAGAATGGGAGAATCTATTTGCAAAGTATGCATCTGATAAGGGGTTAATATTCAGAATATGTAAGGAAGTAAACTCAACGGCAAAATAAATAAATAATCCAATGGAAAATGGGCAAAAGATCTGAATAGATAGTTCTCAAAAGAAGACATACAAATGGCCAATGGGTATGTGAAAAAATACTCAGCATCACTAATCAGGGAAATGCAAATAAAAACCACAGGGATATATTACTTCACCTGAGTTAGAATGGATGGTATCAAAAAGATAAAAAAGAACAAATGCAGGCATGGATGTGGAGAAAGGGGGAACTCTTATACACTGTTGGTGGTAATGTAAATTAGTACAGCCATTGTGGAAAACAGTATGGAAGTTCCTCAGAAAACTAAAAATAAACTACCATATGACTCAGCAATCCCACTACTGGGTATATATCTAAAGGAAATGAAATCTATGACAGAGATATCTTCACTCCCATGTTTATTACAGCATAATTCACAACAGCCAAGACATAAAATCAACCTAAGTGTCCATCAATGTATGAATGTATAAAGAGAATGTGATATATATATATATATATATATATATATATATATATATACATACACACAATGGAATATTATTCAGCCATTAAAAGAATGAAATGCTGTCATTTGCAGCAACATGGAAGAACCTGGAGATAATTAAATGAAATAAGAAAGCCAGGCACAGGAAGACAAACACTGCATGATTCATTCATATGTGAAGTGTAAAGTTGATCTCATAGCTATGAGAGTAGAGTAGTGGTTACCAGAGGCTGAGAAGAGTTGGGAGGTAAGGAGAAACTGGTCAGCTGGTACAGAGTTACAGTTAGAGAGGAGGAATAAGTTCTGGTGTTCTGTTGCACAGTAGGTTGACTGTGGTTAACAGTGTTGCACTGTATATTTCAAGATAACTAGAAGAGAGGATTGTGAATGTTTCACTACAAAGAAATGTTAAATGTATGAGACGATATATCCTGAAGATGCTGATTTGATTTTTACACAGTGTATACACGTATCGAAACATCATACTTTACCCCATAAATGTGTAGAGGGAAATTTATAGCACTAAATGCCCACAAGAGAAAGCAGGAAAGATCTAAAATTGACACCCTAACATCACAATTAAAAGAACTAGAGAAGCAAGAGCAAACACATTCAAAAGCTAGCAGAAGGCAAGAAATAACTAAGATCAGAGCAGAACTGAAGGAAATAGAGACACAAAAAACCCTTCAAAAAATAAATGAATCCAGGAGCTGGTTTTCTGAAAAGCTCAACAAAATTGATAGACTGCTAGCAAGACTAATATAGAAGAAAAGAGAGAAGAATCAAATAGACGCAATAAAAAATGACGAAGGGGATATCACCACCGATCCCACAGAAATACAAACTACAATGAGAGAATACTATAAACACCTCTACGCAAATAAACTAGAAAACCTAGAAGAAATGGATAAATTCTGGACACATACAGTCTCCCAAGACTAAACCAGGAAGAAGTTGAATCTCTGAATAGACCAATAACAGGCTCTGAAATTGAGGCAATAATTAATAGCTTACCAACCAAAAAAAGTCCAGGACCAGATGGATTCACAGCCAAATTCTACCAGAGGTACAAGGAGGAGCTGGTACCATTCCTTCTGAAACTACTCCAATCAACAGAAAAAGAGGGAATCCTCCCTAACTCATTTTATGAGGCCAGCATCATCCTGATACCAAAGCCTGGCAGAGACACAACAAAAAACGAGAATTTTAGACCAATATCCTTGATGAACATTGATGCAAAAATCCTCAATAAAATACTGGCAAACCGAATCCAGCAACACATCAAAAAGCTTATCTACCATGATCAAGTGGGCTTCATCCCTGGGATGCAAGGCTGGTTCAACATACGAAAATCAATAAACATAATCCAGCATATAAACAGAAACAAAGACGAAAACTACATGATTATGTCAGTAGATGCAGAAAAGGCCTTTGACAAAATTCAACAACACTTCATGCTAAAAACTCTCAATAAATTAGGTATCGATGGGACGTATCTCAAAATAATAAGAGCTATCTATGACAAACCCACAGCCAATATCATACTGAATGGACAAAAACTGGAAGCATTCCCTTTGAAAACTGGCACAAGACAGGGGTGCCCTCTCTCACCACTCCTATTCAACATAGTGTTGGAAGTTCTGGCCAGGGCAATCAGTCAGGAGAAGGAAATAAAGGGCATTCAATTAGGAAAAGAGGAAGTCAAATTGTCCCTGTTTGCAGATGACATGATTGTATATCTAGAAAACCCCATTGTCTCAGCCCAAAATCTCCTTAAGCTGATAAGCAACTTCAGCAAAGTCTCAGGATACAAAATCAATGTGCAAAAATCACAAACATTCTTATACACCAGTAACAGACAAACAGAGAGCCAAATCATGAGTGAACTCCCATTCACAATTGCTTCAAAGAGAATAAAATACCTAGGAATCCAACTTACAAGGGATGTGAAGGACCTCTTCAAGGAGAACTACAAACCACTGCTCAATGAAATAAAAGAGGATACTAACAAATGGAAGAACATTCCATGCTCATGGGTAGGAAGAATCAATATCGTGAAAATGGTCACACTGCCCAAGGTAATTTATAGATTCAGTGCCATCCCCATCAAGCTTCCAATGACTTTCTTCACAGAATTGGAAAAAAACTACTTTAAAGTTCATATGGAACCAAAAAAAAGCCCGCATTGCCAAGTCAATCCTAAGCCTAAAGAACAAAGCTGGAGGCATCACGCTACCTGACTTCAAACTACACTACAAGGCTACAGTAACCAAAACAGCATGGTACTGGTTCCAAAACAGAGATATAGACCAATGGAACAGAACAGAGCCCTCAGAAATAATGCTGCATATCTACAACTATCTGATCTTTGACAAACCTGACAAAGACAAGCAATGGGGAAAGGATTCCCTATTTAATAAATGGTGCTGGGAAAACTGGCTAGCCATATGTAGAAAGCTGAAACTAGATCCCTTCCTTACACCTTATACAAAAATTAATTCAAGATGGATTAAAGACTTACATGTTAGACCTAAAATCATAAAAACCCTAGAAGAAAACCTAGGCAATACCATTCAGGACATAGGCATGGTCAAGGACTTCATGTCTAAAACACCAAAAGCAATGGCAACAAAAGCCAAAATTGACAAATGGGATCTAATTGAACTAAAGAGCTTCTGCACAGCAAAAGAAACTACCATCAGAGTGAACAGGCAACCTACAGAATGGGAGAAAATTTTTGCAACCTACTCATCTGACAAAGGACTAATATCCAGAATCTACAATGAACTCCAACAAATTTACAAGAAAAAAACAAACAACCCCATCAAAAAGTGGGCAAAGGATATGAACAGACACTTCTCAAAAGAAGATATTTATGCAGCCAAAAAACACATGAAAAAATGCTCATCATCA
Organism: Homo sapiens; assembly: GCF_000001405.40. Lineage (NCBI taxonomy): Eukaryota > Metazoa > Chordata > Mammalia > Primates > Hominidae > Homo > Homo sapiens. The sequence continues at coordinate 38,299,607 of NC_000006.12, read as the reverse complement.
CTGGCCATCAGAGAAATGCAAATCAAAACCACAATGAGATACCATCTCACACCAGTTAGAATGGCGATCATTAAAAAGTCAGGCAACAACAGGTGCTGGAGAGGATGTGGAGAAATAGGAACACTTTTACACTGTTGATGGGGCTGTAAACTAGTTCAACCATTGTGGAAGTCAGTGTGGCGATTCCTCAGGGATCTAGAACTAGAAATACCATTTGACCCAGCAATCCCATTACTGGGTATATACCCAAATGACTATAAATCATGCTGCTATAAAGACACGTGCACACGTATGTTTATTGCAGCACTATTCACCATAGCAAAGACTTGGAACCAACCCAAATGTCCAACAATGATAGACTGGATTAAGAAAATGTGGCACATACACACCATGGAATACTATGCAGCCATAAAAAATGATGAGTTCATGTCCTTTGTGGGGACATGGATGAAGCTGGAAACCATCATTCTCAGCAAACTATCGCAAGGACAAAAAACCAAACACTGCATGTTCTCACTCATAGGTGGGAACTGAACAATGAGAACACATGGACACAGGAAGGGGAACATCACACACTGGGGATTGTTGTGGGGTGGGGGATGGGGAGAGGGATAGCATTCGGAGGTATACCTAATGCTAAATGACGAGTTAATGGGTGCAGCACACCAACATGGCACATGTATACATATGTAACAAACCTGCACGTTGTGCACATGTACCCTAAAACTTAAAGTATATTAAAAAAAAAAAAAGAATGAAATACTTTCATTTGCAGCAACATGGATGGAACTGGAGGTCATTATGTTAAGTGAAATAAGCCAGGCACAGACAGACAGATATCATATGTTGTTACTCATAATTGGGAGCTTAAAAAGTTGATCTCATGGAGGTAGAGAGTAAAGAAATAGGCATCAGAGGCTGGGAAGGTTTTGTGTGTGTTTGGGGTTGGGAGGGTGAAGGGATAAAGGGAGACTGGTTAAAGGGTACAAATATACAGTTAGATAGAAGGAATCAGTTCTAATGTTTGTTGGTAGAGTAGGGGACTACAGTTAATAACAATGTATTGTGTATTTTAGAATAGCTTAAAGAGAGGACATGAGATGTTTTCAGTACATAGAAACAACAAATACTTGAGGCGAGGGATACTCTGACTTGATCATTGTACATTCTATGCATGTAATAAAATATCACATGTACTCCATAAGTATGTACAAATATTATGTGTCAAAACTATTTTTAATTGCAAAAATGTGTTAAGGTCTTTTATATTGGTCAGGAGAAGGAATATATAATTATTAATTTTAGAGATTATTAAATCTGGTATGCTTGTCTAAAATTTAAGAGACATAAAAGGATAAAAATTTAATGTATATATAACCTCCAAACCAAATCAGTTGGGATAGCTGGTGGGGGAAATGAAATAATCTATCCATTCTTAGAAAACTGGAGCAGAGGCCAGGTGTGGTGGCTCACACCTGTAATGCCAGCACTTTGGGAGGCCGAGGCGGGCAGATCACGATGTCAGGAGGTCGAGACCATCCTGGCTAACATGGTGAAACCCCGTCTGTACTAAAAATAAAAAATATATAAAATAAAAAAATTAGCCGGGTGTGGTGGCAGGCACCTGTATTCCGAGCTACTTGGGAGGCTGAGGCAGGAGAATGGCATGAACCCAGGAGGTGGAGCTTGCAGTGAGCCGAGATAGCACCACTGCACTGCAGCCTGGGCGACAGAGCGAGACTCCATCTCAGAAAAAAAAAAAAAAAGAAAACTGGAGCAGAATGGGCAGAAAGGTAAGAGAAACAGCAAAGAAAAAACATGTAAATAGAAAATAAAAGCGAGTTCAAATAAATTAGTAATAACAATTAATGGGAGTCATGTAAATCTGCCAGTTAAAATACGCACTGCCAGTTAAGGACACTGAATCTTTTAAAAATCTATTATGTTATTTACAAGAGACCAGAAAAATAGAAAGTGACATGATACTAAGGAAATAGTAGACAATGTAAAGGTGTTATAGTTACTTGACATCAGACAACATAGACTTTAGGGCAAAAACATTGTTAAGAATAACGAACAGTAATACATAATGATGAAAGGTTCAATCTACCAGGAAGATATAATTTCTAAGATGATGTACATGATGATGTGGTCTCAAAACACATAAAGCAAAAATCAACAGAATTGTAGGAAAAACTGACAAATCTATAGTCATAGTCATAACAGGAGATTTTTTTTTTCTTCAAGTCAGTCTCACTCTGTTGCCCAGGCTGGGGTGCAATGGCGCAATCTCAGCTCATTGCAACCTCCACCTCCCGTGTTCAAACGATTATCCTGCCTCAGCCTCTTGGGTAGCTGGGATTACAGGTGCGCGCCACCATGCCCAGCTAATTTTTGTATTTATAGTAGAGACGGGGTTTCACCACGTTAGCCAGGCTGCTCTGGAACTCCTGACCTTGTGATCCGCCCACCTCAGCCTCCCAAAGTGCTGGGATTACAGGCGTGAGCCACCGCGCCTGACCGCAGGAGATTTTAACAAACATCTCCCAGTAATTAGTAAGCATATAAATATTCGAATAATACAATTGGCAATTTTGATCTAATAAATATATATAGAACCATACATCCCCCAAATTAGAGAATATACATTCTTTTGAGGCACACATAAGACATTCATAAGAATTAGCCATGTACTAGACCACAAAGTAAATCTAAGATTTTACGAAGTCACATCGGACACACCACAGTTTTTTTTCCACATTGCAATTTAATTAAAAATCAGTAACAGAAAGACAACTTGAAAAACGATGTTTAGAAAGTTGAAAACGTACTTCTGAATAATTCGTGGGTCAAAGGAAAAATGATAAAGGAAATTATAAAATATTTAGAAATGATTAACTTTTAAAATACTGTATATCAGACAAACCCAAATTGAGGGACATTCTACACAATACCTGACTGGTACACTTCAAAACACTAAATATCAAAAAATTGTAAAGGTGAAACAGGAGTTAGAAGTAAAATACTATATTAGCTTTAAATACATTTTTTTAGAAAAGAAAAAGATTAGTGAGTTAAACATTCATTTCAAGTAGTTAGGAAAAAAATAGAATAAATCCAAAGGAGCAGGAGGAAGAAAATAATAAAGAGAAGACAGGAATTTAGTAAAATAGGAAATAAGGAAAAGAATCAACAAAACCCAATGTTGGTTCTTTAAGAGCACTAATAAAATAGATAAACCTGTATAGAACTGGGCAAAAAAGAAAGGCAAGGTATAATAAATAATACTTTGAATGAAAAAGAGCTATACTGTGAAATATTGTATGCCAGTATGTTTGAAAACTTAAACAAAATAAAAAATTTTCCTGAAAGGGCCAAGAATATATGACAATGTAAAAGAAAAAAGAAAAGGAAAAGGAGGGGGAGAAGAGGAGCTAACTAAGATTTACAATTACTTTAAAATTATGGTAATTAAGACAGCATGGTAAAGGCACAAGGCTAGTCAAATCAACCAGTGAAACAGAATACAGATCTTTTTTTGTTTTTGTTTCTGTTTTTTTGAGACAGAGTCTCGCTTTGTTGCCTAGGCTGGAGTGGAGTGGCATGATCTCGGCCCACTGCAACCTTAACTTCCCAAGTTCAAGCGATTCTCCTGCCTCAGCCTCCCAATAGCTGGGATTACAGGCATGCACCATCACACCCAGCTAATTTTTGTATTTTTAGTAGAGATGGGGTTTCATCATGTTGGCCAAGCTGGTCTCAAACTCCTGGCCTCAAGTGCTCCGCCTGCCTCCGCCTCCCAAAGAGCTGGGATTATTACAGGCATGAGCCACCATATCCAGCCTCAGAATACAGATCTTAAATGGAGATGCAAATATATACAAAAACTTCATATGTGACTAAAGTAACATAAATTAGTGGGGGAAAGGATGGGCTGTTCACTAAATGCTATTTGGGGAAATTAGTCATATTTATAAATAAAAGATGAAAATCCTCATCTCACAGCATACTAAAAATAAATTCTGAATAGATTAAAGAAACAAACATAAAAAGAAAAGTTTGAGAAATTGTAGGAGAAAATTAGGAAAATATCCTTATGAATTTGGTGTAGGAAAGAACTTATAAACAAGAAAGGAAAAGTTTGCCAGGCGTGGTGGCTCATGCCTATAACCCCAGCACTTTGGGAAGCTGAAGCAGGAGGATTGCTTGAGCCCAGGAGTTCAAGACCAGCCTGGGCAACAAAATGGGACCTCGTCTCTATAAAAAATTTAAAAAATTAGCCAGGCATGATGGCACCTGCCTATGGTTCCAGCTACTCGAGAGGCTGAGGCAGGAGGATTGCTTGAGCCTGGGAGTCCAAGGCTGTAGTGAACCGTGATCGTACCACTGCACTCCAGCCTGGATGACAGAATGAGACCGTGTCTCAACAACAACAACAATAATAGAATTTTTTTGAAAAGGGAAAAGCATAAGTCATAAAGAAAAAGATTAAATATTTCAACTCAATAAATTGACCTACAAAAGCTTGGCATCCTGAAAATCAATTAGAAAGATAATAGAAAAATAGGCAAAAGATAAAAATAGTTTACAGAAGAGAAATTGAGAATGATTCCAGAGGGAAAAAAAGAGAAAAAAAAATGTTCAACTTCACCTAACAAAAAAGTTAAAAGCTAAAATCACACTGAGATCCCATTTCACACTTACCTGTCTGACATTACCAGGAGTTGGTGAGGATGTGGAGCAATTAGTTGAGAGTATAAAGGTTTTTTTTTTTTTTGGCACAAAATTTTATTTTCTTATTTTTTTATTATACTTTAAGTTCTGGGATACATGTGCAGAATGTGCAGGTTTGTTACATAGGTATACACATGCCATGGTGGTTTGCTGCACCCATCAACCCATCATCTACATTAGGTATTTCTCGTAATGCTATCCCTCTCCTAGATCCCCACCCCCTGACAGGCCCCTGTGTGTGATGTTCCTCTCCCTGTGTCCATGTGTTCTCATTGTTTAACTCCCACTTATGAGTGAGAACATGTGGGGTTTGGTTTTCTGTTCCTGTGTTAGTTTGCTGAGAGTGATGATTTCCAGCTCCATGCATGTCCCTGCAAAGGACATGAACTCATCCTTTTTATGGCTGCATAGTACTCCATGGTGTATATGTGCCACATTTTCTTTATCCAGTCTATCATTGATGGGCATTTGGGTTGGTTCCAAGTCTTTGCTATTGTGAACATATGTGTGCATGTCTCTTTATAGCAGCATGATTTATAATCCTTTGGGTATATACCCAGTAATGAGATGGCTGGGTCAAATGGTATTTCTGGTTCTAGATTCTTGAGGAATCGCCACATTGACTTCCACAATGGTTGAACTAGTTTACAGTCCCACCAACAGTGTAAAAGTGTTCCTAATTCTCCACATCCTCTCCAGCATCTGTTGTTTCCTGACTTTTAATGATCGCCATTCTAACTGGCATGAGATGGTATCTCGTTGTGGTTTTGATTTGCATTTCTCTAATGGCCAGTGATGTTGAGCTTTTTTTCATACGTTTGTTGGCATAAATGTCTTCTTTTGAGAAGTGTCTGTTCATATCCTTTGCATGCTTTTTGATGGGGTTGTTTGTTTTTTTTCTTGTAAATTTGTTGAAGTTCCTTGTAGATTCTGGATATTAGCCCTTTGTCAGATGGATAGATTGCAAAAATTTTCTCCCATTCTGTAGGTTGCCTGTTCACTCTGATGATGGTTTCTTTTGCTGTGCAGAAGCTCTTTAGTTCAATTAGATCCCATTTGTCAATTTTGGCTTTTGTTGCCATTGTTTTTCGTGTTTTAGTCATGAAGTCTTTGCCCATGCCTATGTCCTGAATGGTACTGCCTCTAGGTTTTCTTCTAGAGTTTTTATAGTTTTAGGTCTTATATTTAAGACTTTAATCCATCTTGAGTTAATTTTTGTATAAAGTGTAAGGAAGGGGTTCAGTTTCAGTTTTCTGCATGTGGCTAGCCAGTTTTCCCAGCACCATTTATTAAATAGGGAATCCTTTCCCCGTTGCTTGTTTTTGTCAGGTTTGTCAAAGATCAGATGGTTGTAGATATGTGGCATTATTTCTGAGGCCTCTGTTCTGTTCCATTGGTCCATATATCTATTTGGTACCAGTACCATGCTGTTTTGGTTACTGTAGCTTTGTAGTGTAGTTTGAAGTCAGGTAGGATAATGCCTCCAGCTTTGTTCTTTTTTCTTAGGATTGTCTTGGCTATGCAAGCTCTTTTTTGGTTCCATGTGAAATTTAAAGTAGTTTTTTCTAATTCTATGAAGAAATTCAATGGAGCTTGATGGGGATAGCATTGAATCTATAAATTACTTTGGGCAGTATGGCCATTTTCACGATATTGATTTTTCCTATCCATGAAAAACAAATGGAATGTTTTTCCATTCGTTTGTGTTCTCTCTTATTTCCTTGAGCAGTGGAGAAACTCACTCAAAACTGCACAACTACATGGAAACTGAACAACTGCTCCTGAATGATTACTGGGTAAATAATATAATTAAGGCAGAAATAAATAAGTTCTTTGAAACCAATGAGAACAAAGACACAACATACCAGAATCTCTGGGACACAGCTAAAGCAGTGTTCAGAGGGAAATTTATAGCACTAAATGCCCACAGGAGAAAGCAGGAAAGGCCTAAAATCGACACCCTAACATCACAATTAAAAGAACTAGAGAAGCAAGAGCAAACAAATTCAAAAACTCGCAGAAGACAAGAAATAACTAAGAGGAGAGCAGAACTGAAGGAGATAGAGACATGAAAAACCCTTCAAAAAATCAATGCATCCAGGAGCTGGTTTTTTGAAAAGATTGACAAAATAGATAGACCACTAGCCAGACTAATAAAGAAGAAAAGAGAGAAGAATCAAATAGACACAATAAAAAAATGATAAAGGGAATATCACCACTGATCCCACAGAAATATAAACTACCATCAGAGAATACTATAAACACCTCTAAGCAAATAAAGTAGAAAACCTAGAAGAAATGGATAAATTCCTGGACACATACACCCTCCCAAGACTAAAGCAGGAAGAAGTCGAATCCCTGAATAGACCAATAACAAATTCTGAAATTGAGGCAGTAATTAATAGCCTACCAACCAAAAAAAAGCCCAGGACCAAAAGGATTCACAGCCGAATTCTACCAGAGGTACAAAGAGGAGCTGGTACCATTCCTTCTGAAACTATTCCAAACAATAGAAAAAGAAGGACTCCTCTGTAACTCATTTTATGAGGCCAGCATCATCCTGATACCAAAACCTGGCAGAGACACAACAACAACAAAAAAGAAAATTTCAGCCGGGCGTGGTGGCTCATGCCTGTAATCCCAGCACTTTGGGAGGCTGAGGCTGGTGGATCACCTGAGGTCAGGAGTTCAAGACCAACCTGACCAACAAGGTGAAACCCCGTGTCTACTAAAAATACAAAAAAATTAGCCAGGTGTGGTGGCAACCGCCTGTAATCCCAGCTACTTGGGAGGCTGAGGCAGGAGAATTGCTTGAGCTGGGCAGGCGGAGGCTGCAGTGAGCTGAGATTTCGCTACTGCACTCCGGCCTGGGCAACAAGAGCAAAACTTCGTCTCAAAAAAAAAAAAAGAAAGAAAAAAGAAAATTGCAGGCCAATATCCCTGATGAACATCTATGCAAAAATCCTCAATAAAATACTGGCAAACTGAATCCAGCAGCACATCAAAAAGCTTATCCACCACAATCAAGTCAGCTTCATCCCTGGGATGCGAGGCTGGTTCAACATACGCAAATCAATAAACGTAATCCATCACATAAACAGAACCAGTGACAAAAAACACATGATTATCTCAATAGACGCAGAAAAGGCCTTAGATAAAATTCAACACCCCTTCATGCTAAAAACTCTCAGTAAACTAGGTATTGATGGAACGTATCTCAAAATAATAAGAGCTATTTATGACAAACCCACAGCCAATATCATACTGAATGGGCAAAAGCTGGAAGCATTCCCTGTGAAAACCAGCACAAGACAAGGATGCCCTCTCACCACTCCTATTCAACATAGTATTGGAAGTTCTGGCCAGGGCAATCAGGCTAGAGAAAGACATAAAGGATATTCAAATAGGAAGAGAGGAAGTCAAATTGTCTCTGTTTGCAGATGACATGATTGTATATTTAGATAATCCCATCGTCTCAACCCAAAATCTCCTTAAGCTGATAAGCAACTTCAGCAAAGTCTCAGGTTACAAAATCAATGTGCAAAAATCACAAGCATTCCTATACACCAATAACAGATAAACAGAGAGCCAAATCATGAGTGAACTCCCATTCACAATTGCTACAAAGAGAATAAAATACCTAGGAATCCAACTGACAAGGGATGTAAAGGACCTCTTCAAGGAGAGAGTATAAAGTTTTACAACCACTTTGGTGAAAAATTTGGCAATATCTAGGGAAGTTGAAGTTAACTCATAGCCATGAGTGTAATTCCACTTCCACATACATAGAAATCTCAAGTATTCCTTTAAGAAACTCTTACCTGGGAATACAAGAAGACATCTTTGTTTGTAATGGCAAAGAAAACAATGGTAACAATCTAAATGTCCTTCAGCAAGAGAATAGATATATAAATCTTAGAATATTCATACATTGAAATACTTTAAATACTTGAAACAGATGACCCAGATGTACCTGTCTGTTAAATGCTCTTTCATCCAGGCTTAATGTTTGTAGTAGACATTAAATGTTGTTCACCAAATACCCCATTTTTTCTCCCTGGAGCTTTTCCCAGGCACACAGCAGGGTTGTGCTTTCTAGTCCCCTCTGAAGTTAGATAAGACCATGTGACTTAGACAATGAAATATGTACAAAGTGACATGCATTACTTTTGGGGAAGAGTTTTAAGAGCCTGTGCCCAGCTTACTCTCTTCCCACTGCGGCTGTGATTGGGGAAGCACATGTCAGTATGAAGCCTCTGTCACTGGGATCCCTGAGTGATACAATGAGCAGAGCCTCCTGGCTGATCGTCACTGAATACATAGGGTGAGTGAAAAAATAAATGTGTGCTATGTTAAGCCACTGAGAGAGTAGGGGCCTGTCAGTTGCTGCAGCATAACCTGTCTACAGTGTTATGTCTCAGCTCAATTTACTGTACATCTTATACCACTTCCTTTCATTCTCTCTTCCAAATCAAAGAATACTGCCCTTTTTCCAGGAGATAGAAGTACCATAACTTACCTTCTAAATATAGTCCACTTCTGTTTCTTTCCAAAGTCACAGGGAGCTTCTCTCTGAGCTCCTTCTCTGCCAGGAAACTGTCCTTACAGGTAATTTCACCGGTGTTTTTACTTGTTGCTTTGGAATTAAGCTTCATAATCAAGGAATTCATCACCAGAAAAATTCATCCTCTCTCTCTCCCTCCTCTCCCTTCCTTTCTTCTCTGTGGGTGGCTTTACTCAGCTACAGAGAGCAAAGCAATTAGTGAAGGCATACGAGATGAGGGCTTAAGTACAAGCATGTCCAACTTTGGAAAATAAATGAGTTGCATAGAAGATATATGTAAAATTACTTTTTTCTTTTCCAATCTATTTTAATTTATCTGATGTAAGCTACAAACCTTGAATGTAAGTAGGTTTTGGTTAAATAACTTAAATGTCTGAAGAAAATTAAAGGTTTTTGTTTTAAACGTGCAGAAAAGGTCCCAGGGGACTTAAAAGGCCCTCACCTTTTATTCTCTTCTCAGTGTTTAGAGAACTTACATCATAGTGAGCATCCATCATTTTGTGGAAGTTCTTGACTTTTATAAATGAGCAGGTTGATATAGACTTGAGTTATATAGAGAGAGACTCAAAATCAGAACAGCTGGGTTTTTAAGATGCAGCAGTTCATGAACAATGGGAAGAGCATATATGTTGCAATGCACAGAATAGTAGACAAAAAAAAGAAATTAATCATGGCTGAGGGCAACTGTATATTCTGAAATGGGTTTGGTACCAGGTCTCAGATCACTTTCCTATTATGTGAGTTTCAAAATTCTGAATTTAACATGTTTCTTTAAACAGACTTTCAGAATAATAGATATTATTCAGAATAATAGAAAATATCTGCAGCTTAGAGACTACTAATAAAACAAATACCTATGTACCTACCAGCTAGCTTAAGATATAGAACAAGAGCAGTATTTATTAGACATAAAATCAATTAAAAAAAATTTTTTTTGAGAGGGAGTCTCACCGTGTTATTAAGGCTGGAGGACAGTGGCATGACCTCGGCTCACTGCAACCATTGCTTCCCAGGCCCAAGCAATCCTCCCACCTCAGTAGGCCGAGTCGCTGGGACCACAGATGTGTGCTACCACGCCTGGCTAATTTTTTGTATTTTGGGTAGAAATGGGGTTTCACCACATTATCCTGGCTGGTCTTGAACTCCTGAGCTCAAGCTATCTGCCCTCCTCAGCCTCCCAAAGTGCTGGGGTTACAGGTGTGAGCCACCGTGCCTGGCTGCTATTTTTAATTTTCTGTATTAATTTCCTAGATTCCCTTTTTAGTTTTATGTATATAGCTCTAAACAAAGTATGTTTTAGTTTTGACTTTGTTGAAAACTTTGTATAAGTGAATACATAGCCTGTGTTTTTCTATGCCTTGCTTTTTCTTTTTTTCTTTTTTTGGAGACGAGTCTCGCTCTGTCACCCAGGCTGGAGCGCAGTGATGCGATCTTGGCTTACTGCATCCTCTGCCTCCCAGGTTCAAGCAATTCTCTTGCCTCGGCCTCCCGAGTAGCTGGGACTACAGGCACACGCCACCACGCCTGGCTGATTTTTTATATTTTAGTAGAGATGGGGTTTCACCATGTTGGCTGGTCTCAAACTCCTGACCTCAAGTGATCTGCCCACCTCAGCCTCCCAAAGTGCTGAGATTACAGGTGTGAGCCACCATGCCCACTGGGCTTAACATTTTTTAAAAAGCTATTTGGCATGGAAAATGTATTCATATCTGAAGATAATCCAGATGTTCTAATTTTTCTTTTATCATTGATTTGAGATAGCAATTAATTAATTTTGTTCTGAGCACACTATAGAGATATATTTGGCTTCTCTTATCCTGATGCCAAATCTTGTTTTTGGATTCACAGTTCCCATGGAGAATGTTGCAACAATTGCTGATTGTGCCAGTGTGATTGAAGGAGTCAGTCGGAGCCGAAATGCCTTGCTGAATGGGGACACTAAGAATTATGACTGGGATTCTGGCTACACATGTCACCAGCTAGGAAGTGGTGCGATTGTGGTTCAGTTGGCACAACCGTACATGATTGGGTCAATACGGTAAGAAGATTCCTCCTCATTCATAAGTTTTAAAATGGAAGATACACATATAGATTGTATTTTGGTAAAATGATAATCCTAATAACTTCAGTGAAGAAATTCTACTGTTCTTTGCTCTAAGTATCAAGAAAGGAGTGGGAGCCGAAGGAAGGGACAACAACGAGATATAGCGTGCTTGTTTGGATTTTCCACTGGGGCAGTACACTGAAGTTAGACTCATGGAGGAACTAGACAAGAGGCTTCTCCCTGGGTGGCTTATGTCCTTTTCAAGTCTCAATTTGTATTGGTTAGAGACTTATAGGATAATGTCAAGATAGGTTATATAGAATGAAAAATCATTTTCAACTTTAATAAATTACATATGAACCAAACAGATCTGAATTCGAGATCTGGTTTTGAATAATCTTAGTGATCTTTGCGCCTGGGCTTTTTGTTGTTCCTTTTTGTTTTAAGAAGGGAACTTTAACCTTGCTTGATTTATAGGATTATATAATTTTTAAACGTGAGACTGGTGATATCCCTCAGAGGATATACAGTCATGCATTGCTTAATGGCAGAGACACACTGTAAGAAATGCACTGTCAGCCAATTTTGTCATTGTGGAAACATCATAGAGTGTCCTTACACAAACCTAGATGGTATATAGCCTACCACACACCTAGGCTAGATGGTATGTTCTGTTGCTCCTAGGCTACAAACCTGTACAGCATGTTACTATACTGAAGACTGTAGGCAATTATAACACAGTGGTAAGTATTTGTGTATCTGAACATGTCTAAACATAGAAAACGTACAAGAAAAATATAATATACAAGATAAAAAATGGTGCCTGGGCACGGTGCCTCATGCCTGTAATCTCAGCACTTTGGGAGGCGGAGGTGGGCGGATCGCTTGAAAGCTCAGGAGTTCGAGACCAGCTTGGGCAACATTACAAGGTCTCATCTCAATTAAAAAAAAAAAGAAGAACATAAAAAATGGTACACCTGTGTAGGGCACTTACCATGAATGGAGCTTGCAGGACAAGAAGTTGCTCTGGGTGAGTCAGTGAGTGAGTGATGGGTGAATGTGAAGGCCTAGGACATTACTGTACTGTAGACTTTTAAACATTGTACATTTAGGCTGCTATATGTGTGTGTGTGTGTGTGTGTGTGTGTGTGTGTGTATATTTTTTTTTTTTTTTTTTTTTTTTGAGATGGAGCCTCACTATTGTCACCCAGGCTGGAATGCAATGGTGCGATCTTGGCTCACCGCAACCTCTGCCTCCCAGGTTCAAGCCATTCTCTTGCCTCAGCCTCCCAAGTAGCTGGGATTATAGGCACCTGTCACCATGGCTGGCTAATTTTTGTATTTTTAGTAGAGATGGGGTTTCATCATGTTGGCCAGGCTGGTCTTGAACTCCTGACCTCAAGTGATCAGCCCGCCTCGGCCTCCCAAAGTGCTGGGATTACAGGCATGAGCCATGGCGCCCAGCCAACACTAAATTTTTTTAATAAAGTAATAGTGCTGCGACATTATGATATCACTAGGCGATAAGCATTTTTCAGCTTCATTATATCTTATGAGACAATCATAAATGCAGTTCGTCCTTGACTAAAACATCTCATTATGCAGTGCATGACTATACTTTTAGTTGAAGATTGCCATCTGGGTCTTAAGTAAGCTGCTTTTTCTCTTCTCTTCTTTTTATTATTTAATGTTCTAAGAAGGTCTCTGAAGGGCTAATGAAAACATATAATGTTTATATATATATGTATGTGTGTGTATATGTATATGTATATCTTAGCCTGCCTGGAGTAAAGGTATTGGCAAGACATGACTGCCTTTCCCCCATAATGTTCCACCACATTTGCTTTGTTGTTTCCTGTTCTCATTTGAAAATCAGTATGTATAAAGAAAGAAATAGCACAAAAAATAAGGTACTAATATTCTAATAAGCAAAGGTTTATTGATGTTTAGGCTAATAACCATAGAAGTTGATGCTGCTTGCTGGTTCCCCAGGGCACCCTAAGGAGTTGATGCTGGGTTTCTTGGAGAATTCAGACTGTGGATTCTTCATTTAAATTGTTGACCCTTTTTTATAAAGGGCCACATTACAGGCTGAGTACCATAGGCAACAAATCACAGATAGAGAAGCCTCGAGTTTGTACCTCAGGCCAGACCAGCTTACTTTGTGCTTAGGGAGGGAAAGAGACAAGCCACATCAGCTACCTGTACAAATAAACTTCTGTCGAATAGCAAATAATACCCCACCTTCCTTTCTGTCATCTGTATGCATTAACTAAAGTACTTGTAAACCATCTATTTAGTAAGCTATTCTAGAATTTTTGTTAAAGATGATGTGAAACCTCTATATTTTCCATTACAACCTATCCCTTTTTACTTTAAAAATCTGGAAAACAGTTGTCTTTCTTTTGTCTTCTGGCACCCCTGATAGCCTCCACAATTTCTTGAAGATTACCAATCGTGTCTCTGAGATTACATCTGCAATTTCTTTCAGTAGGCTTGGGGTGTAACTCATCTGAGTCAGGAGACTTGAAATCATTTAAATTGACTAGATACTCTCTTTGACTTCACCTATTTGGGACTTCAATTTTCTCTTTATTATGTTTGTTCTGACATTTCTAATTTGAAGACCAGTCTCCTTGCCAATGAAGATTGAAGCAAACGGGAAGTTTAGTAGCTCTGCCCACTCTCTTTTAATGTTCTCCGTTTTCCATTTGCTTACCTGGTACCCCACACCTCCCTCCCCACCACCGCCACCATCTAACAGTGTTCTATGCGCATCTCAAACCAAGATGCCTAAAATGGAATTCCATTATCCTTCCCTCCCTGTTCAAGTCACGTCATGTCATGATTCCCCATCTCATTCAGTGGCACCATCCATTTGTCCATTACTTGAGCCAAAAACTTGGGAATCTCCCTGATTTCCTTCCTCTCCTTCACCTTCCTCTCTCATCCAGTCAGCCATAAAGTTCTGTCAGTACAGCCTAAACATCTCACAAATCCTTCCCCTCTTCTGTGTCCCACTGCATTACCATAGTTGCACAATAGTTGTTTCACTTTTCTACCCAATCTTCCAGACCTCCATTGGGCCCCCCAGTTCCCCACCCACAACCGTCCCTCCCACACATCTGATATGGCCACACCCTTCTCTCAGAGGAATCATGATTAGTAGTTCCCTTCAGGAGACAGTTCAGACTAAGGCATTTAAGAGCTATCTGACTTACCTCTGTCTATACAACCTCGTGTCCTGCGTGTGCACCCCTCCCCACCCTCCCCAACCCTGTGCTACTCTGGACTCTGTCACAGCCTATCCAGCGATAAGAGCATTGCACATGGGTTCCACCCTCTCTTACCCTCCTGCCTCCAATTCTTTGATCATGCTGATATCATTGTTTGCATCTCTCACTACCTTCTCATTACCTCCTTTTTTACCTGGCTCTTTTTTTATTCCCCCTTTTAGGCTCCACTCCTTTGGGAATGCTTCTCTAACCGTCCATTATCTCCTGAACTTATTGATAGATCCCTCTTCAGTAATCCCATAAATTTTGTATACAATTTCTATCAGAGCATTTGTATTATAAATGTTCACTTGCTGCCTCCTCCCAGCCATACCTGATACATAAAAGCCTGTGGCAACTCAGAATACTCTTCCCTTGAAAGATTCAATGTACTGATGAGGTAGTCTATCAAAAAAGAAGGGGAAACTGGGGGGAGGGGGTACAACAGGAAACCTAGAATCTTTAATCTAGTGTGGACTACATGAGGTTATTATCAGGGTGACAACTCAGAGAAACAAACAGGCTCTTCATGTGGCAAGGCCACCTTGGCCTCTAGCTCTACCCAAAGAATCAGAGATGTTGAATCTGACTCCAGAAAAGGCTGTCACTGGGGCTTAAGACAAGAGAGAACAGTGCCCATTTGGGTTTTTTTAAAATGTGGAATGAAAGTGGTTCTCCCAAACAATTTTTCTTTTCCTGACTCAGAGCGGGGATGATGAGCATGAACACACCAAAGGCAGAATTGTGTATCTCAGCACAGTATGAAGCCTCCAACTTCCTTAAGCCCGCTTTTTTTTCCCAGTAAAAAAAAAAATCCATGCAATTGAAGCTCTGTATAACTGGCTGAGCCTTCAAAGAGACACGTCTCTGTGAAACTAACATTATGTTGTCAGGAACTGCATTTGCCTCTTCTGTGACATTATTAAGAGGAAAAGGAGAGAGATTGCTTAGCCACCAATGCTTGTGACAATGCTGGAGATCTTGGCAGGCTTCAGTTAGCGACAGTTGATGTGGCCAGATAGACATTTATTGACAGGAAACTAGATGAGTGGTACCCCTTTCATGGGGATGAGTAATTGACCAATGACAGGTTGATTAGTCAGTGACATTTGACCCACAGCTTCTATTGCTTGTGATGGCTGACTTGCTTTCCTAGGCATTGTATCTGAAGAAACCCAGTGATTCTGCATCAACACCAGAGGGAGAGTATTACAGAGCCCAGTGACTTAACAGTTTCCCCATCTAGGAGGGAGGAGATCTGGAAATCCTGGAAACCCTCTCTTACCCTGGCTGTGGTAGGGCCCAATCAATGGTATATTGGTTTTAAATATTCAGATTCCTTTATATTTGGTGACTACAGAGGCAAAGGTCTCAAACATGATGGTGTGATCATGGCTTACTGCAGCCTTGACCTCTTGGGCTCAAGCAATCCTCCCACTTCAGCCTCTTGAGCAGCTGGGACCACAGGCATGCACCACCACACCTGACTAGTTTATAAAATTTTTTGTAGAGACAGGGTCTTGCTTTGTTGCCTAGGCTGGTCTCGAACTCCTGGGCTCAAGTGATCCTACTGACTTAGCCTCCCAAAGTGCTGGGATTACAGGTGTGAGCCCCTGCACCTGGCCAAACATGAATTATCTTGGTCACTGCATTTGCTATTGCTAAGTGAAGGACATAATTGCTTTGTGAATAAGGATTTCTTTTGTTTGGCTGTTTTCATCCACAGAAGCCATTTCTTCCTTTTCTGAGAGTTTACTCCGTAGTTGGGTAGGCAAGTAGAACCTTCTTTCTTGATGAAAAATGTTTGGGCCTAAGTAAGCATGGTCAGTGGCTGTCTAATCCTCTTAGTGAGTCAGATACCAATATCCTGTGGTATACTAGAAAGGGTAGACTCCAAACATGATCTCTGACCCTCTCTCTATACCCGCATTTTCGTTGATTCATTCAACAAAATTTACTAATCCTCTTACTATGTGCTAGGCACTATTGTAGGCACTGGGGATATGGCATTGAATAAACAAAATAAACATTGGTGCTCTCATGGAACTGACATTCTAGTGGGGTTGAGGGGAGATAATAAACGCTGTTTTTTAGATGGCTGATATTTAGAAGTGCCATGGGGGAATCAGGAGGAAAAACCGGGTTGGAGACAGAGTCCAGTTTTAGATTGGGTGGTCAGGAAGGCCTCACTGAGAAGGGTGAAGTGTGAGCAGATCCCAAAGGATGGAGACAGTAAGTCCTCTGGGGATGAGCATCACCGGCAGTGCCAAGCCCTGGAGTGGAGCTTGCCTGGCAGGCCACAGGAGCAGCTAGGAGGCCAGTGTGGCTGGAGCAGGAGGGAGGGGATAGCATGGCCAGCTGAGAGATAGCTTTGAGAGGTGACAGCCTGAGATGTTTCCATCCCACCCCGCCACCACCACCCATGTTTCAGTGTTTCTTCAGCGCCATCAGAGCAGAGGAGGGGCAGGGATGGGGAGGCCCTCATGCCTTTAGAAACCACCTTGTCTGCTCCTGACCTTCCTTGATCCAGTCCGCTCCTAGAAAAGAAACAGCAGGAGGTGTCCTAACTTACCATTTAACAGGAAGCTCTTTCGTCTCTTGCATTTCTTTCTCATTCCCAAGGTAGCATAACTGGGAAATAAAGGAGTTTGTCCTTGGTGTTGCTAGGTTTACAAGCACAGCAAAAGTTACGCATTTTATTTTCAAGAAAAGAGAGAGAAATTACCTGAAATGTGCCTTAAAAGTGGATAATTGAATAGTAATTATATCATTTTCATGCCATTTTAAAAACATTAAAATTTAAATAACGGGAAGTCTTCAGAGGCTTGACCACATAAAAAGACCAGAGTAGAGTCATAATAACTAACCAAATCCACCTAATGTCTTAGTTTATAGTCCCTCTGTCGCCTTAGTTTAAGACTTATTATCTTTCTACTTGCTAATTGTGATATCCTTTTTAGTGTTTTCAGGCTAGTATGAGAACTCAAATATGCTATGCATTAAGTATACCTATCATCCAGTCTTTTCCAGCTAATAAATGACAGCACTTTGTTGAAACCCTAATTATAAGATAGTCAGTTAAATTAACAATTTTTACATTGGTTTGAACGATGTTTTTGCAATTGATATGTGCAATAGAGTAAGTGAAATACCCAAAATATTTTAAATAACAAATAATAGTAAATAGGGTGTCAAAAGATAAGACTGTTTAGATAGATGCAGCTAACTAAACCCATTGTCTCTGTGGGTGTTGTGAGTATTAAGAAGTTAATGACACAAAAACATTTTGAGTTCTTCAGTTGGAAAATATTATATAAATGCAATATGTTAGGACAAAAGATGTCTAGCCCAAAATAGTTTCTTGATGGGTATTCATAATCTCTTTAGTCTGTGGGGTGAAGCTCTTTTTGTTTTGCAGAAGGAAAAAACAATTCTACCACTTTAAAAAGTTAATCTGGCACAGACTGTCTGAACCACAAATCAGTTTATGTCTTGTAGTTATTAAGTAGATAAAAAGAAGTAATAGCAAGTTGATCCTAAAAAAATAATAATAATAAAAGAATTACATATGCCACTGTGGTCCTTATTCATCTGGTATATTTTTCTTTCTCTGTGAACTGTCAAGCCCATGCCGAGTTCAATTGTCCTTTCACTATTGTGTGGCTACAACCAACTCTAGATTATCTATTCAGTTTGTAAATTACCGTGACCTCCTTTAGACTGCTATTTTTTCTTCTTCCTGCTGCTTACCACCCTGCCTAACTGTTGCTCATGCACTTCCCTCCAGAAGGATAAGCACAGAAAAGAAAAAGGAGAGGAACTGTAAAAAATGCCATTTTTTTCCTACTTAATAGCCAAATGAAGGCTTAGTCAATAAGGGTGGGTAGAGGAATTGGGGCTAATGACTCAAATAATGTTTTGTAATTATTTGAGTATTTTCTACATCTGTGCTGCACTCAATCTCTAGTAGGACCACAGATAATCTCAAATTGAAGATAGTGATTTTTTAATGTTGTGATGAGCTTGAGTCTTTGCAGCAGTTTCCAAATGCATAGTATGCTTCTCTGTGCTGTGAGTACTCAATAAACACTCATTGACTAAACTGACAACATAGATGCTAGTGCAACTAAAGGGAGTTCTATCTAGCAACTAAATTGGACATCATATTTGCTCAGTGTGTCTTATCTAAGTGTATGTGAGGAAACTGCTAAAGATCCAACATCTCCAGCAAATGACTGAGATTGAGCTCTGGAGTTAGGCTCTGACATTAGCACAGGTGATGACATTAGCACAGGTAAAAATGCTTGCCTCACTTGTTCCATGCCGCTTCCATTTCATTCTGTCTGAGTGCTGCACAGGCAAGCAGTACATCTATTTACATTAAGACAGCCTTCTTTGCAACCTAGAGAGCTAGAAATTTCCTTTTTATAGCCTGAAGAATACAGCAAACATCTAAATATATGACTCTTCTGGCTTGGATTAAGATTGCTTATAATTCTAGTCAAAATTGGAAAGATATTTTACAAAATTTGCTTCATATCAGTCATGCTGAATGTCGTCTGTCACAGCCCGGAACCAAGGAATTCTTCCTTGTCTCACTGATCCATGATTTATTACTAAGTGTTGTTTCTCTCTGAGCCTATCTGCATCACTCTAAAGTCTTCTTTTATCACCCTCAGACCTCAGAGCTCTGGTTCCCAGAAAAATCATACAGCAAATAATTTTATCTATGGTTCCCAGTAGGTGCTGAAGTCTGAACTGTGTGAATGCATAGAGGGCCAGAAATCCTGGATCCTGGAAACAGATAGCAGGATAGTTTGGGGGCATGGTAAATATGCCTCAGCCAGTTTCATCCTAGAGGTATTTCAAGACCAGACAGTATTGCTATGGCAACTAAGTTGTGTGTTAAAAATACAGGAGGAGCACTAGAATTCAGATGTTCTTTGGAAAAGCAGGAAAAGTTAAATGCCAAAAAAAAAAATATGTTTGTGTGTTCATGTGTGTGATTTACCTCACATGTCAACCATTTACCTCTGTTGAGTGATTGGAGAACTTGGCAAGTAGTCATCATAAGATATAGCTGGATATATGAAAAGAATCCTTTTAGCTTTCCAAGATTTTAACCCATCAATAAGACATTTTTACAGAGGATTTCGGCCCCATCTGACCCATTTTTTCATGCACACGTGTGTGTTTAGTAATTATCTAGAATTGTTAAGAACTCTTTAAAACAAATACTTCACCGGTAGTGATTATAGCAATCATTTTAAAAACCAGAATTGTTCACCTTGGAAAACGAAATGAGTGGAAAGCATCAGCCTCCTCCTTCTGTGGCAGATGTTTTATATGCTGCTGCCCCAGGATAGGCCACACGGGGTCACAGAAATGCAGCTATTCTCATGAGGGCTAACAGAAGCATAGGACTTCAAGCAAATTGAAATTTGTACACATTTAATACATCAAATTGCTTTAATATAGCTTTTGAGTATTTTTCAGAATAAAGCTATTCTGAAAAAACTGATGAAGGGTCACAGTCATTTAAGGCTAATTCTTGAATTAATTCAAAGCAGTGATCTACCTTTGAAAATCTTCTTATTCTTTCCCCAAGTACCCTTAAATCAGAGACTCTTTTCCCAGGAGCCCAACTTTGTCACTTTGTTCAGATACTTTTGGTACATCTCGATAGCACCTGATGTCAGTGTATCTCTCTTTTTAAAAAGCTTAGCCCCTTACATTGGTAACCACAGAGGCACTTGACCAAAACATGCTTGTATATCTACTTAAGAACAAGCAGAAGCACTGAGACCAAGAAAAACTCTTTCATCTCCTCTTCTTGCCTCTCCTCTCTGTCTACCTCCATTTCTGCATTCTTCTTCTAGGAAAGATGATTATGATGACAGGCTGGTTGGTGCCCGTCAAGGACTCCTTTCAGCAACTTTCCTGGACACTCAGGGTCTTAGCTCTAGCTGAGGAATCATTATTTGCCTGCTGCACTGCCTCTTTCAGCAATGTATCAGATTCAGTGCAAGGGGGATTGGTTACATAGATAAATGCAGAGTATGCTTTTACTTCTCCCTGGATTTTCTTTCCTTGCTGCCCTTAAGACTTAATGGTCAGGATCTTCTTTCTTCCTTTTACCTTATTATGCCTGAAACCATATCCCTCAATGGTTATGATATTACCTGCCTTGCCACATTATTCTTTTACTGTAACCAAACACCAGCCAAGAGTGTTTAGACCTTCTGTACAGTTTAATTTTTAGAAATGGCTAATGGTTCTTTTGGTCACCATGTCTTACAGTGGTTCTGGAGCTTTAGCTGCTCTCACTGTTTTCATTTACAAGATGAAGAAATCAAAGCATAGTTTGAGTTTCATCCCTTTCTCTCCATCAGGAGTAGGACAACACAACCCATGGTAAAACTCCAGCTCCAAAGATTCTAATTTGTTTCGTGATCCTGCAGAACCTCCTATAGCCTTACAAAGAAAATGAAAGGAGCCATCACATCTTATGGTTCAATCCACCCTTGATTTCTGTGGTCATAAATTATAGAAACTGCCATTATATGTTGCAACTGAGACTTTACATTTGTTTTACTAGAGGTCATTTGTTCCAAAGGAGCTTGCATTTGGCTGCAAATAACAAATAATCTCATTAAGAAAGACTTGTTTTTTCAGTTTTATTTTTTGTTTTGTTTGTTTGTTTTTGTGTCACATAACAAAAAGTCCACAGGGGCATGGCTGCCCATATTGGTTCTGCAATTCAGTGATCTCTACAATTTTCTTGGTCTTTTCCATGTGTATTTTGCCCCAGAGAAACAAGATAGGGACTACAGTTTTAGCTACCATGTCTGTGTTTAGGCAGGAAAAAGAAGGACAAAGGGATACAAGGATAAAAGCCTACCAGCCAAGTTTATTCCTTTTTTATTAGGAAAATCCAAAGCTTTATTTGAAGCCCTACCCAGCCAACTTTCACTTAGAATTATTAGGTAGAACTATGTCATACGGTCAGCCCTAGCAAGGTTGGCTAAGAAACTGAGGGTCATGGTAAGGGGGTTGGCTTATCTAGCCAACAGCTCTGCCACAGAACACTACCTCCTGCTTGCCATTTCACATGTGCTTTGGAATTTTAACAGATCTCCATATTTCATGTGTTCTGTTTATTTTTTAAAACTACTCTATTGAAATATAATTCACATGCCATATAATTCACCCATTTAAAGTATATAATTCAGTGGGGGCTTTTTCCCTTTTATTTTTAAAAGCTTCCCTTAGAGTCCACAGCTTCTGGATGTATCTAAAACAGTACTATGATAATAATATTTTCTCTTATTCTCAGCTTCAAAAATGTTCTGTAGCTGGCTGGGCATGGTGGCTCACGCCTGTAATCCCAGCGCTTTGGAAGGCCAAGGCAGGCGGATCACCTGAGGTAAGGAGTTCAAGACCAGCCTGGCCAACATGATGAAACATTGTCTCTACTGAAAATACAAAAATTAGCCAGGCGTGGTGGTGGGCGCCTGTAATCCCAGCTACTCAGGAGGCCAAGGCAAGAGAATCGCTTGAGCACAGGAGGCAGAGGTTGCAGTGAGCCGAGATCACGCCCCTGCACTCCAGCCTGGGTGACAGAGTGAGACTCCATCTCAAAAAAAAAAAAAAGTTCTGTAAATAAAAGCCTATGTCTGTTTATTGCACAATTCTGACCCAAAATGAGAGGCTTCATTGATTATATATGTTTGGTTTCATATTCATGACACTTACTTCTTGAAAAAAACTTCAAGTTTCTGTTGCAAACACTTAATATACTGGCTTTCTGTAACTGGTCTCCTGTGCTTTGCCAGCATAGTGATAATTCATGCCACGATGAAATTTGGGAGGCAGGGCAAGATTACTAGTACCTCCTGATTGATCAAAATCAGAATAAATTTTATTTGGTTTCGTTTTACTTTAGTTAACTATAGTTTACCATATCCAAACTCTTACCTAAATTGTCAGTTTACATGGAGTCTGTTAACCAGATGTATTTGATCAACCAAAACAGAGTTGGCTCTTCTTGTATACATACAACATTCCAAGATCAGAAATTTTACGGCATACCTACATTATTTTGTAGTGACAGATTAATTATATCAAAAGTCCCACTATAAATAGTAGTTTCAGTCTTTAAGATCTGGAGTTGAAAAAGTCAAGTCTGTTTGCCTTGGAATGAAGTGATAGATTTTTTTTAAAAAAAGACCTCTTACTTTCAAAGAAGATACAGGCAATGACCGTCATACTACCTCCAGTCTTTTGCTGTTCTAACTTCTTGGTTAACATGGTTGGTTTTTTGTTAGGAGTATAATGAGTATTCCTGACTTTCGGGACATTTGAAACAAGAAGTACAGTCTGTGGGAGGGTAATTATAGCAATACGACAATTTTAAATCTTGGGAGAAGAAGTACAAATACAGTCTGCTTTTCCTTTGACCATTTCTTTTTTTTATTTTTTATTTTATTATTATTATACTTTAAGTTTTAGGGTACATGTGCACAATGTGCAGCTTTGTTACATATGTATACATGTGCCATGTCGGTGTACTGCACCCATTAACTCGTCATTTAGCATTAGGTATATCTCCTAATGCTATCCCTCCCCCCTCCCCCCACCCCACAACAGTCCCCGGAGTGTGATGTTCCCCTTCCTGTGTCCATGTGTTCCATTGTTCAATTCCCACCTATGAGTGAGAACATGCGGTGTTTGGTTTTTTGTCCTTGCGATAGTTTGCTGAGAATGATGATTTCCAATTTCATCCATGTCCCTACAAAGGACATGAACTCATCATTTTTTATGGCTGCATAGTTTTCCATGGTGGATATGTGCCACATTTTCTTAATCCAGTCTATTGTTGTTGGACATTTGGGTTGGTTCCAAGTCTTTGCTATTGTGAATAGTGCCGCAATAAACATATGTGTGCATGTGTCTTTATAGCAGCATGATTTAATAGTCCTTTGGGTATATACCCAGTAATGGGATGGCTGGGTCAAATGGTATTTCTAGTTCTAGATCCCTGAGGAATCGCCACACTGACTTCCACAATGGTTGAACTAGTTTACAGTCCCACCAACAGTGTAAAAGTGTTCCTATTTCTCCACATCCTCTCCAGCACCTGTTGTTTCCTGGCTTTTTAATGATCGCCATTCTAACTGGTGTGAGTTGGTATCTCATTGTGGTTTTGATTTGCATTTCTCTGATGGCCAGTGATGGTGAGCATTTTTTCATGTGTTTTTGGCTGCATAAATATCTTCTTTTGAGAAGTGTCTGTTCATATCCTTCGCCCACTTTTTGATGGAGTTGTTTGTTTTTTTCTTGTAAATTTGTTTGAGTTCATTGTAGATTCTGGATATTAGCCCTTTGTCAGATGAGTAGGTTGCAAAAATTTTCTCCCATTTTGTAGGTTGCCTGTTCACTCTGATGGTAGTTTCTTTTGCTGTGCAGAAGCTCTTTAGTTTAATTAGATCCCATTTGTCAATTTTGGCTTTTGTTGCCATTGCTTTTGGTGTTTTAGACATGAAGTCCTTGACCATGCCTATGTCCTGAATGGTATTGCCTAGGTTTTCTTCTAGGCTTTTTATGGTTTTAGGTCTAACGTTTAAGTCTTTAATCCATCTTGAATTAATTTTTGTATAAGGTGTAAGGAAGGGATCCAGTTTCAGCTTTCTACATATGGCTAGCCAGTTTTCCCAGCACCATTTATTAAATAGGGAATCCTTTCCCCATTGCTTGTTTTTGTCAGGTTTGTCAAAGATCAGATAGTTGTAGATATGTGGCGTTATATCTGAGGGCTCTGTTCTGTTCCATTGATCTATATCTCTGTTTTGGAACCAGTACCATGCTGTTTTGGTTACTGTAGCCTTGTAGTATAGTTTGAAGTCAGGTAGCGTGATGCCTCCGACTTTGTTCTTTTGGCTTAGGATTGACTTGGCGATGCGGGCTCTTTTTTGGTTCCATATGAACTTTAAAGTAGTTTTTTCCAATTCTGTGAAGAAAGTCATTGGTAGCTTGATGGAGATGGTATTGAATCTATAAATCAATAGAAAAAGAGGGAATCCTCCCTAACTCATTTTATGAGGCCAGCATCATCCTGATACCAAAGCCTGGCAGAGACACAACGAACAAAGAGAACTTTAGACCAATATCCTTGATGAACATTGATGCAAAAATCCTCAATAAAATACTGGCAAACCGAATCCAGCAGCACATCAAAAAGCTTATCCACCATGATCAAGTGGGCTTCATCCCTGGGATGCAAGGCTGGTTCAACATACGCAAATCAGTAAATGTAATCCAGCATATAAACAGAACCAAAGACAAAACCACATGATTATCTCAATAGATGCAGAAAAGGCCTTTGACAAAATTCAACAATCCTTCATGCTAAAAACTCTCAATAAATTAGGTATCGATGGGACGCATCTCAAAATAATAAGAGCTATCTATGACAAACCCACAGCCAATATCATACTGAATGGGCAAAAACTGGAAGCATTCCCTTTGAAAACTGGCACAAGACAGGGATGCCCTCTCTCACCACTCCTATTCAACATAGTGTTGGAAGTTCTGGCCAGGGCAATTAGGCAGGAGAAGGAAATAAAGGGTATTCAATTAGGAAAAGAGGAAGTCAAATTGTCCCTGTTTGCAGATGATGTGATTGTATATCTAGAAAATCCCATTGTCTCAGCCCAAAATCTCCTTAAGCTGATAAGCAACTTCAGCAAAGTCTTAGGATACAAAATCAATGTACAAAAATCACAAGCATTTTTATACACCAATAACAGACAAACAGAGAGCCAAATCATGAGTGAACTCCCATTCACAATTGCTTCAAAGAGAATAAAATACCTAGGAATCCAACGTACAAGGGACGTGAAGGACCTCTTCCTTCGACCATTTCTTCATGCCTTCCCCTATATCCATCTTCACTCCTTCCTGAAATTGTGGACAAGAAGATGATGATCAGATTAGTCTGTTTGCAGCACTCAGAGCAGGCTCAGAATAGTTTAGTGGAATCACTTGTGTCTTTGGTCTCCCACTGGGCCCTAAGTGGCGTGAGCCAGGACCACTACAACCTAGAAGGAGGCCCTGCCTTCCTGCTTTGTAATTCGCTCTCCTCCATCTCTCCTGACTCTTCTCCTTTATTCTGTTCTTTACAACAAAGTGGTAAGCAGATCCATCCTTTTCTCTCCTTGGATACCCTTATTTTTTGTTTCCTAGGGCAGTAAGAGTAAGAATCTTTAATGAAACCAATTTCTAACTCAGCTCAGGGGCAGCTCAGTGCTAGGCAATGGGGGGCAATGATCTCCCTATATTTACTCTGATTCTCTGGTATGGTCATCCCCTTTTATCTGTGGTTTTGCTTTCTGTGGTTTTAGTTGCCTGTAGTCAACTGTGGTGCATGATATTAAATGGAAAATTCCAGAAGTAAACAATGGAAAAGTTTTAAATTGCATGTCATTATCTCTACTTTTGAATTGCATGACTGTGTAATGAGATTTCACACTGGCCTGCTCCATCCTCCCTGGAATGTGAAGCATCCCCTTGTCTGACATGTGCAGCTGGACCGTAGTCCAGGAGTCACTTAGTAGCCATCTCAGTTATCAAATCAAAACAATATAGTATACAAAATATAGGGTTGTATACTATCTGTGGATTCAGTCATCCACTGGGGGGTCTTGGAATGCACCCCACATGGATAAAAGGACATTACTGTACTACAAAGTGTACTGGGTTGATTCTTCCTTACATTATAGTGGTAAGAACCAAGAATAAGCTTTGGATGTTGACAAAGGGACAGAGAAGGCCTCCTGGCTTGCTTTGGTTTGAAGCTGTTCAGGCATAAGCAACTTGGGAACAGGGAGTGCTCCATGTCCTATACACCCTTTGCATTAGGGTTTTGGGCCAAAAATTGTACAAGTACCAACAATAAAGTATCCCTTTGCTTCTCATTTGCTGGAACTTTCCTTGGCATATACTTACCTCAGGAACCTTGTGAGAAGGGTTGGTTGGGATCTAGAACAATAGCTCTAATTCCTTTAGACAGTTATATACCATTTAATTGTCCTCTGATGTCCAATGCAAACCTCTTGTCATTTCTTTTCCTGATATCTGACCTTTCTGTATTCATCTCCTTTCTGAGGTTAAAAGATAATAAAGAGCATATAATCAAGTACTGTTTTTATTAGAAGGTTCATAGGAACCCTGTTAGAAATAGATAAACCATCATCTATAAAGAATTGTTTGAGAATTGGTGGTAACCAGATAAATAATATCTTGTTGATAATAGCCCTACTAGTAAAATAGGAAAATGACTTTGTCACGGTTGTGTTCACTGTAGTGAGATTTTAGCTGTATACATTAGACTCAGAGACAAGCAGAAAATTCATGGAGATTAGTTGCATCTATTTGAGAAGAACGTGTTTAACAGAGTCATCCATTTAAAATTGGTTTCATTAAAGAGTCTAAATGAGTAGTTCTGTTAAAATGCCAAGTACTATAAGGTTTTTATTGTTCTGTGGTCATAGACTGCCCTGGCCAGCTATCTTGTAAAATGCTTTTTATAATTACAGTAGACAGAGCTGGCAACAGGATAGATCTGTACAAATCCATTTTCTCCTGGTCACCAACAAACAACTCAGCACTGTGTACTTAATTAGTGTGTTTTAGTCTATAGTGTCATCTTCCTCTATAACTGATATATTATTATTTTACTACTGTCATATTAACTGCCTTATCAAAGACTATAAAACTTTATTTTTTTGACATATTGTTTATTGACTTTAAATGTCTCTGTAATTTCTTCACCCTACCCTACTACTTCCATCCCCTTTAGTAGGGCTCTAGAGGGTAGTGGTCAATGACTATCCTATCAGTTTGAGAATGTAGCTCCTGGGCACTTGATCAGTTCAGGGAGTAACGAGGGTTTGGGAATGGAAATGGTTTTCATTTTTAATTGGAGCTGCTGCTGCTGCTGCTTCCCCCCCTCCCCCCACATTTTCTTTGTAGTTCTTTTAGGAGAAATACCAGAAATTTAGGGTGAAAGGCAAGCCAAGAATTGCCACTGCAGTTGTCACAGTAACAAAAATGAGATTGTGACTACAGCACAATCTAAAAGCTCCATGTAGAATTTGCTGCATTAAAATCTCTTGAAACAACAGAAGAAAGAGACTTTAGACATTTCTAGGCTAAGCTCAGCCTTAGTTTAAACTGTATCTTTATTTCTTACCTTGGCGCCATAACTCTTTACTGCTCAAATAGAACAGCTTTAGTTTTCTGTCTATGCCTGGGGTTGGTAAAGTTTTTCCATAAAAGGACAAGTAGTAGATATTTTAGGTTTTGCAGGCCATACAGTCTCTGTGGTGCAACTATTCGACCCTGCTGAGGGGCATGGCTGTGTTCCAATAAAACTTTATTTACAAAAATAGGCATCCACAGGCCATGGCTTACCAATGCCTAATCCATTCAGTTCCTTTCCTCACTAACATTTCTGGCCCATACAGGTAAAAGTGAAGTGTTAGGGAAGTTCATTTGCCCCTCATGGTTTCAAAAAAATGTGAATAATAATAATAATCCTGTTATTGAAAGATAGGAATATTAAAATCAGCATTTAGTTTGGGGACAATATATAATACCATGACCACTGGGTTTTTCCTACTGTGTTTTGTTATTGAATGAGCCTTGTGGGCTGCCACAAGGAGGGGCCAACAGGAAGTCCTGGTGGATGAGGCTTCATTCCCCAACTCTGACCTCAGAAGAGCATTTCTACTTTAATCTGTTTTAGATACTGAGATTCTGCCAAGATGTTGTTTGTAAAAGAGATTCTGCTGCTAAAGAATATTTTTTTAAATATTGGTTTATATTTCTTTGCAAGTTGTATAATGCCTCTTTATAATGGATACTTTATAAAAGTGCCAAAGATTTATCATATATCGCTTTGTAATTAAAAGGGAAAAATAGACTTGAAAAAGGAATCAGAAATCACGTACATTAAAATCCATCTCCCTCCTTTCCCCTATCCCCCTACCACCCACTTCCCAGATTATAAATCTGAGAGGATACAGTTGTGAAGCAAGACAGAGTCAGAGTTGGGACTCCTGCCTCCCATCTGAAACTACTGCTATTCATTACACATTCCAAGGAATTGTGGACAGTAGCCTTGTGTCCATCAGAGGCCCAAGGAGAGTCATTGCAACCCTTTGTGGTCCTAATAGGCTAAGGAAATAACTAGTAACTTCACTGTTTTCCTTTTACCTGCTCATGCTACCTCTTCCTTTTGGCTGCTAGGAGCCTCCAAGCTCCTCATTTCCCCCAGGCTATTCATATGTATCCTTTGTACACAGTTCCAGCACCAGCGCCTTGGAGGTTACCTCAGGGATATTTCCCAGCCCCTGACACCCAAACACTCTCATGTGTGACTCAGATAGGCTGGGGTCCTCTTCTGCCCCACCACAGGAATATCAATGCTGGCTCTTGGGGATTCAGTGCCAGAGTGGGAGGATCCTGAGAAATCTGAGATCTCACCCACCTTTGGCATGATTTCTTTCCTGGCTTGTGAAAATTCCTGATCTTTTTTGTCTCTACCTTCCTGAATGGGAGTCAGGGCAGTGATGCAGAGGGGTAGTGGGGGGTGGGGGGTAAGCTTGCATGTGCATTGGATGGCTGCATGGCACGAGGACCGTGTTCTCAGGATGCCCATGTAGGTCCTATCAGCCAAAATAAGAAGAAAGTTAAAAGGGGTCCAGCAAAAAGGATTATAAGGCATAGAGGACATAAATGTTTGTTCTTGATGAGGAAGAGTGAGCCGGCTGAACAAAAGAAACAGTTTAATTTGCAGAGTGCAATATTCTAATGAAGCCTCATGCTGTGCTTGAGTCAATGTCGCAAGGTCTAGCTGCAGCAGGGCCTTAGCTAGATAGGAGTGATTTATTCATCTCTGCTTCCATCACTCAGATTTCCTTCTCTCAGTCATCCAGTGTCTATCACCGGAAAGCCTGGTTTCTGTACGGTTTACCCTGGTAGCTTGCCTGGAATACATTTTGAAGGATTAGTGTACATGGCACGGAGACTGGCCTCTGTGCCCAGTACACTCTGGTGAATATTCATGTCGGCACCTGGGAGGGTTATTTCTAGAAAGGCAATTCTTGCAGAATACATTCCAAAGAGGGAATGCTTTTCCTGTCTGATGTTCCCTCAACCAAACAAATGTGGAAGAAGGGAAGCTACTCTGCAGTTCTGGGGAGTATTCATGAGACAGAAACAACATCCTCACATCTTCTGCAGCAGTGGGGAGAACTGCAAACCCTCCCTTTGCAGAGCCTTTGCCTGGGCCTCCTGTTCAGTATAGGTGATCGCAGGGAAAAAAAAAAAGCAACTGCCCATTTAGCCTTTGGTCCTATGACCCACACCAGTTTGGTTTAATTACAGCTGTTTAGCAGTTAGGAAAGCCAGCGTTATTAATGTTCAGCTGAAAACGTTTGAATTAAAACTTGTGATCCCAGCTTTGAAGACCTGGATCAAGAAAACTATACTGAGTGGCCAGTGATCAAAAGAATTGCACTGAAAAACTTAATGAGCCATTTTTTCCTCTAGCTGCTACAAAAAAAAAATACATAAAATGTTGCTTTATTTTTCTGGCTTCTCACCATTCTTCAAAAGATTTATCACACAGTTACATATTAAATTGATTAATTATCTTTTGTTTATAAGAATTTATAGTTGGTAGTTAGGATTTTCACCTTTATATACTGGTGGAGATGTTGCTATTATTTTTCTCATTAATGTTCTCTTTTTTAATGGTAAGTCATGTACCACATAGAGAATTATGATTTATCAGACACCTCAGCTTTCAAACAGAAAAATGTACTTATTCTAAGTGTTTAAATTGTATAGCACTTGCAACTTATTATAGTTTTGTTTTGTGTTTTAGAGGGTAGTTGTTTTCATGTGAGAGCCTTCACTAACTATTTCATGAAAGAAGTCCATTAGAGGAGGGACTAACAGGGAGGAAATTCCAGGACAAGTAGATAGAGAGACAGCATTTCATTGTCCATGGCCCACCGGAATAAACAGATTTGGGAATGCAGTGGGAGAGGGGCAGTAGTAAGTTCGCCAAGGGAGAACCTGAAGGAGGAACGAGTCGCAGCTCACGCTGGTAGTAAGTCTGAAGGAGGTCTGAATTGGATAGGCAAGTGTTTTAAAATCATTTCTAGCAAGAGCTCAAGACTTTGTAGATTGTGCTCTGTGGGGAAAAGAAGATGATTTAAAAGCTGGAGCAAAGGTTGAAACCCAGATCTGATTTGGGTGAAAAGGTCAGTCTGAGAAGAAAGAGAAAGAGGTGTGGGAAAATAGTACTGGTTGTGTTAAGAGAGACCAGAGAAGAGATTTGGTAAGAACAAAAATAGAGAGATTACGTGATTGAACAGGAAGAGTTTTGCCGGTCGTTCATCCCTGCTGGAACATCCTCCTGACTGTAATATTCAGAGTTGAGCCTTCCCACCTGTTTTGCCCTTCTGTTCTTTCCCTTTATCACCAGGTCAAGAGAATACAAAGATCTGCATGTAGCTAAATTGTGAGTTCTCCCACAGATACGGATTCTTCTGAAAACTTGATCCAAGGGAACAGGGAGGAGCCATGGCACTTATTAAATTTCTCTTTGGCGCTGCTTCTTGGTGCATTGTAGGCTGTGCGTGTGGGCACCTATTAGCATGTGTTCAGCGGATGGGCAGGAGAATAAGCTCAGTGGATGAAATAGCAGTCAGAATGGATATTTTTCATAAATTATCACTTATGTGAGACTCTCCAAAATGGTGTTGGGGCTAGGGGTGAAGTACTGGCTGGGGGAGGTTGTTTTTGCATTGAAACATAATTCATTCTATAGAACACTGAAGATATTGTACAGGAATAAGTGACCCAGGTTTTTTGAGAGGAGTGATGTATCTATAGTTGCCTCACCTCTTTCCATCATAATTCGCCTCTTCTGCTCCTCATTTCTCCTTCGGTTTTTGTTTTGTTTTGTTTTGTTTTTTGAGACGGAGTCTCGCTCTGTCACCCAGGCTGGAGTGCAGTGGTGCGATCTCGGCTCACTGCAAGCTCTGCTTCCTGGGTTCACACCATTCTCCTCCCTCAGCCTCCCGAGTAGCTGGGACTACAGGCGCCTGCCACCTCGCCCAGCTAATTTTTTGTATTTTTAGTAGAGACGGGGTTTCACCATGTTAGGCAGAGATGGTTTCGATCTCCTGACCTCGTGATCCACCCACCTTGGCCTCTCAAAGTGCTGGGATTACAGGCGTGAGCCACCGTGCCCGACCCCTCTCCTTCGGTTTAACTTAGTAGAGCTTATGATGTGTAAGGCATTGTGCTGGGAAATACCAAGGTCATTAGCCATGCGTGGTCCCTGCACTGTAGAAGCATGATCCAGTGGGCTCTCCTGAATGGACTTGGTCCAAAAAGCTGAAGGGAGGGGCCACTGGATGGTGTTATGCAGGGAACCTGGAGCCAAGGTGACTCTACTCCCCTACCTGTTGGATGAAGGCCCACACTGGGGCCTTTTGTTTCACAGGAGTCATAAATGTTAAGTAAAAATCCAAGAATTCTTAACACTCAGCTGTAGATTAGTACATTTTGAGCTCTTTAATGTGTCTGTCTGTTCTTATCGCCCTCCTAATAATTTCATAGAATTGAGGACAGAGAACAGAAAAGCTCACACAAATGCATATTGCCTTCAGCTATTAACAGAAGAAACTGATTCTGGCCTTTTACATTCACAACAGCCCGTAATAGCCTTCCTAGCAAATGAAGCTAAAAGCCAGCTGGACCTGATGCCTGGGAGCTAAGCCCTATCGTCTGGGCAGGACCTCGGCATTTCTGCCTCTCACACATCCTTTTCTGATCCTGCCGGTGAACCAAATCAGGCTGATCTCACTGATTGTATATATTCATCAAGAGGAGGAAGCTGCTGGGATCAAGGCAGATGGCCTTGCTGGAGAGGGGAATTGGTGATGCCAAATTTAAACACGGGGGAAGATCCGTAAAAGCTGCATACCTGCCTAGTGTGTCACTGCCCAAAAGGTCTGTAACATATTGTGACTTCACCTTTTAAAATATCATAAGACCATTTGAGGGGTTCCCAATATTTTTGATGCCAACATTTTGCTTAAGGAAGGGGCTGTATTAGAGTCACTTTCCAAAATATAAGAATGCTTTTCTTCTCAAGGGCTGTTTGGCCTGGACAAATTTTTATCATATTTCCACATTGAAAGCATAAAATGAGATAATTTTCTTTTTCTTCTTTCTTTCTTTCTTTCTTTCTTTCTTTCTTTCTTTCTTTCTTTCTTTCTTTCTTTCTTTCTTTCTTTCTTTCCTTTCTTTCCTTTCTTTCCTTTCTTTCTTGTTGAGACTGAGTTTTGCTCTTGTCGCCCAGGCTGGAATGCAATGGCACAATCTCGGCTCCCTGCAACCCCCTTCTCTCGGGTCCAAGTGATTCTCCTGCCTCAGCCTCCTGAGTAACTGGGATTACAGGTGCACGCTGCCACGCCCGGCTAATTTTTGTATTTTTAATAGAGATGGGGTTTCCCCATGTTGCCCAGGCTGGTCTTGAACTCCTGACCTCGGGTGATCCACCCACCTCAGCCTCCTAAAGTGCTGGGATTACAGGTGTGAGCCACCGTGCCTGGCTGAGAATTTTCATTAAATTGGACTGTGTAGTATGAAGTCTAGATCATAAGCCTGGGGCAAAATTTATTTGTTAAAAGAAAAAAAAGAGTTTGTCAAGTGATTAAATAATCTGTAAAAGATTGCTTGGGCAGTGTTTAGCCCATGTAAGAAAATTAACCAGGAAACTTAGGAAAATAGATTTGCGTTGAAAGCAGGAAATGTGCTGATTATAAATTGTTTTTTTTCCAAATGTGATAATGTATGCAAAAACATTTTGAAACTAGTGAGGACTGTGTGAATGTGAGGTGGGACTATGATTAATTGTTCACCATTCATTCCACACTCAGTATCTAATGAATATTGCAGCTGCAGCCATGTATTTGGTAATGTGGTGTTAGCTTTTATGTTATCACCTAAAACTTGAAGTTAAAAACTTAATCTTTCTAAGAAGTGAAAAGATGGTCTTAGTTAGCTGTTAAAAGTTGGTTGTTTTAGCCAGGTGTGGTAGCTCACGCCTGTAAGCCCAGCACTGTGGGAGGCTGAGGCAGGCAGGTCGCTTGAGCCCAGGAGTTTGAGACCTATCTGGGCAACATGGCAAATCACCTTCTCTACAAAAAAATACAAAAAATTAGCCAGGCCTGGTGGCGAGTGCCTGTAGTCTCAGCTACTTGGGAGGCTGAGGTGGGAGGATCACTTGAGCCCGGGAGGTGGAGGTTGCAGTGAGCAGAGGTTGCAGTAAGCCAAGATTACGCCACTGAACTCCAGCCTGGGCAACAGATTGAGACCCTGTCTTAAAAAAAAAAAAAAAAAAAGATTGGTAGTTTTGTATTGTCTCCAAGTTTTGGAAAGTTTTGCCCCATCCAGCTTTCCACAGTTATATCCTCCAGGCATATTCTCCATTGATATTTTTCCACTTTCAGATAACATACCTAGATTATACTATATTTCTCATGGTATGTGGGCTTTAAATAAATAAATAAATAATTATACTATATCAAATATAAGATTTCATGAGAAAGAAAATCCCTCCTTAAATATCCCCCTTTCTCAATGAGCCAGCCTACACAGTGGAGCCAAAATGTATACTTGCCACCTCCTCACATTTTTGTAATCCTGGACTTCAGTTGACTAAACACAGAAACTACATATGCCACACACCCGAGAGCTTCTGCTTGCCTTTTCTCTGGCTACCTGCAAGAGAATATTGTTAATCAGTGCCATCGTTTCTTCCCCTTTTAGAGAAATCACCCTCCACGTCCCAGATATGAGAGATTAAACATTATGAGACAGTAGGTAGACTCTCTGATGTCCTTTGACTAATGCATTTCCCCAGAATCCATTCCATCTGATGAGCAGCCAGTTTTTCCCTCCTCCTGCTATTAGGAGACTGGTGTTCCCTTTGCCCTGAAAGGTCGTGGCCCATTCAGAGGCAGGCCTCTGCAGTGGCAACACCTCAGGGGTTCTCATGTCTGGAATCTGCAGGGCAGCCGCCTGGTCTACTTCACACACTTTTAAGAAAACATGGTTACTGGGCTCTAGGCTCCCGCTGAGAATCTCATTTTGGACTCAGCGTCCTCCAGCAGCTCTTCTCAGCTGGACCTTGCTCCCCACCTGAGGGTGAAGCCACGTCATCGAACCCTGTGACAGCTGACGATAAGGAGCCCTCTCATCTTTGGGAAAGTCCCTCTTTCTCACCGGCAGAGTTGTTTCTCTGAAGCTGTATTAATTCCTTCTGGAAGCTGTTACAGGCTCCCTCCTGCCCCTCAGTAGCAGAGATTAGAATAGGGACCCTAATGTGTTGTTTGTCTTTCTGCTTCTCATCCAGAGGAGCAGGAACTGGACTTTTCCGAATTAGGTGAAAGTGCTGAAGTTTCCCTTTGTCACCACAACTCCTTACCTCTCTCCCTCACCTTTACAGCTGCCGCATCTGTTCTTTGCATCATGACCTCCAGTCTCTCTCTGTTCTGAACATTAGTCTACCATCTCTGATCCCACTTACCTCCTCAGAAGCCTACAGGTGGTCATTACTTTTCCTGGCCCTTCGTTCTCTGACCCTGGCCTGTATCCTCCTTGTCACTGTTGGCCCTGCTTCCCCAGTGCCACCGCTGAGGAGAGTTATAAACTACACTGATTGTTCCATCTTTGCAAGGCTCTCTCCCTGCAGCTCCACTGATGCCACTGAGCCCACTCCAAAGCCTGTTTTGCCTTGCCACCGTACACCACAGTCTTACCGCTCTCCGTTTCTACATAGAATCCTCTTTCATAATTGAACGAAAAGATTGCCATCATAAGGGAGGTTTCCCACCACCCCTGCTCTTTACCTCGTTGTCTCTCTGGTCCTGTAGCCATCACGGTATCATTGCTATCCTCACTGCCATAACATCTACTCTTATTGCGTACCTTTTCTGTCCAGTGCACTCCACCAGGAGCTTATCTTTGGCCCTTTTAGTTCCAAGTAACAGAAACCAAGTAAAGATAGGTTAAGCCGCAAATGGTAACTTTATTTAAGTGATTAGAAGATTTCTCACGGAATACTAGAGGAGAAACTCGGAGGGCCCTAGTAGGTTTTGAAACCAGACATTGGAATCTGTCGGGACCCCAGGTAGCCCTCCCTGGACTGCACAGCCTGTGGTCTCTGCTTCTCACTGCAGGTATCTTTCTTTGCTTCTGTATGCCTGTGATCAAAGAGACTCACCCCAGAATGCCTGTATTTTCATCATCTCATTTTAAGTGAACAGGGCACGTTAGGCTGGAATCTCACATAATTCTAAATTTTTGAGAAAGGAAATCTGATTAGCCCAGCATGGATTGGGCAGCTTCCAAGTCCAGAGGATAAACTGAGCTCAGGAATCTCCCATGTCCACCTTGAGGTTGTGCTGGAAAGAGTTGTCAAAGACAGGAGTTACTGTGTAATGTACAGACATACCAAAAAAACCTCTGCATATGCTATAACAGAATATTAAATGTTAGAACTGGAAGAGTGCTGAGAAGCCATCAAATCTCGACATTTAATGTCACAAAGGATGAAACCAAAGTATAAGTAAAGTGACTTGCCTAATGTTACTGAGTAGTTATTCAGTAAATATTTTTTGAATTGTTGAATGGAAGACAATTATTTCTGAAGAACTTAAAGGATCTTTACCAAAGAATATACTGTATACATTTTTGAGATCAGGAGTATCTTTCACTTTAACTGAAAGATTAGGAATGGATTTGATCATAAGTTATTGCACTGTCACTAATATCCTGGTTGCTGATCTTCCTTTAGTTGGTTTTCACCCAAATGAGAAAATTTAGCAACAGTGGCATTATGGTCCCAGGCCTTCCAGTGGAATTTCCCACAAATGATGGACAGTTAGAAACAGGCAAAACAGGCCCTTGCTTCTGGTCTAAAAGGCACCAATTCAGTGGAGAAGCTGTTGACCTCAACTGTTATACTTCAGCCATTGTTCACAATCTGGCACAGTATTAATCCCTTAAGAAAAGGATGAAAAAAGTGCCATTCAGCACAACATAGTTTGTCATCGCATGCATAATGTAGACTTTCCAATTAAAATGCTACAATTTGGAAACTTTCTTCACAGACTGATGAGAGAGCAACTATTTTAAAGACTGGAAACCTCAGTCCACTGGGTTTGCATTGAGTCACTTCTGACTCAAGCCACAAAGAAAAGAGTTTTGAAAACATATTCGCTATTGAATTTTGTATCAAAATACCAGCAAGGAGAGCAATTAGTTGCTGTAAACTGAACCCCTGGTAATCAATGGTATGCAGCCAGCCAGAGCATTTATGGAAGATGTAAGCAAAATCACATCTGCTAATCAATTAAAAAAAAAAAAAAGCCCAGCACTTCACTGCTTTTAGGGAAACTGCACAATGAGAATAAGGGAAGATGGAGGAGACAACATATATAATATCACCAGGCATTTCATGCTGTGCTCATTAGTTAGAGAGGTTTGTGGCAACAGCTAAACACCGACCTGATCTGCATCAATAAATCTTGGCCAGCAACTTCCTTTATTCAGCCCCTTTTGAAAATGGCTTCTGATCTATGGGTGGAAGTGTGCTGTGTATGTTTAAGGAGCTCATTTCAGTTAAGGTCATAGAGAGTGTCTGTCCTGGATGAGCTCACCATGCAAACATTCCCAGCTAGTTTACAAGTCAGAAATAGCTCTCTGTTGTTGCAGGCACAAAGACATAAGAATACACTTTGCAGGCAGCCAAAGAAGTGAAGGGAATTGGTAGAGCAAAATTCCTCTCAATGGAAAAGCAGAGGTTGAATCAGTTTTTCCTTTAGTATTCTTCAGCTGCAGTTGCTTTTTTCAGTCAAATCAACAAAGGGGTTTAATTCCTGGCTAAGCCTAAATTCCAAGCAAATGTGCATCCTAGGCATGAGTTAGAAGTCCTCTTTAAAACTTCAACATGTAGGTTGAGTCTGAGCCCTAGGCTCGATGACCTGAGATCCGTCAGTGTCCCTTTTCCACTCAGGAGTCACCATGACCCCACATCTCCAGTCCCTGGGGACTCTTAATAGAGGACTAGAGAGAGGATGTCTCAACCAGTATGAGCACTTGGCTGCTGTTCAGAAAAAAAGAATTTAGGCCAGAATAAATTAGTGAGGTAAAGATCGATAGACTAGGCTAATAAAAATTAATACCTTCAGCATGCAAACTATGATAGGCAGTGGATTAATATCCTTTAAATATAGAGGACATTTTGTAAGTCATTAACAAAAAGATACATATAAGTAGAAAATGGGTAAAATGTTCAAGCTCAATAAGTTAAAAATTGCAGATTAATAAGATATTTCAGCTATCAAATTAGCAGTATTTTTAAACATAATATATAATATTGGTGATGATGCACAGAAACAGGCATTTGTTATGCAGTGCTGGTAGTGTTAATATAAATTGGTATAGATTTTTGCTTGGGGTTGGGGGGAATAGAAGTATACAGCTATTTTATGATATACATCAAAGCCTCAAGATGTTATATGCCCTGTTCCAGGAGTTTCACTTACAGAATCATTCAAAGACAATAATCATAGATTTAGCTTAAGAATGTCTATCACAAAATTTTCATAATACGCTGGACTCAGTGGCTCATGCTTTTAATCCCAACACTTTGAGAAGCTGAGGTGGAGGGATTGCTTAAGGCCAGGAGTTGGAGACTAGCCTAGGCAACAAAATTAAAAAAAAAAAAATATCAGCTGGGCGTGGTGGTGTGCACCTGTAGTCCTAGCTACTCAGGAAGCTGAGGCAGGAGGATCACTTGAGTCCAGGAAATTGAGGCTGCAGTGAGCTATGATTGTGCCACTGCATTCTGCAGCCTGGGCAACAAAGCAAAACCCTGTTTCCAAAGAAAAAAAAAAGAATTTTCATAACAGTGAAATATTAACTACTTAAGTGTCAGATAATAATAGATTGATTAAATAAAGTATGAGACATCCATACAGTG
Organism: Homo sapiens; assembly: GCF_000001405.40. Classification (NCBI taxonomy): domain Eukaryota; kingdom Metazoa; phylum Chordata; class Mammalia; order Primates; family Hominidae; genus Homo; species Homo sapiens. The sequence goes on along the minus strand of NC_000006.12, from coordinate 38,260,854 downwards.
AAATACTATGAAGTCAGTACATATGATGTAGAAGAATATTTGATGTTACAAAAAGATATTCATAATAGACCATTAAGCAAAAGTAGCAAGTTACAAACCATATGCACTGTGTGTATATGTTTTAAAAGTTACTGGAATTTCAGATTACCTTCATTTTAAGATAATAATTTGCCTTGAAACAAATTGGAGGACTTTTATAGAATAAGCTACTTACAGAGCATGATATATACAACTTAAAATTTTCCTCAAATATGTTATCACTCCAAGAATATCTACTAGAACATATATGATACTCATAATTTATCCTTCTTTTTTTTATCTTCTCCATATCCCATATCCTCTTCAAGGCTGTCATTTTCCATGAAATGTTTTGAGATGTGGTTAGGTTCTATCCCAAAACGGACTGACCATTTTCATTTCAGTCCTCTGTAGAAACACTAGCTTATGATTATCTAGAAGGATAGGGAATATGATAAACCTAGCTCTCCATAAATAATTAAAAATCCCACTGGGGAAAATAACCTCAACATTATCTTCCAACAACAGTTATGGTAACAGAACTGTTAAATGAAGAGAATGATTAATTGATTTGAAGTTTTCCCCTAGTTTTACTCTACTGTGTCAGAGTTACGAATGATTTCAATCCAGAACATATATGGAACATATGCCATGAACAGAGCCTACATGTTTGAAGCAGAGTTTTTAAAAAGAGAAAGACCAAACATCTTTCTAAAGTTCTTATAATCAAAATAAGAACCAGACAAACATAGGAGCAAAAAATACACTTTTAAAAGTTACTCAAAATAAATATAAATTAGCATAGGCTGACTGCATAAAAGTGCTTACAGACTAGGATAATATTTGAGGAAATGACTAATGAAGGAAATGATTCACGTTCTTATAAGAAAATTAGTGTAATCTAAGAGTAGAATTTTGGGCCACTTAAGAACAACAGAGTGGAATCCTTTCTGATTCATTCAGGGTACTTGGAGAGATTAAACACTCAGGCGTATTAAAGAGAATCAGTAGGTATCATCTACTAATGCTTTCCAAACCCATTTAACAGTTTTCTCTACTTAAAAGATGAGTTCAAAAATATTAGGTAGCATGGGTTTAGTAATTGATAGCAAACAGAATTACAATAGAAAATAAGGAATGAAAGGGAAGGCGAGCCCTTTAGGAGGCCAGGCGAGAGGGTAGCTTGAGGCCAGGAGTTTGACCCCGCCTGGCCAACACAGTGAGACCCTATCTCTACAAAATAATCTTTTGTTTGTTTGTTTTTTAATTAGCTGGGTGTGGTAGTGTGTGCCTGTAATCCCAGCTACTTGGGAGGCTAAGGCAGGAGGATTGCTTTAGCCCAGGAGTTTGAGGCTGCAGTGAGCTATGATTGCACCACTGCACTCCAGCCTGGGCAACAGAGAGAGAAGCTGTCCTCCCAACCTTCCCCAACAACAAAAAAGGTAACGGTGAAGGAAAACGGAAAACACAGGCAATCCTAGTCCTCAGTAATAGCTTTATATGTGATACTAAACTGAACTTGTGCAAAGGATTTTCACTGATTATAATCATAAGATTAAGGGAAAATAATACAAGCTACTTTTATAGAGTGATAGGTTAGAGGTTGTAAATTGTGAACCAGATATGTAAACTGAGAGTAATGGAAACATTTGGCAGTGGGATTACAGAAATGGGCTTTTGGTGAAGGTACCAGGTTAGAACCTTGTATCATTTCCATCACTTAGTTACTGTATGAGTTTAGACAAGTTACTTAACATGCTTTAATCCTCACACTTTCAATATCTGTAATTTCATAATAATAGTGCTTGCTAAGAGGATATTTAGAAGGATTTTAATAAGACGAATTGTACAGAGCACTTAACATAGGGCCTAATACACAGTTAACATTAAAGAAATGTTGGCCATCATGATCATTATTATTGATTGTTTTTTGTTTTTTGTTTTTTTGAGACAGAATCTCGCGCTGTGGCCTGGGCCAGAGTGCAGTGGTATGATCTCAGCTCACTGCAAGCTCCGCCTCCTGGATTCAAGCGATTCTCCTGCCTCAGCCTCCCGAGTAGCTGGGATTACAGGTGCCCACCACCACGCCTGGCTAATTTTTTGTATTTTTAGTAGAGACGGCGTTTCACTGTGTTAGCCAGGATGGTCTCAATCTCCAGATCTCATGATCCACCCGCCTTGGCCTCCCAAAGTGCTGGGATTACAGGCGTGAGCCACTGCGCCCGGCCATTATTGCTGTAGTTACAAAGAATAGATTTGCTCAGCAAGCACTGACTGAGTTTAAGCTCCATGTGAGACATTATGTGAATGGTATAGAAAAAATCAGTAAGACGTAGACACTGCCTTCAAGGAGCTCACTATCTATGCCAGCTGGTAGAAGAAGCAAACACATATGACCAACTATAAAGCAGTAAAACACATAGTTTGTATGGGAAGGACTTTTAAGGTTGAAATAATACAAAACAATATCTGTCTCCCCTGTGGCACTGTCAGAAGCAAAACACTAATCCTGTACTGCAATGCTCAGATTATTTTTTAAAATTATTTTTTAGGCCGGCCGCAGTGGCTCATGCCTGTAATCCCAACACTTTGGGAGGCTGAGGCAGGTGGATCACCTGAGGTCAGGAGTTCGAGACCAGCCTGGCCAACTTGGTGATACCCCATCTCTACTAAAACTACAAAAATTAGCTGGGCATGGTGGCAGATGCCTGTAATCCCAGCTACTCGGGAGGGTGAGGCAGGAGAATCACTTGAACCCGGGAGGCGGAGGTTGCAATGAGCCGAGATCGCGCCATTACACTCCAGCCCAGGAGACAGAGTGAGACTCCATCTCAAAATATATATATACATATATATTTTTTTTTTAATGGAGGAATAACACACACAGAGTGAACAGATCTTTTATGTATAGCTCAGTGATTATTTACATGCATTTATGCCCGTGTAACTACCACTCAGATCAAAAATAGCACTTTTCCAGTATTCTAGAAAGTTCCCTTTTACCCTTTCCTAGTCGATACCTCCCCCAGAACTAACCACTGTTCTGATTCCTGTCACCAACAGATAAATTGTCTGCTTTGAGCTTCATGTAAATGGAATTACACAGTTAATGCTTAAGTTCTTATCTGGGCAGAAAAGGGGGATAAGAACAGGACCAAGGTAATCAATTTCTAAATAATGAAAGTTTTGCAAATGAATGTATATTTGCCTATATCTCCAAATCAGATAATCCTACTACAGCTATGTAAAAATCCTGGTGAGAATAAGAAGGAAACTAAAACACGATAATAAAGGTGATGGGGTTATCATCAATTAGAGAATACTATAAGAAATATCAATTAGACCAGCACAGCGGCTCACACCTGTAATCCTGGCACTTTGGGAGGCTGAGGTGGGAGGATCACTTGAGGCTAGAAGTTTGAGACCAGCCTGGGCAACATAGCGAGACCCTGACTCTACATAAAATTTAAAAATAGCCAGGCATGGTGGTGCATGCCTGTAACTACTTGGGAGGCTGAGGTAGAAGGATCACTTGAGCCCAGGAGTTGGAGGCTGCAATGAGCTATGATCATATCCCTGCAGTCCAGTCTGGGCAGCAGGGTGAAAATTTGCTCTAAAAATAAAAAATCAATTAGGCTGGGCACGGTGGCTCGCACCTATAATCTCAACACTTTGGGAGGCAAAGGTAGGAGGATACTTGAAGCCAGGAGTTCAGGACCTGCCTGGGCAACATAGTGAGACTGTGCCTCTACCAAAAAAAAAAAAAAAAAAAAGAAGTGTGCAACTATAGTCCCAGCTACTCAGGAGGCTGAGGTGGGAGGATCACTTGAGCCTAGGAGTTGGAGGCTACAGTGAGCCTCCACTGTTTACACAAGTGATTACTCCACTGATCACACCACTGCACTCCAGCCAGGGTGACAGAGAAACACCTTGTCTCTAAAAATAAAAATAAAAATCAACTCGAAATTACAGTTTCTCCCATGAGCAGTGGTCAGCCGAGCCAACTGGAGAGGAGAGCTAGAAGAAGCTGGAAAGGTGATCTGGGGACATCTCTCTACTAAACCAGTATAAAGAACTTTGCCACCAGTGGGGCAGAGCCTGCCTGGGATTGGGGGACTTGTGAAAAGAACTAAAGATAAAAAGCCTCTCACTGCAGACTGACTCTGCCTGTTCTCTTCATACTTTTTTGGGATTCACCTTCTTTGTCCAGTCCTAGAAATGTGCTGAACAAAGGAGGTGGGTGGGAGGGATATGCCCACAACCTAAAGAAACAACCAGTTAAAACATTTACAGCAATCTTATGTTTTTCCCTTTGTTCAGGTTACTACTTTGGGATTGTGATGATCGAAGCTATAGCTACTACGTTGAGGTTTCTACCAACCAGCAACAGTGGACCATGGTTGCTGACAGAACTAAAGTCTCCTGCAAGTAAGTTGTGTCTTTTCAGGAATTTATTCCTATTGAAAAGACAGTCTTCCCAGTGGATTGGGAGGCTCAAAAGAAAATTCATAGAATCGCCAAATTACATTCTTATTTGGAGGTGGAAAACACACTCCAGTGATCTTCTCTTCAGTTTTGACTATTAAATACTTATATGAAATTTACTTGATGTCACCAAACAGGGTTTCTCTATTCTGTGGTGTGAATTTGACTCACACTTTTGAAAATGACATGAGTGCCTAAATAGCGAAAAAACTTTCCTTATGCAATCCTCTCTCAGACCCCCCACCCCGCCATGCCCACCATACCCCACACTACTTTTTTTTTTTAACACTTTTAAGTTCTAGGGTACATGTGCACAATATGCAGGTTTGATACATAGGTATACATGTGCCATGTTGGTTTGCTGCACCCATCAGCTCATCATTTACATTAGGTATTTCTCTTAATGCTATCCCTCTCCTACCCCCCCAACCCCACGACAGGCCCCAGTGTGTGTGATGTTCCCCACCGTATGTCCAAGTGTTCTCATTGTTCAATTCCCACCTATGAGTGAGAACATTTTTTAGGATTGTTTTCTTCCTTAGAGAACTTTGCTGAAGCAATACATACTTCAGTAGTTATTATGGGGCTCTATCCTATTCCCCACACTCATAGCATTCTCAGGGCTAGCGTCAATATTTATTTATCTCATCTCGTTAACTATGCTGTTACTCAAACTAAGGAAAGCCTTGTACCTTATTTCTCCACATGCAAACAGAGGCATTTAATGCATATGGCACTGGGGCTGTTTAGACTTGTCTGCTTGCAGCAGAAGATAGGAGGAAGGAGTCTGTGGGTTCTGAGCAGCCTAGCATCATGGTACATGAAAAGAGATCAGTACCTCTTTGTGTAGAGCCAGAATCTCTAAGAGGCAAGGTGGAGCAAATGCGTTTCTCTTTTTATTTTTCTTTTTAAAATTGATATATAATTCACATACCATAAAATTTACACTTTTACAGTGTACAATTGAGTGGTTTTTAGTATAGTCACAGTATTGTGCAACCATCACTGCTTTCTAATATTCCAGAACATTTTCATCACCCCAAAAAGAAACATCTTCCCCATTAGCAGTCACTCCCCATTTCCCTCCAACTCTCCCAGCCCCAGCATCCAATAATCTACTTTCTGTCTTTTCTTTATGGATTTGCATACTCTGGACATTTCATATAAATGGAATCATATAGTATGTGACCTTTTGTTCCTTGCTTCTTTCACTTAGCATAGTGTTTTCAAGGTTCATCCGTGTTGTAGCATATATCTGAATTTCATTTTTTATGGCTGAATAGTATTCCATTGTGTGCATATACCACATTTGTTTATCCATTCTTCAGTTGATAGACATTTGAGTTGTTTCCACTTCTTGGCTATCATGAATAATGCTGCTATGAACATTCCTGTACAAGTTTTTATGTGAACATATATTTTCAATTCCTTTGGGTATATATCTGAGAGTAGAATTGCTGGGTCATCGGATAACTCTGCGTTTAACTTTTTGAGGAACTGCCAAAATTTTTCACAGCAGCTGCACCATTTTACATTCCCACCAGCAATGGCTGAGGGTTCTAATTTTTCCACATTCTCACAAGCACTTGCTATTGCCCATCTTTTTGACCATAGCCATCCTAGTAGGGACGAAGTAGCATATCATTATGGTTTTCATGTGCATTTCCCTCATGGCTAATGATGTTGAGCATCTTTTCATGTGCTTACTTGGGGTGGGGGCAGGGTCTCACTCTGTTGCCCAGACTGGAGTGCAGTGGTGCAATCAAGGCTTACTGTAACCTCAAATTCCTGGGCTCAAGTGATCTTCCCACCTCAGTCTCCCAGGCAGCTGGGACTATAGCTGCATGCCACTGTGCCCAGCTAATTGTTTTTTTTTGTTTGTTTGTTTGTTTGTTTGTTTTTGTAGAGACAGCACCTCACCATATTGCCTAGGCTGGGCCAAGATTTCTTAACAGTATTAATGATGGCTTGTTTGATGCAATGTCTGACACCATCACCATTATTATTGTAGTAATTATCAGCATATATATATTGGTTAGGTTAACTCTTGCTACTGTAACAAATAAGCTTCAGTATTTCCGTGGCTTAATACAACAGTTTATTTCTCAGTCATGGGACAGTCAGTGTGTGTGTTCCTAGTTAAGTGATTTTCCCAGAAGTGACAGGAACCGAGGCAGCTTCTTTCTTGTTGTTCTGCCATCTAGGTCCTCCTCAGCATCAGCCACATTTAGCTGGCAGGAGAAAGAACAGAGAAGGTACACCTAGTTCTGAAAAGCCTTGCTCTAGGGGTAGCATACATGCCTTCCACTCACATGCCACTGAGATGAACTAGTCACATTGACATACTAGATGCTACTATGGCTGGGAAATGTAGTCAGTTCCTGGTTGGGTAGCCACTTCCCAGTGGAGCACAGATCTTGTTACCATCTCAGCCTCTTCTTCCAGAAGCAGAGCTGAGATTTAAATCCAGCTTCTTGCCACTATACCATATTGCCTCTTAGGACTCAAAACACTGCTAAAGAGGACTGTACCGAGCTAGATGATGAAAAGGGGGAAACAAAGTGGTTAATTTATCCCAAGCTCCTGGAACCCTTTTTATACAATACGAGGGCCTCCACGGCCCATGAACAACTATGCATTTGTCTTTCCAGAGTCTTTGCTTATTGGGTCCACAGCTCCCAGACCAGACCTTGTACTTCCTCAAAGCTTGTCATCTTGTACATGTCTTACCCACCACAGGTCTCTTTTGTCATTTATTGTTGTAAACTGGATTCCTCTTCTCTTTTATGTCCCTCTGTTAAAGGTTGACATGGTTTGGCTCTGTGTCCCCACCCAAATCTGATCTTGAATTATAATCCCCACATGTTGAGGGAGGGACCTGTAATCCCCATGTGTTGAGGGAGGTGACTGGATCATGGGGGCAGTTTCCCCCATGCTGTCCTTGTGATAGTGAGTGAGTTCTCATGGGATCTGATGGTGTTAGAAGTGTTTGGAAGTTCTTCACTCTTCTCTCTCCTGCTGCCTTCTGAAAAAGGTGCTTGCCTAACCTTCGCCTTCTGCCATGATTGTAAGTTTCCTGAGGCCTCTCCAGCCATATGGAAGTGTGAGTCAATTAAAGCTCTTTGTTTATCAGTTACTCAGTCTTGGATATTTCTTTATACTAGTATGAAAACGGACTAACACAAAGGTGCTATACAATGTGGGTGTTTTGTTGTTGTTGTTGTTGTTGTTGTTGTTTGAGACAGAGTCTCACTCTGTCGCTCAGGCTGGAGTGCAGTGGCATGAGCTCGGCTCACTGGAACCTCCGCCTCCCAGGTTCAGGTGATTCTTCTGCCTCAGACTCCTGAGTAGCTGGGATTACAGGTGTGTGCCACTGCGCCAAGCTAATTTTTGTATTTTGTATTTTTAGTAGAGACAGGGTTTCACCATGTTGGCCAGGCCAGTCTTGAACTCCTGACCTCAGGTGATCCGCCCACCTTGGCCTCCCATAGTGCTGGGATTACAGGCATGAGCCACAGTGCCCGGCCCAGTGTGGGTTTTTAACAAGAGCTGATTGACTAACTGTTGACCAGGTAGGTGTCATATTCATTTTGTATTTAGTTAAATGGGGACTTTTTTGATTTCAAAGTCTTGTTCACTCATTAGATCCTCTTCTAGTAGCTTTGCATTAAATTACCAACATCTTTTTCTCTCTTTAAATTTTTTTTCATTGGTGGATTTAAATAATTTATATGTTTTTAACTTTGTATAGCACTTAGATGCGATAGCATTGTTTTACAAATTAATAAATAAATAATACATTAGAAGAACAAAAGTAGTAATAAGAAGGCAAATATGCCTGTTAACCTTGTAAGAATCAATGGAACCAGAGGTTATGATTTTATGTTTATAGGCGTAACTTGAATGTATTGTACCTCCCTTTTTAAAGTTAGGTCTTAAGAAATATAGAAGATATGTAAATGATAAAAGGCAAAAGGTTTTTCTTTTTAACTAATATGCTACAGTGCAGACCTCAAGAGAGGACTCTATTAGTTTCAAGAATTGTAGTCTGCTCTTTATTGAAACAGAGTGCGTGCGGTTATAAATGAAATTATATGGAGTTTTGAAAGATCATAGCTCCGCCTCTTGATAGCATTCTACCTCGTCAAGAAATCAAAACATAGATTTTTGCTGTCCTCTGAAAAATCCCTGGGAAATAAGATTCTCCAGTGTCTCTGTTAGTCTCTCTGCTCCAGGAGTGGGATATTTTCCTCCATAGTTCTCCTAAGTCTGCTATAGTTGGAGCTTCTCTTGGTTTGTTTTCAGGATAAGCAGTCATTTTCTATTATAGATAACTCCATTTTTATAGTGACTAATTTTTTAAAATTACATTTTACCCCTCTTTCTTCATACAGTGTAATCCTGTACCCTTTGACCTGCACCCTTTATTTTAAAAGCTCTCACTTTTTTTTTTTTTTTTTGAGACAGAGTCTCACTCTGTCACCCAAGCTGGAGTGCAGTGGCGTAATCTTGGCTCACTGCAGCCTCCGCCTACTGGGTTCAAGTGATTCTCCGGCCTCAGTCTCCCAAGTAGTTGAGATTACAGGCATATGCTACCACGGCTGGCTAATTTTGTGTATTTTTAGTAGAGATAGGGTTTCACCATGTTGGCCAGGCTAGTCTTGAACTCTTGACCACAGGTGATCCATTCACCTCGGCCTCCCAAAGTACAGGCGTGAGCCACCGCACCTGGCTGAAATATTTTTATAGTTGAGAAGTTTTAAAAACTAAAAAAATGGTAGAAAGCAGCCTGGCCGCAATGGCTCACACCTGTAATCCCAGCACTTTGGGAGGCTAAGATGGGTGGATCACCTGAGGTCAGGAGTTCGAGACCAACCTGGCTAACATGATGAAGCCCTGTCTCTACTAAAAATACAAAAATTAGCTGGGCCTGGTGGCACGTGCCTGTAAACCCAGCTACTCAGGAGGCTGAGGCAGGAGAATTGCTTGAACCCGGGAGGCGGAGGTTGCAGTGAGCCAAGATTGTGCCACTGCACTCCATCCTGGGCGACAGAGCGCAAGCCCATCTTTAAAAAAAAAAAAAAAAATCACACCTCTTTTATTAACTTAACAACTTTACTAACTCCTTGATATAAAACAAATGAGAAATTTAGCTCATTTAACCACTCCTCATTTTTGTTATGTTTTTTTAGTTCTGTTAGTATTTATCTTTTAAAATTAAACAATATACTTAAACCTCTATTATTATTATTATTATTTTTTTTTTTTCTGAGACATAGTCTCTCTCTGTCGCCCAGGCTAGAGTGCAATGGCGCGGTCTTGGCTCACTGCAACCTGTGCCTCCTGGGTTCAAGTGATTCTCCTGCCTCAGCCTCCTGAGTAGCTGAGATTACAGGCACACGCCACTACACCCAGCTAATTTTTGTAGTTTTAGTAGAGGGGTTTCACCAACAGGGTTTCCCTACGTTGGTCAGGCTAGTCTCGAACTCCTGACCTTGTGATCCCCCCACCTCGGCTTCCCAAAGTGCTGGGATTACAGGCGTGAGCCACCTCGCTCGGCCTAAACTTCTGTTTTTTAATCCATCAGTTATAGACAATATTTCTCGACTCTTTACTACGTTGATGAAGAAATTACCACCCACTACATTTCCCTCATTTTTCCCATTCTACTTCTCATCTTCTGTTAGCTGCTTTACTATATTGACATTGTGATAGTTATTTTTTGTTCTGTAACTTATAGTTAAACCATCTATATGTTAACTATAAATTGATCCTGAAAAGGGAAAAACACTAAGAACTCATTAAAATATAATGATCATATAAACATTGTTCATGACAGATCTAGTAATTGGTTGGATCTAGAGTTAGGGAAATATGTCAGTAAACTTGTTCCCCTCTTGGAAGAATTGTACTGTTCTGATGAAACAGATTAGATTTTCTTACAAGTGCTCAGAATTATTCCACATGTTAAATAGCTTCCTATTAGACAGCTTTTTGTTTTCTTGAAGTTCCTGATTAGTTTTTTCCGTTGCAGAAGCTTCTAAAGCATACTGTTTGTTCATTGGTTGATTTTGAACAGATTGTTTATGTCTGCAATCCTAAAATTTCTTCTTCTTTCCTATCATTAGTAACACTGTTTCCTCAATTTCATTTTCTTTTTGTGGAATGTGGGTAAACAGTTTTAAAAAAACCCCTTTCCCTTTTCTTAAGATATTGACCTTGGGCCCCTGTTACTTTTCTAGACCTGTTCCCCTGAAAACCTGATGGTAGTGGAATGTCTGCTGCGTTATAAGCAACATTGCTTATGATTTTAAAAAATTACCCCTGAATGGTAAATTGCATCTGGCCTGGGAGAACTGTAAATATCTGGTCAGAAACTATAGATCCTTGTGCTTCCCTGAGTGCAGAGACTTTTGTAATTGGGCTTATTCCTTGTAATTCTGGGATCTGTGCTTATGGAGCTGTCACAAGAAGTATTAGTTTCTATTTGGAATGTGAAGCTTCTAAGCCAGAGTAGCTCCACATTTACCCGTTGTTGAGTCTTATATACTCTTTTTTTTTCCTTGAGTCTTATATACTTTTTTTTTTTTTTTGATTCTTAATGCTCTTATTTGAGCTGTCACCTGCAGGCCAAAAAGAATAGCTCCCAGACAGTTGTGTTGACTGCTACAAAGACTCCCGAAGGGAAGAAATACCTGGTGCTGTCCTGGGGGCTTGCTGTGTTTCCCATTCTGTGTCCTAGGTGAATCTGAAGCCAATTATGGCTTGTTTGGGTCTGTTGAGCCTAAACATTTAGTTGAAAAGACTGCTATAATCCCAGCACTTTGGGAGGCTGAGGCAGGAGGATTGTTTGAGGCCAGGAGTTCAAGACCAGCCCCAGCAACATAGTGAGACCCAGTCTCTACCAAATAAATAAAATGTGAAAAAAAAATTAGCCAGATATCATGGCACACACCTGCAGTTCCAGCTACTTAGGACGCTGAGCGGGGAGGATTGCTGAAGCCAGGAGTTCGAGGTTACAGTGAGCTAAGATCACACTACTGCACTCCAGCCTGGGTGACAGAACAAGAGCCTGTCTCAAAAAAAGAAAGAAAGAAAGAAGATCACTCATGGCGATTGCAGAGAACAAATCTATAAGTAATTTTTTTCAGAAAAGGGATATAGAAAACAAATTTTCAGAACCCCAGCATATCTGAATCATAGTTTGACTGGGTATAGAATTCAGTTTTTTCAGAAGTCTGACAGCTTGGATTTATTGCCCTCTAGTATCTAATGTTGCAGATGAGAAATCTGATGTCAGTCTGACTCATGTTCTTTGCAGTAATTTATTTTTCTCTATAGAAGCCTTTAGGATATTCTCTTCACCTCGGTAGTCTCAAATTTCACAGTGACATGGCTGGATGTGGGTCATTTGTCATTCATCCTGCTCAGTTTGCTTCGGTATGGAAATCTGCCCAGTTCTCCTCGATTTATAAATGAGTAATATTTCATGTGCATATCATTTTCTCGAAATTCACCAAGATTTTTCATTTACTAATGTCCTCTCCAATTTGCAACCTTTTTGAATGTATTCTCTTTGCATTTCTTTGATGGCATGTCAGTGGTTTCCGGGAAGGGAGAGCGAACTGTGCCTACAATGTCAGCCATCTTGGACCTGAATTCCCAAAAGCACCACGGCCTGTGCTGACTTGTAGTCAGCTGTTGATAGTCCCCAGTGACCCCAAGTCATTTTCCTTACCTTTCGTGTGCTTGGCTGTGCCTCTGCCATGTTATATAGCTGTCTTGTTTCCTGTCAGAGTATACTCCCTCACGTATTGTCCTCATTTGCATTCATTTTTTAAACAATTTCTTTGCTTTGTCATGGTCCCGTTGAATAGTAATTCTGTCTGCCAAAGTATTAGTGACTTCAGCCATCATCTATCCAAAACTGTGCCCCTCGCAAACATTTTGGCAAATACAAACGATTAGATAAAAAGAATTAGGTAATGAAAACTTTCTTTTTCCACTTGAGAATTCTGTAGTCCTAATATGGAACTACCTAGTCTTTCTAGCTTTTAGCTTCTAATTTTATCACAAACTTTCTATTTCCTGCCAGATTTATCATCTAAATTCCCTTCTGAGTAAATTTTTCCCCCAATCTAGGTGTTTATTAAAAATGATGCTGCAAAGAGTTTTTTTAATAACTTAAGGAAATACCTAAGATTTTTAAAAAGCGTGTACAAAATTATAGAAGTGTTATCATAAGTAGAAAGAATTACGGAAGAAGAAAGCCAAAAGGAAATATGCCAAAATATTCATAATGGTCGACTTTGTATAAGGGATTACGGAAATTATTTCTAATTTTCAACATTTTTCTGACCAATTTACATGTATTTCTTTTAAAATCTAAAAACACTTTACTTGAAAAAAAAAATTTTTTTTTTGCTAGAGCCATAAGTGTTTTATGGATGCTTGTCCTTGCCATTATTTGAGTAGCATATGCTGGCAGAGTGGCATGGTTTATTCACTGCCAGCAGTAAATCAACAAAATTAAGTGCTATACATAGCAATATCCCAGCAGCTCTTCAGAACCTTGCCATTTAGCCCAAGCACAAAAGCTGTGTTTCCCTGGAAAGGACACTCCAGCTACATTTTCCTTATGCTTCTCTCCATGGGCTCCTTAAAGCCCGCTTCTCTGAGAGTACTTTCTTCTGCCTTTCCCTGGGACACCCAAAGTTCATTCCCATCTGAGTTTGCCCTCTCCAAGGGCCCTGGCCTACTTGGCAGGTTAGAGCACCTCCTTGGAGCAGGCAATCTCTACAGCAACCTAATGTTGGGAAGCTTCTCCCCTGTGCCTTCCCTGAGAAGCACCTTGACTGTCTCCCTGTCACCTGGAAAGACATGTGTGGAGTCCACCCATCTGCTGCCTGGTCTTCAGCATGATTGTATTCATATCCGAGAAGCATTGTCTGTCCCCTTGCTGAATGCACTGCCACTTAGTCCTGGGATCTGTTTCTGTATCTGCTATTTATTCCCTAGGAATGGTAGAAAGAGGAAAATATTTCTTCTTCTAAGTGCTGCAGTGGCTGAGGACAACAGGATAAATTAAAGGTGGAGAGTTATAGCCTCAGTAAAGTCTTCCAAAGTATAGCAAGATTGAAAAATGGTACATTTAAATCTAGAGACAATTTACTTTGCCTGTGATTTTTTTTTTTTTACATCTTCTTTGCCATTGTTAGTGACAATGTTGAGAAAGGTTTGATATTTGTTTTTTGCCTGCTTTGTTTCTTAATCTCACACTTAACAAAAACTTTGGGTTGGTTCCAGGAGGTCACTGCTAACCATGTGATTTGGAGTTTTGTGTAAAGAACTTGATGTCACAAATAAGATGCAACAGAAAGAAAGCAGGATATAAAGGAGGAAATGTCTTCCTCATTGATACTAATGATGATGAGACATAGTTCATAGTTGGGTGACGTGTTAGTTTCCAAGAAGATTGAAGCACTTGACTGTCGCATAAATCCCATATTGGTAATAACAGACAGGGCTGTTGTCCTCAGATTTTTCTGCCCTACCAGGTTGGAGGAGTATGTTTGCTTGTTCCTTCTAGAAGCGTGAACCAATTAATGAGTTCTGGTTGTGTAATTGTCACTTTTGAAATGCTCGATGAAGATTTTATTTTTCTTTTTTCATACTTAATTCCGTTTTTCTACACAGCATTTGACAGTAATGAAAAAAGCCAGTCATGTTCTTTTCTGTTTTTTTTTTTTAAAGGGCAAACATTGGTGTTAATTTTGTCAAGAGCTTTAGAACTTGAACAATGAAGAAACATGTACCTGTAAGAGGAATGGTTTCAAAAAATGAAAAATGAAGAAAATAGCAGATTTTAGACAATACACACACACACACACGTACGTGCACGTGCGCCAAGTCTGACCCTAGGCAGATCCTTGTGTTAATGATGAGATATCAGCAGGCTTGCCCTATAGAAGTCATCTATACGTTAGGCCACACTTGGAGACACCAGTTACTCACACTTGTTTATGGGGTTATGAAGTACCTAAAGCTGATGCTTATTTTAGAATAGAAAATAGCAATAAGGAGTCAGCCAGTCATACCTGCACATTTAAAGGGGACTTATCTTTTGTATTGCAGGAAGTTTTTATTATAAATTTACCCAAACATTGGGAGGCATGTGGAAAGTAGATTTTGATGCTAAGTATGTGAATTGCCTGAGTTCTAAATTTAGAGCTGCCAGCAGATCCTGTGGACCCCCAGTGGGAGGCTCCTCTCTACCCAGAACATTTGGAAGTTAAAGGAGCTAGAAGGAAATGAAGTCCTCTTGGGTAGCAAATGATCAGGAAGAAGAATCTGAGAGCTCCTATTTCCTTCTTTCTTACTTAACCCAGGAGCCACGTTATTCTGTGAGGGTAATAATTTTTTCCATGCCTGTTATAAAAAAAATGAAGCATACCTCAATAAAACTTTCTCAGTGAGCTGTGTGAGCACACAAAATGTACATGGTCAGAAATTTTTATTTTATTATGGAAATAACTTTCTTATTAATGTTATATTCCAAATGATTAAAAATAAATCAAGATCACATTTAGTTCACCTACCATCATCACTTACCTGTTCCACTCCACTCTACTGACTGACCCCCCCACATTCCCTCTGTGCCCTCCCATGAGTTTACTTACTATAGGCAGGTGGCACTTTTCAAGCACAACTCTAGTATCGTCCTGCTTAGGACCCTGCACTGCTTCCTGCTGCTCTCTGAATCAAGAACAGAATTCTTTGCGTGGCCTAGAGTGCCCTGCACAATCTGGCCCCCTGCCTCTCCATACTCCCTCTGCATCCCTCTCCCTGTTCCCATCTCCCTGGCATCCTCTGTTTTCCCACCATCCATCATGCTCTGTCCTCACACAGAGCCTTTGCGCATGCCATGCTGGTCTCTGTCTGGAGCCCACCCTCTGCCCTTTGTCTCATTAACCACCCCCACTTACCCTTCTCAGCTCAAGGGCCACTTTTCAGGAAAGTTTGCCCTGACCACCCATCTTGATCAAATCACTGTGTTATCCCCTCTCATAAAACCAAGCTACTTTTTTTCACAGCCCTTGTTGCAGTTTGCAATTACCCATTCATAGCATGGCTGTTAAGTTACTGTTCTTTTGCACCAGAAGGTAAGCTCCAGAGCAGGGATTTGGTGTTTTACTCACTCTTTGATCCATAGTAGTAGCCTAGCAAGCACCTAACACTTGTAGGGGTCAGTATGTACTTGATCTGAATGAATAGAAGCATGCGTGCCATTGCTCTGTCTCCAGTCACGTATGCATGTTGGTTTCATTTGTCTTGTTACTGTCTGGAGGTGTCATTGTCACAAAGCCCAATTGGGAAGTTTGCCCATTCCAGCTCAGATGCTGTCACATAAAGCGCAAGGAAGAGTTTATGGGAGAGAATAAGATTTGCCCATGGTGATGTAGTCCTTGTAAACTACACATGTGTCTTCCTAACTTCTCTTTATTAACCCATTATTGATCTGTCATCTTTGGCTCATTTATAGCATTATTCCACAAATTTTAATTCAGTATTGCCAGAGGCTCAGTTTTCTTTGGTTTTTACATCTATCATTGCCCCTCACGTTAGTGACTTGGATCCCCTGGTAACAGTTTATCACTTCAAGTTGGTTACTGGCTGGAAGTCCATTACCTTTATTTTTAACCACTCTTAGAGAGAGTAAAGTTTATTTTTATGGAGGGGCCAAGTGCTTTTAAAACTCTTTTCCAGCTGTGCCCCTTTCAGTTCAGAAATTGATTTGATTTAAAATCCCAAGTTCGTCTGGTTAATGTTTCAATTGCTTCTCTGGATTTTTAGAGTAAAAGGTTAAAAAAAAAAGCCCAAACTTAAACTCTGAAGAGGGACTCTAAACTGCCTGCCAGAGCATCACATGTACCTCTCCCAGCAGGAAAGAGTCTGTTCAACAGAACAGACCTCACTCTGGAATCCTAGAGCTCTCTGTACCTCTCATGGTCTCAGGATGGCTGCAGAGGGTCCAGCCTACCACCATCCAGAGAGGTGCTCAGTCAGCACCCTTACCATGACCAAGTCTTGATTAACCCCTCCCCTGAAATGGGTGTACAGACAAGGGACCTGCTGCACATTGTCAGTCACATGATCCCAAGGTAGGTAAGCAAACTGAGCAGCGGGCACCACAGTAACAGTCAGCATGGGCATCTGCAAAAAAAGGAAAGTAGAGCCTATTTGTTGGTCAGTGAATAAAGGTAACAGAAAGGAAAGGCATGGTCGTTTTGATCTTATTTTCTTAAAGTGACCTGCCTCAGTTTACTAAATTATAATCAGAAGTCAGCAGCCAGCCTCTGGATCTAATGAGAAGGCTCTGTTTTGGTAATTATACCATGATTGACGCTTGCTCAGCTCTATCCCAGAGAACTAAGAGGCTCGTGTTTTCTTCCTGTGTTTAAAAAAGAAGAAGGAAAAGGGCATTTTTATGAATTCAGGGGTCCAGCATGCACACAGAATCACCATTTAGCTCATTCTCTTGGCTTCAGCTGTCTCTTTCATTCATATTTTCCATTGGCACCTTCTAGAATGGTTTCTCAAACACAACTTGTCTCAAACTAAACTCATCATTGTCATTCTCCATAAAGCAGCTCCACTCCTTTGGTGTCCCTGCTTTTGTTGTTGTAGCTCCCTTCCCCTGGGCATCTCTTACCCCTTTGAGTCTTTCTTCTTTGCCCTCCACAGTCATTCAGGTGCTATATCCTTTCTGTTATACCCTTTCATCTTTTTTTTCCATTCCCATTGCCTCCATTCGTATTCAGACCTTCATACTTATTTCCTGGAGTATTTATAGTAGCTTCTAGTGAGTTTCCCTCAATACTGTTGCAGAGAATTTCTATACTCTACGTCTGTTGCTGTACTAGAGTCTAGAACACTGTTGCTAGGTTGTCGTTGCTGTGATTTCTTAATCCCTGTACAGGGACCTTCAGTGAGGAAAGCCTCCGATCCTTACCTGGGTCATCTTCTATCTCTACATGACCAGCTCTCCCTAAACATCTCATTTTTAAATATCCTGCCTCCTGTTAAACCACATGTCCAGATTTCAAATATAAAATTACCATATCTCTCTGACTCTAACCAGACTTTCTAACCTTTATTTCTGTAATTCTCTCTTTACAGTCCTTATATTCCTACTTTCCTTTCAGCCTGGCCTAATCACTATTGTTAAATGAGCCCATGCTTTAGGTAAGCTAATTATTTTTATTTGCTCTGGCTGATCTTCAAGTCTCCACCTATTCAGTGTTCCCTTCAAGACCCAGCCAAATGCTCTATGAGTTCTTCCTTGATCTTTCTCCTCCCAAACACAAGTGACTGCTCCATTATGTGAATGTCCACTGTAATTGGCATGCATATAACTTGATACATTTACTGTTTCTTGGGTCTGTTTCAGAAAAGGGAAGAAATAAGGGCCTAGTCCAGGAGAAAGGTTACTTTTTAAAAATCTAGCCATTTTTCAAGGTACATTGGGATTTATCCCCTTGGAAGTATAGGAGCAGCTTTTCCCAGAGTCATCTCTGTAGGTCTGTAGTCAAATGCACAACTTTGATTCAGTCTAATATTTGTTCAGTGACCCTAGTAGGTAGAGGCTCATACTATTAATACATTGTGAAGGAAAATTCTGAGGAGACAGGAAGACATTTCTTCTATGAAGGAACTTACAGGTTATACAGAACATTTGGGAACCATCTTGTTTGTGTACACACACACATATGCACACACAGTGTAAAATACAAAACAAGATCCTAGAATCAAACAATACTGTAACTGGTAGAAGTACCTTGGAAATCATAGCCCAAGCCTCCCATTTTACAGATGAGACAGCAGTCACAGGTGCCTTTCCCAAGTTCTCATCTAATGGCAAGCCCTGGATTAGAACTCAGGTCTCCTGATTCTGAGTCCCTTTTTCCCAGAATTTTGCATGGCCTATAAGACCACAGTAAACATGAAAAATCAGATATGTAAGTACTGTAAGTATATAAACATTATCAGAGTATGGGATGGAGTTAGGGAAATTTTTCTGAAAAGATGCATTTTGAGCCTACCCATCTGCTACTGGCTCATGTTGTGCCTGGGACGACTGGTGATTTCCCAACCCAAGGAGGCTATGAACTTCAGATTTTAAAATCACATAAAGGTACAAGTCAACTATCCACCTTCCAGAAGTATGATGAAGACTATGGATACAAAGAAATCCACCTTTATTTTTATATGATTCCCTACCTTGCTGTCAGTACTACTTCCACAGAATATTAATTTGTCCAGCCTATTAGCTGTATCATAATTCATACTTTAAAATTGGTTTTAAAAGTATAGCTTCTACACCAGTGGTCAAATCTAGATTATCTAGGGGTTCATTATTCAGGTTGTAGAGTATATTAGCCTGTTTTTCTTCCCTTTTCCTTCCTATTGCCTACTTAAAAAAAATCATTACACTGTTCATTAGGCCATTTATTAGACTGTTTCCTTCCACGAA